>NC_000003.12:160978301-161281331 GCF_000001405.40 Homo sapiens | reverse complement strand
CAACTCTTCCCCATTCAGTATAATGTTGGCTGTGGGTTTGTCATAGGTGGTTTTTATTACTTTAAGGTGTGCCCTTTCTATGCCGATTTTGCTAAGGTTTTTAATCATAAAGGGATGCTGGATTTTGTCAAATGCTTTTTCTGCATCTATTGAAATGATCATGTAATTTTTGTTTTTAATTCTGTTTATGTGGTGTATCACATTCATTGGCTTGCATATGTTAAACCATCCCTGCATGCCTTGTATGAAATCCACTTGATCATGGTAGATTATCTTTATGCTGTTGGATTTGGTTAGCTAGTATTTTGTCGAGATTTTTTGCATCTATGTTCATCAGGAATATTGGTCTGTAGTTTTCTTTTTTGGTTATGTCCTTTCATCGTTTTGCTATTAGGGTGATACTGGCTTCCTAGTTTGATTTGGGGAAGATTCCCTCTTTATCTTTTGGAATAGTGTCAACAAGATTGGTACTGATTCTTCTTTGAATGTCTGATAGAATTCAGCTATGAATCTGCTAATCCTGGACTTTTTTTCTTTTTGGTGTTTTTTTAATTGCCATTTCAATCTTGCTGCAAAAAAATTTTTTACTAAAAAATTTTAGGCAAATTTTCGCTAAAAAACTTGTTGTCAGCCAGGCTCACACCTGTAATCCCAGCACTATGGGACGTCAAGGCAGGTGGATCACGAGGTCAGAAGTTCGAGACCAGCCTGGCCAACATAGTGAAACTCCATATCTACTAAAAATACAAAAAATTCGCCGGGCGTGGTGGCATGTGACTGTAATCCCAGCTACTCAGGAGGCTGAGGCAGAAGAATCACTTCAACCCAAGAGGCAGAGGTTGCAGTGAACTGAGATCACACCATTGCACTCCAGTCTGGGCGACAGAGCAAGACTCCATCTTGAAAAAAAAATTAAATTGTTGGCATGGCCAGGTGCAGTGGCTCATGCCCGTAATCCCAGCACTTTGGAAGGCCAAGGCAGGCAAATCACCTGAGGTCAGGAGTTTGAGACCAGCCTGGCCAACATGGTGAAACCCCATCTCTACTAAAAATACAAAAATTAGCAGGGCATGGTGGTATGCACCTGCAATCCCAGCTACTTGGAAGGCTGAGGCATGAGAATCATTTGAACTTGGGATGCGGACATTGCAGTGAGCCAGGCTGTGCCACTTCACTCCAGCCTGGATGACACAGCAAGACCGTGTCTCAAAAAATTAAAAAAAAAAAAACTTTGCGAATTTTTTTTCAACTCTAAACA
This sequence comes from Homo sapiens, assembly GCF_000001405.40. NCBI lineage: Eukaryota > Metazoa > Chordata > Mammalia > Primates > Hominidae > Homo > Homo sapiens. Next base: position 161,280,073 of record NC_000003.12, on the reverse strand, counting down.
GAGTTTTAGAGTTTCTATTTCTTCCTGGTTTAATCTAGAAGGGTTGTATTTTTCTAGGAGTTTATCAATCTCCTCTAGGTTTCCTAGTTTGTGTGCATAAAGGAGTTCATAGTAGCCTTGTATGATCTTTTGTATTTCTGTGGTATCAGTTGTAATAGCTTCCATTTTGTTTCTAATTGAGTTTATTTGGATCTTCTCTTTTCTTGGTTAATCTTGTAATGGTCTATCAATTTTGTTTATCTTTTCAAAGAACTAGCTTTTTGTTTCATTTACCTTTTGTATTTGTTTTTTGTTTCAATTTCATTTAGTTTTGCTCTGATCTTTGTTATTTCTTCTCTTCTTCTGGGTTTGGGTTTGATTTATTCTTGTTTCTCTAGTTCCTTGAGGTGTGACCTTGGATTGCCCATTTGCGCTCTTTCAGACTTTTTGATGTAGGCATTTAATGCTATGAATTTTCCTCTTATCACTGCTTTTGCTGTATCCCCAAGGTTTTAATAGGTTGTATCACTATTATCGTTTAATTCAAAGAAACTTCTTAATTTCCATCTTGATTTCATTGTTGACCCAATGATCATTCAGGAGCAAATTATTTAATTTCCATATATTTGCATGGTTTTGCAGGTTCCTTTCAGAGTTGATTTTCAATTTTATTCCACTGTGGTCTGAGAAAGTACTTCATATAATTTCAATTTCCTTAAATTTATTGAGACTTTTCTTGTGGCCTATCATATGGTCTATCTTGGAGAATGTTCCATGTGCTTATAAACAGAATGTATATTCTGCAGTTGCTGGGTAGAATATTCTGTAAATATCTGTTAAGTCCATTGGTTCTAGAGTATAGTTTAAGTCTGTTGTTTCTTTGTTGACCTTCTGTCTTGATTACCTGTCTAGTACTGTCAGTAGAGTATTAAAGTTCCCCACTATTATTGAGTTGCCATCTATCTCATTTCTTAGGTCTAGTAGTAATTGTTTTATAAATTTGGGAGCTCCAGTGTTAGGTGCATATATATTTAGGATTGTCATATATTCCTATTGGACTAGACTCTTATCATTACATAATGACCCTCTTTGTCTTTTTGAGATATTGTCACTTTAAAATCTGTTTTGTCTGATATAAGAATAGCTACTCCTGTTCACTTTTGGTGTTCATTTGCATGGAATGTCTATTCCCACCTCTTTACCTTAAGTTTATGTGAGTCCTTGTGTGTTAGGAGAGTGTCTTGAACATAGCAGATACTTAATTGGTGAATTCTTATCCATTCTGCCATTCTATATCTTTTAAATGGAGCATTTGGCCAGGTGCGGTGGCTGACGCCTGTAATCCCAGCACTTTGGGAGGCCGAGGTGGGCAGATCACCTGACATCAGGAGTTTGAGACCAGCCTAACATGGAGAAACCCCGTCTCTTCTAAAAATACAAAATTAGCCAGGCGTGGTGGTACATGCCTGTAATCCCAGCTACTTGGGAGGCAGAGGCAGGAGAATCACGTGAGCCAGGGAGGTGGAGGTTGCAGTGAGCTGAGATCGTGCCATTGCACTCCAGCCTGGGCAACAAGAGCGAAACTCTGTCTCAAAAAAAAGTGGAGCATTTAGGCAATTTCCATCCAGCATTAGTCTTGAGATGAGGTACTATTCTATTCATGGTGCTAGCGGTTGCCCGAATACCTTTTTTTTTGTAATAGTGTTATTGTTTTATAGGTCATGTGACAATTATCCTCTAAGAACATTCTATTTTGGTGTATTTTGAGGATTTGTTTCAAGATGTAGAGATGTAGAGCTCCTTTTAACAGTTCTTGTAGTGCCGGCTTGGTAGTGGCAAATTCTCTCAGCATTTTTTTGCCTGAAAAGGACTGTATCTTTCCTTCATTTATGAGGCTTAGTTTTGCTGGATACAAAATTCTTGGCTGATAATTGTTTTGTTTAAGGAGGCTAAAGATAGGAACACAATCCCTTCTAGCTTGGAGGGTTCCTGCTGAGAAATCTGCTGTTAATCTGATAGGTTTTCCTTTATAGGTTACCTGATGCTTTTGCCTCACAGCTCTTATGACTGTTTCCTTCGTTTTTACTTTAGATAATCCGATGACTATGTGCCTAGGTAATGATCTTTTTGTGATGAACTTCCCAAGTGTTCTTTCGGCTTCTTGTATTTGGATGTCCAGATCTCTGCCAGGGTCCATCTCACAGACCCCAGCTGCACAACAGATGAATAACGTACTCAGACACTGATATTCAGTGAAAGAGTGGGCTTAGGGGGTGAGGCCACTGACCAAAAGAGTTGTAGCAGCCGAGACCCTGATTAACTGGCCCTGCTGGAATTTATTCAGCATATATTAAATGACAAAGGCTTTGAGTCAACATCACTAGAGGTTAACTAACCTGGTCCCCTCCCCCCAAGAGAGCCATCCTGCCCGCAAATGATCAAAAGTTAATTTTAGGACCACATGAGTAAACAAGTTATTTAGGTAAACTCCCTTACATTCCTTTGTACCTACTTTAAGCTATTTACTTAAGGTAAGAGGATTAGGCTGCCTTCAGCCAGATCTATTACTGAAGTTATGCAAACCCCTTCAGGTTCCATAGAAGGTTTGTGTCTATTTCTTATAACTATCCTGAAAATTTTTCCCACCAGCCTGCCTTAACTCCCACAGATCTCTAGCAAGGTCAGGGAAATTTTCCTCAATTATTCCTTCAAATATGTTTTCCAAACTTTTAGATTTCTCTTCTTCCTCAGGAACACCAATTATTCTTAGGTTTGGTCATTTAACATAATCCCAGACTTCTTGGAGGCTTTGTTCATTTTTTTAAACTCTTTTTTCTTTGTCAGATTGGGTTAATTCAAAATCCTTGTGTCAAGCTCTGAAGTTCTTTCTTCAACTTGTTCAATTCTATTGTTGGACTTTCCAATGTATTTTGCATTTCTCTAAGTGTGTCTTTCATTTCCAGAAGCTGTGATTGTTTTTGACTTGTGATGTCTATTTCTCTGGAGATTTTCCCATCCATATCCTGTAAAATTTTTTAAATTTCTTTAAACTCCTATTCACCTTTCTCTGGTACCTCCTTGAGTAGCTTACTAATTGACTTTCTGAATTCTTTTTCTGGCAATTGAAAGATTTCTTCTTGGTTTGGATCCATTGCTGGTGAGCTAGTGTGATCTTTTGGGGTATTAAAGAACCTTGTTTTGTCATATTACCAGAATTGTTTTGTTGGTTCCTTCTCATTTGGGTAAACTATATCAGAGAAATATCTGGGACCCAAGGGCTGCTCTTCAGATCCTTTTGTCCCGTGGAGTGCTCCCTTAATGTGGTGCTCTCCCCCTTTCCCTAAGGATGGGGGTTCCTGAGAGCTGGACTGCAGTGATTGTTATTTCTCTTCTGGGTCTATCCACCCAGCAGAGCTACCAGGCTCCAGGCTGGTACTGGAAAGTATCTGCAAAGAGTCCTGTGATGTCATCTGTCTTCAGGTCTCTCAGCAGTGGATACCAGCACCTGCTCTGGTGGAGGTAGCCGGGGAATAAGGTGGACTCTGTGTGGGGCCTTGGTTGTAGTTTTGTTTAGTGTGCGACTTTTCATGAATGCTAGTTGTGCTGGCAGTAAAGTTGTCACATGGACAGACTTAGGACCTCTGGTTAGCCAAGATGTCACAGGCAGTGGAGTTAGCTGTTTTTTCCTTCTTGGGGGAAGGGTTGTTATTTTATGAGTTGCTGTGTTGGTTGGCCTCCAGCCGGGAGGTGGCACTTTCAAAGCAGCATCAGCTGTGGTAGCATAGGGAGGATACAAGCTTGCCCTAGGGTCACCTGGATAAGTATTCAGGTTTCTCAGGTGGTGGGCAGGGCCATAGAGCTCCCATGAGATTATGTCTTTTGTCTTCAGCTACCAGGGCAGGTGGAGAAAGACCATCAGGTGGGGCAAGTTTAGGCGTGTCTGAGCTCAGACTCTCCTTGGGTGGGGCTTGCTGCACCTGCTGTGGGAGATATGGGTGTGTTTCTCATGCCAAAGGGATTATGGCTGTCTCTGCTGCATCAGACAAGTCTCCAAGTCAGTGAGGGAAAGCCAGCTGTGACAGGCTTCACCCAGCTCCCAGGTAGCCAGAAAGGCCAGTCTCACTCCCAGTGTGCTCCCCCAACACGGACTTTATAACCAGGCAGCTGGTGAGCAGGGCTTGGAACTGGCCCCAAGCTACAAGCCTCTCCTCTGAGAAAGCAAGCAGGGCTTTCAGGCTTCACCCCTCCTGCTGTGGCTTCTGTGCCTGTGTCTGCACTTCCCGTTTGCCCCCAACCCTGGATTCTGCCCTGGAAAATTCACACTTGGTCGAAATTACTACAAAGTTCAGCTGGAAGTTTCCTTCTTCCTGTGGTCTTTCCGCAATTCCACTGGCAGCCCTCCCCAGAGACCCCTGTGAAATAAAGTCAAAATAGGTTCCCTGGGCTTCCTTGGATGCCAGAAGTGCCTACAGGCCTTTCCTGCTGCCTCTTCTACTTTTATATTTCTCTCCACTCTCTAAATTCATTTCAGCTCTAGGTAAGGTTAAATCCCTCTCCCGTGATCCAGATTTTCAAGCTCCTCGGTGAGGATGTGTGTTCAGAGGTGGACTTTCACCCTCTCACACTTTGGGCACTCACAGTTTTTCGGCTGTTTCTTGGAGTTTGCAGTGGCAAGCCGCTTATTTCAAAGGGTCTGTGAATTCTTTCTGTTTTCCTGGTATGTTCTTGCAGCAGTTCTTGGAGCAAAAGTTCACGATGTGGTCTCCACATGCTGTTCTGTCAGTCCAAGTGGGAGCTACAAGTTAGTCCTGCCTATTCACCATTTTCCCCTGCAGGCCTCAAGACCATGTCTTTTTAAAAAATTATTTTTGATACAATCTTTCCTTGATTTATGTTGTCATTCCTAAGTACTCCTTGATTTATATTGTCATTCCTATAATGTATTCCTAAGACATTCAAGTGTCTACTATAAAATCCTAATAACTTTGTATTGACATGTTAAACACAATTAGTAGTAGGCTTAATTAGATACATATTTTTAGCTACATGATTGTCAGGACAAATGAAAGTCCCAGGGGTTGAAGGACAATTCTTGCTTCTATAGCATTGTTAGATGCGCCGAATGTTACCTAGCATGTATCCATGGCTTCTGACCAATTATTGTGACAACAAAAACACTCCCACAAATTTACAAAATGTCCCCTAGGGGGCGGTACCACTCCATTGAGAACCACTGCTGAAGGGCTTCAGAGTCTTCAATATGATAATACAAGCTGCAAAGACAGAAACAAGGATAGGATACTTTTTTTCCCCAAGTACAGGTAGTTTCTTGAAGGACTATCGCTTCACTAATCACACTTTGGGGAATGTTGGTATTGATCATTTTTAAAAGTGTATTCAATAGTAAAGGCATTCTGAGTATTGGTCACAAGTGAACAGCTGGAAGGTTCCGGAGACATGTGTCCCATGGATGGAAAGCCTGATACTTGGCTGAGTCTCTCAATGCACCAACCATACAGAAAAGATGTCATCTCTAAGAAGATAAAAGGGAAGCAGCTGATAGAGACTTTCTAGTATACTCAGATACAGACGCAGCCTGAGTCTCATTAGTGCCATTTAGAATAAATGATTTTTTTTAAGTTTCGTACTTGGAGTCCAGACTGTTGCTTTGAAGTCAGCCTTGTAGTCCTTGGACATACTCATTCATAAAACTTATTTTTCAAGGGCCATAAGTGTCTTGTAGGCCCATTTCCCAAAATGAAAGGGAACTTGTGGATCAGACCAGTGAATGAGGAAGAGAATTTTGACTATTTTTTTCATTATCAATTCAAAATATAAAATTTAAACAACGAAATGTTTATTTTCACTATTTTCCCAAGCCTGTAGATTTTATAAGTATTGAAAGACCTATTTAAATTGGAAAGTCTACATTTTAGATTTTACTTCTCCCAAACCTGGCTTTAACTCATAACCAAATGTTTACCAGAAAAATAAATAAAAGCCACGTTATTCGGGGCCTAGTGAGGCTGAAAATGTCCTGATCTCTACCTCGAGTAGAAACAGACTCAGGTAAACAATTACAGAGTAATTGGTGAGTACTGTTAGCCATAGGATCACAGAGACAAGACACTTCATCTAACTTGGAGCCTAAAAAGAGTTTCTTGAAGACTAATTAGGAGGGGACCAGAATTATCTCCTTAATTATAATGTCAATTTTAACAGATTTTAAGTATGAGAATAATGCTTCTGATTTTCAGAAGTACTTATCAGGCATTGGTGCCACCTGGTGGCCATTTTAATTGAACCTAAAATTATTGTTTAAAAGAATTAGAAGTTTTTCCCCCTTCACTGAGGGGAAAAAAATTAGGAAAACACATTTTTATTATTTTGCAACATATTTATCTTACAGTTTCTGAAATTTGGGGATCAATATTTCAATTCACTCTTACTAGATTCTCCAGTCAACCTGACTTGGGTCACTTACTAAAAGGCCATATCTCATCTTTATCCAGATTTGTGAATAGGTTAACAGTTACCACAGTATTTGTAAAATAAGTACTTGATAGTGGTAATGCAAAGAAAATTCCGATGAGATGAGCAATAAAAGATCATCAGTGTTCGATCATATTTTTTTTGTTTTTTCTGAGATGGAGTCTTGCTCTGTTGCCCAGGCTGGAGTGCAGTGGCGTGATTTTGGCTCACTGCAACCTCCGCCTACTGGGTTCAAGGGATTCTCCTGCCTCAGCCTCCCAAGTAGCTGGGACTACAGGCACGTGCCACCATGCCCGTCTAATTTTTTGTATTTTTAGTAGAGACGAGGTTTCTCCATGTTGGCCAGGATGGTCTCAATCTCCTGACTTCATGATCTGCCCACCTCAACCTCCCAAAGTGTTGGGATTACAGGCATGAGCCAATGCGCCCGACCCTCGTTCATATTTTTAAAGGCACTTCATTCAACAGTTTTTAAAGCAAAGGCCTTTACTTATTTAAAAAAATCTAAATTATGGCATCCGTGGTCCTTCCTAAACAAGACTCAGGGAAGCACAAACCTTAAAGAAAAAGAATTTATGGGCCGGGCATGGTGGCTCACGCCTGTAATCCCACTTTGGGAGGCCGAGGCAGGAGGATGGCTTGAGCCCAAGAGTTCAAGACTAGCCTGGGCAACATGGTGGGACCCCGTCTCCACAAAAAATAAAAATAAAATTCACCAGGCATGCTGGCACACACCTGTTATCCCAGCTACTCAAAAGGCTGAGGCAGGAGGATCACTGAGCCCAGGAGGTCAAGGCTACAGTGACCTGTGATGGTGCCACTACACTCCAGCCTAGGTGACAATGAGAACCTGCCTCAAAAAAAGAAAAAAAAAGGAAGAAATTTATGGCTATAACTACATCAAAGTTAAATATTTGCTTAGCAAATGACATCGTACACAAACTTAACAAACAATATATTTTCCATGTCTAAAACCAACAAAGGCTATTATATAAGAAATTTCTTCAAATCAACATGAAAGGAAAATCAAAGAGTATGAAGAAATACTGACCAGGATGGAAACTAAATAACCATTGAGTAATATGAAAGGATACTCAGCATGTAATCAAATAAATATAATTAGAATATCACTTTATACCTATCAAAAATTAGGGGGAAAAAGCCGGATATTATCAAGTGTTAGTGAAACTATGAGGAAACAGAAACCTTCATGTACTGCTGGTAGGAAAGAAATTTGACAGTCCTTATAGTTAGCTATCTGTGAGAGACCAGAATATGCTTCCCCTAAATAAAAGATTGTTGAGCCAAAGATTATTAAGAAGCAGCAGATGGGCCGGGCACAGTGGCTCAAGCCTGTAATTCCAGCACTTTGGGAGGCCGAGGCAGGTGGATCACTTTAGGTCAGGAGTTTGAGACCAGCCTGGCCAACATGGTGAAACCCCATCTCTACTAAATACACAAAAATTAGCCGGGTGTGGTGGCGGGCGCCTGTAATTCCAGCTACTTGGGAGGCTGAGGCATGAGAATCACTTGAACCCGGGAAGCAGAAGTTGCAGTGAGCCGAGATGGTGCCACTGCACTCCAGCCTGGGTGACAGATGAGATTCTGGCTCCAGAAAAAAAAAAAAGAAGAAGGAGCAGATGCAGGAGAGCTCTCTGCCCTCCCTCCACCTGCCTGAAAGCAGAACGTAGATTTATAAGAAAAAAGGTATCCTGCCACCCCTTCTTTACCACAGACAACAGAGGTTAACCACTGAAGACAGCTTTAGACCCTCATCAGCCTTGAAATGATACCAGAGGAAATTTATTTTCACAAGCTTTACTAACCTTTATCTGCCATTTGTTTGCCTTCCCCACAAGTTGCTGCTTGTAGAGACTCCAAGTCCTTTTCCTTTGTGCTGTCACTTCTCTAAAAATTTACTCTTCTTTGTTGAAAATAAAATAAAAGCTAGAATTCAAAGCTACTTCTTTGAGAACTAATCATTGATATCTCCCTTGTACATATGAAATACACGTTAATAAACTTGTTTTTCTCTTGTTAATCTGTCTTTTGTAACGGGGATCTTTTCCGATTACAAACGTATGGGAGTTATTTTCCCCCTACATATGCATCCTACAACCCAACAGTCACATTCCTGGATGTACTTTCTATTTCTGTGTAACAAATTACTCCCCGATTTGGTGGCTTAAAAATAAATAATAAAACAACACTTATTATCTCAAAGTTTCCGTGGGTCAAAAATTCAAACATGACTTTCCTGAATGCCCTGAATCACAGTCTTTTGAAAGACTGCAATCAAGGACCTGGAGCTATAGCCATTTTAAGGATCAGTGTGGTTGTTGGTAGGCTCAGAAGATTCATTTCCAGGCTCACTCACAGAGTGTTGCAGGCCTTAGGGCCTCACTGGCTGTTGGCCAGGGACATCAGTTCCTTGTCACATGGACCTCTTCATAGGGCAGTTTATAACATGGCAGCTCACTTCCTCCAGAGCAAGAGCTCCAAAAAGAGAGAATGAGAAATGGCGAGCAAGACAGAAGTCACAGTCTCTCTGTAAACCAATTTTAGAAGTGACATCGCGTTACATTTGACATATTCTCTTTGTTAGAAAAAAATCACTAGACCTAGTCCATATTAAAAGGAAGGGCATTAAAAAAAAGCATGAATATCAGGAGGCAGAAATCAATGGGAGCCGTTTTAGAGGCTGCCTACCACACTGGGTATGTATCCCAGAAACTCTCAACAAAGCCTCAAAAGAAAAGAAAAGAAAAAGATGAGGCTCTTTTTTTTTTTCTTTTTCCTGAGACGGAGTCTCCCTCTGTTGCCCAGGCTGGAGTGCAGTGGCGCAATCTCTGCTCACTGCAAGCTCCGCCTCCCGGGTTCACGCCATTCTCCTGCCTCAGCCTTCCAAGTAGCTGGGACTACAGGCGCCCGCCACCACACCCGGCTAATTTTTTGTATTTTTAGTAGAGACTGGGTTTCACCGTGTTAGCCAGGACGGTCTCGATCTCCTGACCTCGTGATCCGCCCGCCTCGGCCTCCCAAAGTGCTGGGATTACTGGCGTGAGCCACCGCACCCGGCCAAGATGAAGCTCTTTATCTCAGCATTGTGCAAAATAATTGCAGGCAACTTAGATGCCCAACCGTGGGAAAATGGATAGCACAACAGTATTTCTTTAAATTTAAACCATAAATAACAGTGTGAATATATATATATATATATATATATATATATATATATATATATATATATATATATATATCAATGTATCTACATAGAAGTATGGGAAGTAGACATCCATGGCATGAGTGACAATGGGAGAAAGGAATGAGCATAATGACTTACAAGGACCAAAATCAGTGTGCAATGAACTGAAAATAATCAATTCAATTCTATGGATCTAAAGGCCTTAAAAACAAAGCCCCAAAACCAGGAGTGAAAATAATGTATCCCTCCACTGCTATGTTCCAGCCCCTGAGTTCTCCTTCCTAGAGACAGCCACAGTTACTGACTATAAAAGATATATGCACATTATGAAGTCTTTGTACAGCTTATTTACCTGTTGTTTTTCAGTCCACCTACCCTTCTATACTGTGAACATCTAGGGCTGGGAGGTATCAAACTACATTTCCAGGCTCTCTTGCTTCTCTTGTTAGGCACTGAAAGGAACTGAGAAGGCTGAAAAAAAAAAGAGAAAGGCTCTTGACTCCAAATGTATGGTAGTTGGTGGCAGATACTCTTGCTGCTATGTGAATGAAGTGAATCCAGATGACCAGCTAGGGCAGAGGCAGCACCCTTTGGCTGAGTGACACCTCTTCAGCAGATCCAAGCTTGACTCTAACAGTGCCTCCAATGGTGCAGCAGCCAGCCCAGGGGCATCTCCAATTTCTGATCTCTGGATATCACCCCTTCATCTTCCATTTTATTGCTCCAGTCCCATTTGTCTTTCTTTTTGCACTTCCAGCCCTTTTGTGCCAGGGCACCTGAAAAATACTGCTTTACTATTAACCTCAGAATAATTGGACCCCACAATTTTAAACAATGAAATTCCTGTTTTACAGATGAGGAAACTGAGTTAAAAGAAGGCACTTGCCTGAGGGTCACAGTAAGAGCTGGGATTTAAACCCAGGTCATCTGGTTCCTGGGCCTATGCACTTAGTCATATTCACTATGCTTTCTTTCACACACGTATGAGTTGAGCAAAACTACACTTCCACATGGTGCCATATTAAAAGAAACAAATGCATGGTAAAGATAACTAAATAATGTCTGTGGGCCTTTCAAGTAAATATTCATTCCTTAGAAAAAGGAAAATGTGGACAAAATAGTTATAAAATAAAGTGACATAACCAATTTCGCTTCCTTCTTGATAAATTTATTCATATGCTGGGGTAAAATTAAATAAGTTTCCATAGATCTGCTGCTAAACTTTCCAAAGTTTAGTTAGTGCGGCGTGCCAGAATACGTGAAGATATTATCAGACCTATTCTAACTGCCCAATGGGTTCACCTCAACCCGCTGCCTAGACAGCCAATTTATCAAGACAGGGGAATTGCAGTGGAGAAAGAGTAATTCACACAGAGCAGCTGTGCAGGAGACCAGAGTTTTATTATTACTCAAATCAGTCTCCCCATATGGGATCAGAGTTTTTAAAGATAATTTGGCGGGTAGGGTCTTGGGAATTGGGGAGTGCTGATTGGTCAGATTGGAGATGGAATCATAGGGAGTCGAAGTCAGTTTTTCTTGCTGTCTTCTGTTCCTGGGTGAGATGGCAGAACTGGTTGAGCCAGATTACCGGTCTGGATGGTCTCAGCTGACCCAGTAAGTACAGAGTCTGAAAAATATCTCAAGGACTGATCTTAGGTTTTACAGTAGTGATGTTCTCCCCAGGAGCAATCTGGGGAGGTTCAGACTCTTGGAGCCAGGGGTTGCATGACCCCTGAACTGTGATTTCTAATCTTGTAACTAATTTGTTAGTCCTACAAAGGCAGACTGGCCCCCAGGTGAGAAAGGGGTCTTTTTGGGAAACAAAATTTTTATCAATTTTGTTTCAGAGTCAAACCATGAACTGAATTCCTTCCCAAGGTTAGTTCAGCCTATGCCCAGGAATGAACAAGGACAGCTTAAAGGTTGGAAGCAAGATGGAATCGGTTATATCTGATTTCTTTCATTATCATAATTTCCTCAGTTATAATTTTGCAAAGGTGGTTTCACTATTTCCCATGTTAGATTGTCTCTTATCATAAGGTATTTTGAAATACCAAAAGAAGTACTAAGACAAGCCATATCACAACCTTTAAAATTATCTTTTAAAAAAGAAAAAGTATTTCTCTTATTCTTGCTTACACTGTACATTGTCAAATCACAGAACCATGGGGAAAAGCATAGGACATTGATGTTACTATCACTGAAATAGGTTGAAGTCCAAAGCTAGAAACTGTCAGAATATTTTATTTCCCAAGTTGCTAAGTCTCCATCCAACTTTTATGGGCTTCAGCTTATTCCCACATATCTGACAGCAAACAAACATGTTTCTGTGAACATTCACAGTGCTAAACACTCCTAAAGAAAATAAATTGCTTTTCATTTTCTAAGACAGAAGTCATTCTGGATTGCCAAAATTGAAAATTGCCAGTCCTCTCTTACGTGCCACCTCCCTAACAATAACCTCACATAAAAGACGATCTGCTTTTCTCTTTTTCTTTATCTAATATCATCTCCTTCCCTTTTGCTAACATTAACAATAACAACTAAAAAAAACAAATGGGTCCTTTCATGCAACTCTTCTAAATTAGATTAGATGGGACTGAATAAACATACACACACTCTTTCTGTCACATTAACTTTTCTCTAAAGAACACCTCAGAGATCAGTGATGGATAGATTGCTCAATAAACTGTCAATATTCACTCGTTTCTTTAAATAAATCATGTAACAAAGGAAGAATTATCTCTTTTCCTCTAACATTAGCTTATATTAGCTAGTATATATATATTATTCACCTTGTAAACATTATATAAGCACAGTATTGTAATACTAGCTAATATTAGAGGAAAAAATATATAATACATTTTTAAGATATATTTATATATATTAGCTAATATATAATCCTCTTATATTAGCATTATATAATATGGCAATACTTTTAACTCTTAACTTTATTCTGAAATAATTATAGATGCACAGAAAAAAAATTTAATGTACAACTGATCCTTCAACAGCATGGGGGTTAGGGATGCCCGCCACCTACACCATTGAAAATCCACGTATCATCCCCCAAAATTTAACTACTAACAGCCTACTGTGGACTGGAAGTCTTCACAATAACATAGTCAATTAACACATATTTTGTATGTTATATATATTATATACTGTATTCTTACAATAAAGTAAGCTAGAGAAAAGAAAATGTTATTAAGAAAATCAAGAGGAGAAAATACATTTACAGTACTGTGTTGTATTTATCAATACTGTAAGTTTACATCATCTGTTTACAAGGTGAATCATCTGTCTGAAATAGTGGACACAGCTGCAAACCTCAATCTATAGTACATATTAAGCAACTCAACTTTTTCTTGTCATGATTTTTCTCTGCTTCTTGGGAGCACTTCCAGCATTACTAGTGGCATTTCATAGGGGTCCCATGGTGTTATTTAAAGTTTACAGTATTGCACTGAACACAATAAAAAACATGCAAGAACCAAGAGAGATCACTTTTTAATGTGATAAGCAATTTACCAGAGAAATGAGCTGCTCATGCCGAGATGATTAGGGTCACATGGCATTTTAAGTGGATACTTCCAACATGAGCTCACTACAATAGCAACAGGAAGTGGCCACAAAATTATTACAATAGTACTGTTTTATTACAGTTAATTTTATGAAGTTATGACTAATAAATCAATTTTAGATCTGTTTACATTTCTCGATGGTGAATGGCGCCATGTATGTGTTTGTGTGCCTAAGTTTTGTTAAATGTTAATTTTCTATAATATATTTTTGTATATTTTATGGCAGTAAATGATAAAATAGACTAGCATACATTTTATGCATTCATGCCATATCTAATTTTTCTTAATTTTTTGATATTTCTAGGCTACATGGTTTGTCTGTTTTTTCAAATTGTTGCAAATCTTCAAAATATTTTCTAATATATTTATTGAAAAAAAATCCACCTACAAGTGAATCCTCACAGTTCAAATGCGTGTTGTTCAAGGGTCAACTGTAGTCTTCACCCAGCCTCCCCCAATGGTAACATCTCACATAACATAGTACAGGATCAAAACTAGGAAACTGACACTGCCACAAGCCAATATCTGAAATAAGAGGCGGCCCAGCCTGAAGTAAGACTAAGAACACTTGGAGTTATGTCTTCTTAGCCTCCCCAATCCCTCCTTGTATATTAGTCCGTTTTCACACTGCTATAAAGAAATCTGAGACTGGGTAATTTATGAAGAAAAGAAGTTTAATTGACTCATAGTTTCACAGGCTTAACAGGAAGCATGACTGGAAGGCCTCAGGAAATTTACAATCATGGCAGAAGACGAAGGGAAAGCAAGCACCTTCTTTACATGGTGGCAGAATGGGGTGGGGGAGGAGCCAAACACTTATAAAACCGTCAGATCTCATGAGAACTCACTTACTATCACAAGAACAGCATAGGGGAAACCATTCCCCCATGATCCAATCACCTCCCTCCATGTCCCTTCCCCAACATCAGGAATTACAATTCAACATGAGATTTGGGTGGGGACACAGACCCAAACCATATCACTCCTCCACCTCAAGCCACCTTCCAGAGTACTATTAAAACCAGTAAAACCTGTAATGTGTAGAAATAATGTATGGGGATTAACTAACCCACTCAAGACAACACTAGCAGAAAAAGTCAAGCTACTTTAAAAGAATCGATAGGGGTACATCTACTATCATCTGAACTTTAACCCTAGTAGGTGTTTGGGGAAAGAGGGTTGCCCTACTTCTATAATCAGAGCAAGCATTACCCATCAGAAGTTGCACAGTGAAATGAATTTTAAAGATGTAGAGAGTATCAGTCAGCTATTGCCAATAATGCTGCATAAGAAACCACCCCCAAAACTCAGTGGCTTAAAATAATCATTTATTCTCATACTTATGGGTTTGAGTTGTTTGGGGTAGGTAACACTGCTTCAAAAGTTCCATCCTGAGTCCAGTTTGGGGAGGCAGTGACTACCCAGAGATGTTTTTCCAGTGATGATGGTAGAAGGACAAGAACTCAAGTACAAATAAGCATGTTTGTTCCCAGACAAAGATGAAAATACTCTCAAGAATAATATTTTAAACCATAACTATTTATTTATTCCTGACTATGAGTATCAGGCCATTGCCTATAAAGAAAGAAAAGAGGACAAACATGACTAGGGAGGGCAAAGAGTAAGGGGTAAGTGGAACAACCCCAAACGAACTTTTGCTCCACCACAAATTTACCTAGAGTCAAAGTCTATCTATTATCACAGAAGGCAAAATGCCAAAATTGGAACTCTACCATCAGAACACAGATTTTTTTAAAGACTCTCTTTGAGACAAAGAATGCCACATTCCAGACTATTCAGTATCATCATCCCAGGAATCTAGTAACATTCCATGGGGACTTCTACAGCACTCTCTTAGTATAGAACACTCTTGAATCCACATGTACACTGATTTATCTTGTCCTTTGTTGAGTAGTCAGCCCATTAGCATTATTCTGGTCCAAATCCATAAACACAGGAAAACTACCAGACATATTTTCTAGTTCTTGAATATCTCCCAATAGTTTTTCTTCTCTGTATAGGTCATTTGTAGTTGTCTGTCCACAGGATTATTTATAAATAACATATGTGACATTATACACAATAAAATTCTCTGGAGGAAGAAAATAATTTACTGTGTGTTAAAACTGAACAGTCTGTGCTAATACTACAATATCAGACTTCTGTGGTTGACTAATTAGCACTGAGAGGTGAAGCCAGCTGGACTTCCTGGGTCCAGTGGGGACTTGGAGAACTTTTCTGTCTTACAAGAGGATTGTAAAACGCACCAATCAGCGCTCTGTAGCTAGGATTGTAAAACGCACCAGTCAGTGCTCTGTAGCTAGCAAGAGGTTTGTAAAATGCACCAATCAACGCTCTGTAAAATGGACCAATCAGCACTCTGGAAAATGGACCAATCAGCAAGATTCTAAAAGTAACCAATCGCAAGGAGGATTGAGAAAAGGGCATTCTGATAGGACAGAAACAGGACATAGGAGGGGACAAATATGGGAATAAAAGCTGGCCATCTCAGCCAGCAGCCAGAACCCACTCAGGTCCTCTTCCAGGCTGTAGAAGGTTTATTCTTTTGCTCTTCACAATAAATCTTGCTCACTCTTTGGGTCTGTGCCATCTTTAAGAGCCGTAACACTCACTGTGAAGGTCCATGGCTCCATTCTTGAAGTCAGCGAGACCATGAACCCACCAGAAGGAAACAACTCCAGACACAGCACTACTCATAAAATTTAACAATGTATAGGATTAGATGCACATTTGGCTTCTACAAACAAAATAAAGTCTTGACCAATATGGACAACTCTCTCTATAAGTTCTATTTACCACCTCTCCAAAGCCTTAAAAATCTGCTTGACTTCTTGCTTCATGAGTGGACTCTCAAAGAGTTATTTAAAGCAAAGCAATACCCACCCAAAAAGACCACTCATTTTTCAAAATTGTAGCTCAAATCAGATTGTACTACTAACTACATACTTGAGGACCTATGCATTGTGCTATATTTGTGCTGCCCTAAGGAAATATATAGCCTAGTTGGAGAGAAAGACATACATATAAAAATGTTAATGATAATAACTCAGGAGGTTTATAAAACTAACCACGTAGAACAGATTGTAACTGCTACAGAAGTTCATCTAACAGATCACTACAGACTGGGCTTCACCTAAAGTGAGCCTAGAAAACATTAAAAGAGAAAACATACCAAACATCAAGAACAGTAAGACTGTAAAAGAGGCAATCTCATAAACTGCATTACATGGTAGGTACGACCTTTCTAAAAAGGATTTTTCTATGTACTGAGATTCTTATATGCTCTTTGACACAGTAAATTCATCCTTACATATATATTCTCAGAAAATAATGAGAAATGAAACAAATTTTTATGGGAAAAAAGAAAAAGAAAAAACCTAGAAATGCCCAGCCACAAAAATTGTTAATTCAGTGTTCGTATGTCACAATATTAACTGTCTAATGTCACAACAATGCTCTGTATCAACCACAAATCCTCAGGGGCATACAAGTTTATTGCTCATGTGTCTGGGATGAGTTGGGGTTTGGCTAGGCAGCTCTACTGATTTTAGCTGTGCTTGCTTACATGTCTGAGGGTTAGCTGGCTTCAGGTGCGGCAACCTGGGTTTGTTCTCCCTCACTTCCTCTAACAGATTTAACTAAACATGTGCTCACAGCAATGGCAGAGGCCCGAGAGGAAACATGCAATCTCTGAGGCTCAGGCTCAGAATTTACACCTCATTCTAATCTCCAAAGGTCAGAATAAAAGTAAAAGGGCACTACAAAGTGACATCAGAGAAAACAATCTAACAATGCATCTTAAAGAACTAGAAAAGCAAGACCAAACCAAATCAAAAATTAGTAGAAGAAATAATAAAGATCAGAGCAGATATAAATGAAATTGAAATAAAATACAAAAGATCAACAAATGGTTGGTTTTTCTGAAAAGATAAACAAAATTGGTGACCTTTTAGCCAGACTAAGAAAAAAAAAAGAAGACCCAAATAAATAAAATCAGAGGTGAAAAAGGAGACATTATAACCAATACTGTAGAAATTAGAAGGATCATTAGAGACTACAATGAACAAGTATGTGCCAATAAATGAGAAAACCTAGAAGAAATGGATATATTCCTAGACACATAAAACCTAGCAAGATTGAACCATGAAGAAATCCAAAATCTGAACAGACATATAAAAAATAACAAGATCAAAGCCAAAAAGTCTCCCAGCAAAGAAAAGCCTGGGACCTGATGGCTTCACTGCTGAATTCTAGCAAACATTTAAGGAAGAACTAATACCAATCCTACTCAAACTATTCTAAAAAATAAAGCAGGAGGGAATACTTCCAAACTGATCCTATGAGGCCATTATTACTCTGATGCCAAAACCAGACACACATAAAAAGAAAAAAAAAACTATAGGCCAGCATCACTGATAAATATTGATCTAAAAATCCTCAACAAAATACTAGCAAACAAAATTCAACAACATATTAAAAAGATCATTCATCACGACCAAATGGAATTTATCCCAGGGCTGCAAAAATAGTTCAACATATGCAAATCAATCAACGTGATACCCCATGTTAACAGAATGAAGGACAAAAACAAATGATCATTTCAACTGATGCTAAAACAAGCATTTGATAAAACTCAACATCTGTTCAGGATAAAAACCCTAAAAAAAATTGAGTATAGAAAGAACATGCCTCAACATAATAAAAACCATATATGATAGACTCACCACTAGTATCATGCTGAATGGGAAAAAACTGAAAGCCTTCCTTTCCTCTAGGATCTGAAACACAAGGATGCTCACTTTCACCACTGTTATTTGTCATAGCACTGGAAGTCCTAGCTGGAGCAATCAGGCAAGAGAAAGAAATAAAGGACATCCAAATTGGAAAGAAAGAAGTCAAATTATCATTGTTTGCCAATGATATGATATTTTAATCGGAAAAACCTAAAGACCACCAAAAAACTATTAGAACTAACTAACAAATTCACTAAAGTTGTAAGATAAAAAATCAACATATAAAAATCAGTAGCATTTCTATAAGCCAACAATAATCTGAAAAGGAAATCAATAATTTCATTTACAACAGCTACAAATAAAATTAAATACCTAGGAATTAAACAAAGTGAAAGATCTCTACAATGAAAACTATAAAAAGTTGATGTACTTTGTAAATTGAAGAGGACACAAAAAAATAGAAAGATATCCCATGTTCATTAATTAAAAGAATCAATATTGTTAAAATGTCTATACTACCCAAAGCAATTTACAGATTCAATGCAATCCCTATCAAAGTATCAATGACATTCTTCACAGAAATGGAAAAAAAAATCCTAAAATTTACATGAAACCACAAAAGACCCAGAATAGCCAAAGCTATCTGAAGCAAAAAGAAGAAAATTGGAGGAATCACATTACCTGCTTCAAATTATACCACAGAGCTATAGTAACCAAAACAGCATGGTACTGGCATAAAAATAGACACAGACCAATAAAACAGAAGAGAACCCAGAAATAAATCCATATATCCGCCATGAGCTCATTTTTGACAAAGATGCCAAGCACATACATTGGGGAAAGGACAGTTTCTTTCCCCAATGCTGGGAAAACTGGATTATCAATATGCAGAAGAATGAAATTAGACCCATCCTACCACATACAAAAATTAAAAAAATGAATTGAAGACTTAAATCTAAGACCTCAAACTATGAAACTAATAAGAGAAAACATGAGAGAATCTCTCCAGGAGATTGGTCTGAGCAAAGATTTCTTGAGTAATACCTCACAAGTACAGGCAACCAAAACAAAAATGGATAAATAAGATCACATAAAATTAAAAAGCTTCTGCACAGCAAAGAAAACAACGAAGTGAAGACAAAACCCACAGAATGGGAGAATATATTTGCAAACTATCCTTCTGGAATTAATAACCAGAATACATAAGGAGCTCAAACAACTCTATAGGAAAAAATCTAATAATCCAATCAAAGTATGGGCAAAGATTTGAATAGACATTTCTCAATATACATTTCATATACAAATGGCAAACAGGTGAAAAGGTGCTCAACATCACTGATTATCAGAGAAATGCAAATCAAAACTACAATCAGATACTATCTCACTCCAGTTAAAATAGCTTTTTTTCCAAAAGACAGGCAATAACAAATGCTGGCAAGGCTGTGGAGAAAAGGGAACCCTCGTACACTGCTGTTGGGAATGTAAATTAGTACAACCACTATGGTTCCTCAAAAAGTTAAAAACAGAGCTATCATTTGATCCCATAATACCACTGCTAGGTATATACCCAAAAGAAAGGAAATCAGTATATCGAAGGGATATCTGCATTCTCACGTTTACTGCAGCACTATTTACAACAGCCAAGATTTGGAAACAACCTAAGTGTCCATCAACAGATGAATGGATAGAGAAAATGTGGCACTTATACACAATGGAGTACTACTCAGCCATAAAAAGGATGAGATCCTGTCATTTGCAACAACATGGAGGAAGCTGGAGATCACTATGTTAAGTGAACTAAGCTAGGCACAGAAAGACACACTTCACATGTTCTCACTTATTTGTGGGAGCTAAAAATTAAAACCACTGAACTCACAGAGATAAGAGAGTAGAATGATGGTTACCAAAGGCTGGGAAGGGTAGTGGGGAAGGTTTGGGGGAAGTGGGGATGGTTTTAATGGGTACAAAAAAAGAGAATAAGATGTAGTATTTGATAGCATAACAGGGTGACTATAGTCAATAATAATTGTACATTTTAAAACAACCAAGATACTTTAAGTGAAATAAGAAAAAAAAATCAAGAGTATAATTGGATTGTTTGTAACACAAAGGATAAATGCTTGATGTGATGGATATCCCACTTACCCGCATGTGATTTTTATACATTGTATGTCCATATCAAAATATCTCATATACTCCATAAATATATATACCAATTATATACCCACAGATAAGAATTAAAAATTAAAAACAAAAAATAAAGTGACATCAGGGTCAGCAGGCCTGCTGTTTTTTAAAATAATGTTTTATTAGGACACAGCCACTCTCATTTACACATTGTCTATGGCCCTTTCATGCCACAACAGGAGAGCTGAGTAGTTGTGATAGAGACCATATAACCTCTAAAGCCTTAAATATTTATTTGATCCTACTATAAGTTATAGGATAAAAGGCACAGACACAGGGCAGAGTGATGAATTGGGGATATTCTGTAATCTACTAGTGGAATATTGTTTTATTAAATGTATTTACAAAGAATTAATGGCTTTGAAAGCGTTTATTTTATAATAATAAAGAAGGCACAAAAACTGTATATACAGTATGAGCTCACCACTATATAATCATCTGTAAGTATATATATTACATATAAATAATTCACATACATAAATTATTTTCATATATATTAGTATTATTTTATTTTTTATTAATTTTTTTTGAGACAGAATCTCACTCTTCTGCCCAGGCTGGAGTGAAGTGGTGCGATCTCAGCTCACTGCAACCTCCGCCCGCCAGGTTCAAGCAATTCTCCTGCCTCAGCCTCCTGAGTACCCGGGGTTACAGGCACCCTCCATCACACCTGGCTGATTTTTCTATTTTTAGTAGAAACGGGGTTTTTCTATGTTGGCCAGACTGGTCTCAAACTCCTGACCTCAGGTGATCCACACACCTTGGCCTCTCAAAGTGCTAGGATAACAGGCATGAGCCACTGCACCCAGCCCATATATATATATATATATATATATATATATATATATATATATATTAAAGGCAAGCCATAGACTGGGAGAAAATAGTTGTAAAATACATATTAACAAAGGACTATCATCTAAAATACACATCTTAAAATAACAAGAAAACAACCCAATTTAAAAATGGGCAAAAATCTGGACCGACACATCACCAAGATATACAGGTGGCAAATAAGCATATGAAAAGATGTTTATCATCAGTTGTCATCGGGGAACTGCAAATGAAAACAGCAATGAGATACTACTGCACACCTATTTGAATGGCTAAAATCTATAAACAACTGACACTACCAAATGCTGACAAGGATGCAGAGCAACAGGAACACTCATTCATTGAAAGTGGTAATGCAAAAGGATACAGCCACTTTGGAAGACAGTTTGGTAGTGTCTTCCAAAGCTAAACAATCTTACCATAAGATCCAGCAATCATGATTCTAGGTGCTTATCCAATTGATTTTAAAACCTAAGTTCACAGGAAAACCTGACCATGAATATTTATAGCAACTTTATTCATAATCACCAACAGCTGGAAGTACTCAAGATGTCTTTCAATAGATGAATGGATAAACAAACTGTGGTACATCCATACTATAGAATATAATTCAGCAAATAAAAAGAAATGAGCTAACAAGCCACAAAATACATACAACATTAAAAATGCATTGCTAAGTTAAAGAACCCAGTATGAAAAGCTACATGTTATATGATTCCAATTATACGACATTCTGAAAAAGGCAAAACTATAGAGACAGTAAAATGATTAGTGGTTGCTAAGAGTTTAGGGTTTAGGATGAATAGGGGAAACACAGGTGATTTTTAGGGCGGTAAAATTCTAACACTGTAATGCAGATACAAGACATTACCCATCTGTCAAAACTGTAGAAATTTACAACACAAAAAGTAAATTTAAAAAAGTCATTTAGGAGGTCAGGTGATCCCAGGAAGAAATGAAGACTATGATAAGACTAACTCTTTTACAAGTATATGAAACAATTGCATTAAAGGTGCTGACCGAAATAACTCTGGAAATGAGTACAGTCTGAAAGACTAAGGGCAAAAGGGAACTGCACATAAAACATTTACTGTAGTTAACAAAGTTATTTTTTACAGGATGCAGATTAATAATTCTTGTACTACTATACTTGTATACTGGAATGTAATAATTAAGTAAATGGGTGGCAGATGGTGGAAATCAGGTTTTACACTGTTGGAATGGGAGTTCACAGATAAACAAGGACAGGAAGCTAGACTGACCCATGCAGTAATTAATTATAATTGGAGACATCAGTATGACTTCATGTGTACTTTAGTGTAGATAGATTTGGTACATATAGAAGTATTTATAAATATATATAAATACATAGGTTAGTAAAACAGCATTTTTTTTACTCTGTCAGTTGAGAGGAACTAAATGAAATGACCTCAGTAGCAGCAAGCATACTGAGCACCTAGATGTTGGTTTCTAAAACCATTCTCCAATAAATAAAACCAGAGCTCCTAGAAAAAAATGACCAATTCTAGGGCAATAAATATACAAGATGAGTCTGTAACACCTTATAGTACCAGAATGTAAGGAAATGCTCAAACACACACACACCATAACACAATGATGGGGGTTTGTCAAAGGACCATACACCCAAAGGAGACAACTGAAAGAGCTCCCAATGGCCAAAGCTAGAACAATTCGAACAAAATAATTAAAATAGTATCAGATTATAACACCAAGTATAAAATAAGTATTCATGACTCCATATGGCCAAACATGATTGAAATAATTAGTAAATTAAAAAGAGACAAATGTCCCATCCAGGAGAATTCCAAATAATTTACATAGATATCCCATGCTTAAGGAGGGGCAGTGTAACTCACTACCTCTTAGGCGTGGGCTGTGCAGTGACTTCCTTCCAAAGTGTACAGTAAAGAAAGGGGGAAAAGAGTAACTTTACAGTGGAGAAACCTGACAAACTCTACCTCAGTCAGGTGATCAAGATCAACATCAACAGTGAGAAATCATATTGATAGTAAGCACCACTGAAATTATGTCATGAAAATGGTACTTTGCCTCTGCAGTTTTTCTCCCAATAACCTATAGCCCCAATCTTATCATGAGAAAAACATCAGACAAATTCCAGTAGCAGGGCATCCTATAAAATAACTGAGCAGTATTCCTCAAAACTGTTAAGATCATCAAAAACAAAGGAAATCTGAGAAACTGCCACTACCAAGAGGAGCATAAGGAAACATGACAACTAAATGCAATGTGGTACCCTGGATGGGGCCCTGGAAAAGAAAATTAGATAATAACTAAGAACTCTAAATATATGGACTTTAGTTAGTAATAATGTATCAACATTGGCTCATTATAACAAGCATATAATTATATTTTATATCATACTGATATAAAATGTTAATAGGGAAAACTGGGTATGGAGTATATGGGAACTCCCTGCAGTGTTTTCTTAATTTTTCTGTTAAGTGTAAAACTAAATAGAAAATAAAGCCTATTAAAAAAGAAAAGTATCAAAATGTTAGCAATGACAAAATGTTAACAGTGAATCCCTGTGGTAGGATTATGGGTAATTCCTACATTTGTCTTTATGGTTCCCTATACCATATGAATTTTCTAGAACAAACTCTATGACTCTATGCTGCTCTAAAAAGTGTAGGCATACAAAATGCAACAAGAAACAAGTCATTTCTCAACTTGTTTAAATACTAAACACTAAAACTGTTTATAAATTTTGAAAGCAGATACTATTGAATTACAATTTGTTGCATACTGACTATGCTAAGAATTTTAGCAATCCTTTATGTAGTCAACAGTATTATGTCCTTTTAACAAACTGAAGAAATAGGTGTTCAGAAAGTTTAAGTCATATAGCTAATAAGTGACAGGTAAGCTGATTCCAAAACATTTTCATTTCCATCATACAGCTCCCAAGAATTGTCTAGCACTTAATAAACTATTTCTAGTACATATTTTACCTTAAAGTACTTCACAAAAATGCTGTGAAGCAGGTGATAAAGACCTTATTTATACGAAACTGTTTCAGAAGGAAAATGTGTGACAGGCACCACTGCAGTGCTGACTCCAACAAAAACAAAATAAAATTGCCATCAGATAAAACAATACAAGCAACATTGCTACAGAAACATAGTGGCTGCCCAACCTATTCCAAATAACCTTTAATTATTACAGATCTTGTTTTGTCACCCTGAATCATGTCTCTTCCCTAGACAATAACACAGTTTTCAAAATGTATCAAGTCAATCAACTAAAATTCAATTTTCTTATCACATTATTTTGAGTACAGAAAGATACCTAGACTGATTTCTTGCTGTCATCAAGGCTCACTACCCCACTGATCAAGTTATTTCAACATGTGACAGAACTGATAAGCTGAGAATACATAACACTGACATCAGTGTTTTTTATGAAGCCATTTCATGATTCCTTAAATCACAGATGACTCAACTCAAACTGCCCTATTTTTAAGTACATTGGTTCCTCATGATGCAAAATAAGCTAAGAGTAGATTATATGTGGGGCCTGAACAAGAAAAATTCAAATCCTGCCCAAAAAGTTATATCAGCATAAGAACAAGATCAAATACAGAGAAGCACCTGTCCAAAGGACGTAAGCCCCAGCTTGGAGGGGTACCCACTGGCCAAGTCTGGAACAATATGAACATCAAAATAAAAAACAAGAAAACAACCAACCTGCTATGGACTGCATGTTTATGGTGCCCCAAAATTCATCTGTTGACACCCTAATCCCTAATGTGATGGCATTAGGAGGTGGGTCATTTAAGAGGTAATTAGGTCATAAGTGGAGCCCTTATTGATGGGATGAGTGCTCTTATGAAGAGGTAAGAGATACTAGAGAGCTCTCACTCTGCTATGTGAGAAGATGGCAAGAAGACAGCCATGTATGTGCAAACCAGGAAGAGGGCTCTCACCAGAATCTGACCATGCTAGTTAGCACCCTGATCTGACTTCCTAGCCTCCAGAACTGTGAAAAGAAGGTTTGCTTTTTTATTCAGCTGCCTAGTCTATGGTATTCTGTTATAGCAACCCCAACTAAAACACAACCCAATTCTTAAAAATAGATGAAAGATGTGAACAGCCGTTTTACTGATAAAAAGATATACATAACAAATAAGCACATGAAAAGATGTTCAGTATTATTAGCCATTAGGGAAAGGCAAATTAAAATCACAAAAAGAAACCACCATCCACCTATCTGGATGGCTTTTTTAAACTGACAATATCAAAATATGACAAGAATGCAGAGTAAGTGAAAATCTCATACACTGCTGGTGGGAAAGCACAATGGCACAAGCCACTTTGGAAATAGTTTGACAGGTTTTTACAAAGTTAAATATAGGATGCAACAATCTCACTCCTGGTTATTTACCCAAGTAAAATAAAAAGCTGTACGGAAATGTTCACAGCAGCTTTACCACTAATCAGCAAATACTAGAAACTCAAACATACCTCAACATAGGAATGAATAAACTGTGATATTGATAATGCATTACTCAGTAACAAAAAGGAACCCACTTTGAACACAACACCTTAGATGAATCTCAAGTGCACCATGCTGAGTGAAAGAAACCAGACTTAAAAGGCTACATACTGCATGATTTCATTTATATATTTTGGACAAAGCAAACTATGAAGTTAGAAAACAGATCAGAAGTTGCCAGGGGTTAGGGATGGGAGGATTTGAAAACAAAACAAAACAAAAAAAAAACATGGAATTTTTTTGGGGTGGATGTGATAGAACTGTTCTATAATTCGACTGTGGTAATTACATGATCTATGTGTTAAAAGTCATAGATCTGTACATCAAAGAGAAATTTCACTGTACACTGAAAATAAATTTTTAAAAAATCAAGTAAAAATAACTATTGCAAAGGGCTAGATCCCACTGTATTAAAGTAAAAATTCAAGAGTCCACAATGACATGAAAAACAACTGAATAAGCAAATATATGAAAAAAGAGATAGCTCTTCCTTACAACAGAAAACCAACAAATAACCAAGTTTGGGAACATCTGGACTAATCAACAGCACACGCTTCCTGATACTATGCATTGAGAATTTGGCATCACTCCTGGCATAGTCCTGCCAAAAGGACATAACCTAAAATTAATCTTGAGAAAACATCAGACAAACCCAAACTGAGGTCACTCTACAAAACAACTGGCTTGGACTCTTCAAAAATGTCAATTACATAAAACATTACACTCAGAACTAGTCCAGATTAAAGAAGACTGAAGAGATATGAAAACCTAACACAACACAGAATCTTAGATTTACTATTTTTATGAAGGACTTTATTGAGATTACTGACATCTTAATACGGCCTATCAATTAGATAACAGTTTTGTGTCAATGTTAATTTTCTGATAGTGATCACTACACTGTGATTCGAGAATTCCTTGTTTTTTGAGCGGGGGGGGAATGCTGAAATATTTAAAGGATAAAGAAGCATCATGTCTGCATTTTACTCTTAAATGTTGAGGAAAAAATTATTAGTGAGAAGGGGAAAGAAAGCAAATGAGGCAAATTGTTTACATTTGGCAAATCTAGGTAAATGGTATCCGGGAATACTTGCGACATTTTGTAAGTCTGAAATTATGGATAATTAAAAATATTTTTAAAAATAAACATTCCTTGGGCTGGAAATAACATACCCAGTTATGTAAGGATTGACTCAATGTGAGCACATTTACTAAAATTAAAGAATCTAGGGAAAACTCTGGTACTAAGTACTGACCAGGGAGGTATCTCCTGGCACACAGCTCAGAGCTTCTGGGTTCTACTATGGCAAGGAATTAGCCTGATGCTGTTAAACATCTCAATTACACAAGCAACTCTACCCCTGAACTTTTCTTGCTCATCAGACTTTTTTTATTGGGGGAGTGGGGGAACAGAGTCTCACTCTGTCGCCCAGGCTGGAGTACAGTGGCCAGATCTCGACTCACTGCAACCTCTGCCTCCTGGGTTCAAGTGATTCTCCTGCCTCAGCGTCCCGAGTAGCTGGGACTATGTGTGCACCACCACGCCCGGATAATTTTTGCATTTTTAGTAGAGACAGGGTTTCACTATGTTGGCCAGGCTGGTCTTGAACTCCTGGCCTGAAGTGATCTGCCCTCCTCAGCCTCCCAAAGTGCTGGGATTACAGGCGTCAACCACCACACTTGGCCCCTCAGTGACTTCTGACTCTAAATCAGCAGCTTCAGGTGCAGATTTGGCTACAAAAAAAAATGGTCATAATGACTTGTAAATTATATTTATAAATTGGTTATAAATCATGTTCTTGTGCATTTGATTAATACCAGCCTTCCCAAGCCATAACAACTTTGGGATATGACTAAGAATACTGGGGGACCCACAAGACTCTTGAGTATGGGAACCTTACTATATAGTATGGTAGATTTATCAAGGTTATTTAACTTTGTGCAAGCTCTTGGATGACAGCTTTTCTCTTAGCTACATTCGTTTGCCTGTCACAGCCTTTCAACCAAGAAGTTTCAATACTTAATAGAACATCAAAATGAGTAAGACTAAATAAATGAGTAAGACTAAATAAGGTTAGTGGGAAACTATATTTTTCAGTGGGAAGATTATAAAAGTACTTAAATAACATTAACAATTCTACTTTGGAAAATTGCGTAAGATACTTTCTCATGTAAATATGACACCAATGCGACCATTTCAAACACACGAAAAAGGGCAAGAATGGCTTTATTTTCATGCTTTAAAATATCTTGACACGGAAGATGTAAACACAGACCACCAATGAGAACTTGCTTTGGTCAATCTTACCTTTGAAGAACTAGGACAAGCCATTCCTACCAGGCCACCACCAAAGACAGGATATGGCTTTTAGATCCACAATTTTAACAAAATATGCAGACAGAAAAGAAGCCACTATAGAAAATTTAGGACTTTATCCATAATTTCAAAATTGGAAAGTCCAATATTAAAAAAAAGAAAAATGTTCCACACAGTGGCACTTGCTCAATCTCTTTATTTAGTGGCACACATGGAATGAATGAATTAGCTCTTACTTGCGGCATACTTAACAAGTCTGATCTTGCTTATAGAAATTGGATCTTAATACTTCATTCTCAGAATACTTCAAAACGTAAGCCACAGTTTTTCTTTCAAGGATGTGGGAAGCATTCCTCATTCAAATCTGATTAATGGTTTTATAAAGTATGTACCTCATTTTTATTAGCCATTATCTTCATGCTGGATTCTAATATTCTTTTTAATGGTGATCTGTTCAATGACAGAAACTTATAGAGAGAAAATTCCTTCTCAATTTATAAACAAAAATTTTAAAAGCAGCATTTTTGATGTGGTAGGAAGATATTTATGACAAAAGCAGCTACTGCCCTAAACTGGCAAAAACAACAAAAGAACAAATTGTTATTTAACCTTTAAATAACGAGTCTCTATTTGCTATAAATCTACAAATATTTTAAATATATTTCCTCCTACTGCAATAAAAATTAAGATAACTCTCTGTTTAACGGCTTTTGAAGAGTTAATTTTATAAGGAAATAAAAAAGATTGACTTGCCTCCTGAATGTCCAGTGATAAACTGAACCCTAATTTCCCTACCTCAACAACATAAAAATGATGTAAAGTGGATCAAAGTATGTAACAAGTTAATATTAAAAATGCTTCTTCATATGGTCTTTCACTAAAATAATCAACGTAAAAATAATGTAAAAATGTGTTTTTGCTTGAAGATTTAGTGAACGTTCAAGGAATCACAATTTTTGAGCTTTTACATCCAGAGTACTATACTATGTGAAAATACTACAGTGCCTCATATAAAAAAGCACAGTGATAAAATTCCAAATGTAAAATTGCCAAAAATCAATAACAACTACATTCTCCATAATCTTTCCTTATCTAAAACCTCAAAGCTATCCATCTGTTTTAGTGGTTTGAGTGAGCACTGAAAACAAACATGTTTATTCAGGTTTAAAACTAAATTTCTCCTCTTGAAATCTGGAGGCAAAGATAGTAGAGACACTTAAGGTAACTCTGTCCAACTTCTTAAGCCCATGTATGGAAACAGTCTACAACATCTCATTATGTCAGCATTGATGCACCTTCTTCACCAGTGGCATCTTGGGAAATATGAAGGTCTTCAAGCATCTCAGCCAGACTAATTCGAGGTGCTCCTTCATCATCGGTGTCACTTTCCACAGGGATGGCTGAATCTAAAAAAATACAAAGAGAATAAAATAAATACAAAGTATTTATATGTATACAAAGTATTAAATATATTTGAAAATATACAAATATCTACCTTATCATTATTATTATGTAACTACATTGTATCAGAAGCTCTTGTCTCTTACAGCAGTCATTCAAATTACATTCACTGAACAAATGAACTGAGTAACTGTAAGAATATACTTCCACCACTATAGGAGTGAGCAACTTAAGGGATCAAGCTAGAATGCAAATAATACTAACTGTAATATACAAAACAGTATTTTGTTAAGTTTTATTTATTGTTTTGCAAGTTTTTTTGTAGAAGTGTGACTAGAGTAGTTGAAAAAACAATTAAAGACATTTATGAGAATCAAAGCTTAAGATACCAAAATATTCATACTAGGAACTATACTTATATACAGAACAAATGACTTAAACACTCCTAGAACACCAACCTCTGTAAATGTTGACATTTTTTCGAATTGCCTCATCTTCTTCAAGATCTTCAAGAAAATCTTGGTATTGCCTTTAAATAAACATTTAAATATTTCATCACCAAAAATATAGTTATATTTTCTTCATTTAAGGACTTTCATTTTAAGGACTATGTAGACATACTGCTGTTTCCAACTCACATTTCATGAAACAATTTTATATAAACTCTCAGTTTTTTTAGACATCGGTGTCTTCACCATCATTAAAGCCACTTTTTGAATCATCCAATAAACTGTTTTAGAACACTGTCTTCATTTCTGCTTAAATTATTTGAGGAATAACACACTTGGCATCAATGAGCTGTTTCCTTTTTATCTCAAGCCATAAGTACTCATCTGCTATTTGTGATATTCATAATGTAATTATTTATTATAAAGTCATGTGCCACATATTCTATGATGCTCACACAACAAAATCACCTAATGATGCATTTCTCAGAAGGTATGCCCATTGTTAAGCAAAGTATGATTATATTTTAACTTTTCAAATGAATTGTTTACATTAACACTACAATTATTAGGTCATAAACCAGGAAATAATTACTAAATCTGTGTTAAATGTCTTTACATCATCTTATACTGATTCCATTAATACCTTGATAAGAATCCAAGATTATAATTGAGTGCAAGGATCAATTGTGTGATGCCTATTTCTTTACAACATAAAAAGTATTTATCATAAATATTTCCTTTGAGACAACATAAGAGATTTAAAGAAAAGCGAGACCTTTCATCATCTGTATCCATGTTTTCTCTCTCTCTTGCAAGCTCTTTCAATTTCCAGTTTCTACGACGCTGACGTTTGGTCCGGTCATAGCTCTTCTTGATTAATACCTGCAAGATAAATATTTGTAAAGTTACAAAGAATGGGAACTATACAGTGAGGCCACAAAATTCAATAAAGCTAAAAAATGACCAAACTAATGACACTGGTTACACCTCAGGAGAAAGGAGAAGGGATGGAGAGACAGTGTCAAGAGGACTTTTAAAATTTTTCTCCATGTATTTAACTTTTTATGAGAATGGATTCAAGCATTATTTGTACAATTGTTAAAATTTGCTAAAATTTTTCAGTGACTGAATACTGTTTTTCTTAATAACAAAAACTGTAGTTTTCTTTTAACTCAAACTTCAGTTTTCAGCTACCATTCATATAAATCATTCTGAATATCACAAGTAGATACTTTTTTTCTCTTATACCCACCAATAAGCATTTACAGAACTATATATAACTTTCACAACAATGTATCTTAGAACGCTTGTTTAATAAATTATAGAATGAAAATAATTTTACAAAATACAAAATATTGTAAGATTGCCATGATCTCCTCTTATGACCTTGTTAGAAATACCTATTTAGACTTACACTCCAACCACGCTGTTAATTCCTAATTTATCAACTAATAAAAGTACAACTGGGCAGGTGGTCGGAGTCCTTGATTTGTCATGGCTCTACTTTTTTTGCTCACTGCTAAAGAAATCAATGTTTATTCTAAAAGATTAAGCAAGTATAGAAGACAGGGTCTTTCACACTAATTTCATTCAGTTTCTCATGATTCTTAACCTCATCATGTTAGAACTTAACAGATTTTTCAGAATTAATAGTTTTTTTCCAAGGCTTGATACTGTGAAGATTATTTTTCACGGATATTTTATTCAGCTTTGAATAACAGCCTTAACTCTAAATGCCTTCTTAACTGAACAATGTATGTGAAACGAAGTGAGCCTAATAAAAATGAACCTGAAAAAATGCTAAATGTCATCATTTTTAGCTGCAAATTTATTTATTTATCTTTTGGAGACGGAATCTTGCTCTATCACCCAGGCTGGAATGCAGTGGCATGATCTTGGCTCACTGCAACCTCCACTTCCCAGGTTCAAGCAATTCTCCTGCCTCAGCCTCCTAAGTAGCTGGGACTACAGGTGCATGCCACCACGCCTGGCTAATTTTTTGTATTTTAGTAAAGATGGGGTTTCACTGTGTTTTCCAGGCTGGTCTCGAACTCCTAAGCTCAAGCAATCCACCCACCTCAGCCTCCCAGAGTGCTAGGATTACAGGCATGAGCCACCGCACCCGGCTAAATTTATTTTTGCTCTACAGATAATATCAGGTATTTTGATCGAGAATGAAAATGTGATTAGAAAAGGAACAATCACAATAAATCTTGGATTTACCCCACCAAGAAAAATTATTTAAAATGAAGCCAGGCATGATAGGTGACACCTGTAATCCCAGCTACTTGAGAGGCTGAGGTGGGAGGATCACTTGAAGCCAGGAGTTCGAGACCAGCCTGAGCAACATAACAAGACCCCGTCTCTACAAAACGTGTTTTAAACATTAGCTGGGAGTGGTGGCATGTGCCTGTAGTCTCAGCTACTCAGGAGGCTGAGGTGGGAGGATTACTTGAGCTCAGAATTTTGAGCTGCAGTGAGTGATCATGACACTGCACGCAAGCCTGGTCAATAAAGCAAGACTCCCATTTCTTTTTTTTTTTTTTGAGACTGAGTTTTGTTCTTGTTGCCCAGCCTGGAGTGCAACGGCGCAATCTCAGCTTACCACAACCTCCACCTCCTCGGTTCAGGCAATTCTCCTACCTCAGCCTCCCAAGTAGCTGGGATTACAAGCTTGCACTACCACGCCTGGCTAATTTTTTTGTATTTTTAATAGAGACAGGGTTTCTCCATGTTGGTCAGGCTGGTCTCGAACTCCCAACCTCAGGTGATCCACCTGCCTAGGCCTCCCAAAGTGCTGGGATTACAGGCTTGAGCCACTGCACCCAGCCTCCTGTTTCTTTAAAAAAAAAAAAAAAAAATTTTGCTATTATACCTTATCTGCAGTTTCAGAAATCTCTAAATTGATTTGTTATTTTCAAAAGTGTGAACTCCTACCTCTTACCCCTAAGAGTTACATTCATCCTCTTTAACACAGGAAAAAAGGGAAAAATCTAAAGCCTTACCACATCTGGAACTCTATCTGAGTTCATTTTGTTGACATGCTCATCATTTAAGTTACAGTTGGCCAAATCAAACCTGAAATGTAAACAATGAAAAACTTAGTGACCATTTACCCTTTGTGTGTAACTTTTTATTTTATGGCTATCACCTAAAACTTCCTAAAAATCAAACATTTAATATGCTTCTCACTTTAAAAGTTCTGTCATTTATTACACAATGAACATGCTTCTGTAGATGCTGGTAAAGACAATAAGGAACTCTGAGTTTCACTTATAATCAATTATTGTCCACCTTGCCATACATTTGTAAAAGCAAAACAGACTTACATATCAGTCCAACTTTAGAATTCAATTAGTTGCTTCCTTCTAGTTTATTTTAAACAAACAAACAAAAAAAAAACACCTCATTCTGTAGTAAAAGAAACTGAAATCCTAAAAGCAAAAGCAATATTTGAGGGTTTAATCACACACTCACTGAAAAACTCTGATTCAGAAAGAACTGATCTATGCCTTTACAAGCCCTTTGTATATATATAGTTGTCATATCTTAAAAGTGAGTTATCTGAGCAGTAGCAACTGCACAATAAAAAAGACCCAATCTGCAAAAGCAGTTCTAAATATGGATACAACCATATAACTTCAAGGCTCAATTAACAAAATCTTACAACAAATTACTCTTTAAGATTATAACCAAAATGGAGTAACTATGGGCTTCTGTCCAACCCAGTTTAATTTAGTTATCAACAATAAAATGAGTTATAAGGCTCCTAAGAACCCTTCGATCTTTTTAGAATAAACAATGTTAGTATTTTTAGGTAGTTTTGCTGGTTCCCAAAGAAAATTTGCAATCCTAATTGGCAGTTTAAAATATGAAATAATACAAACCCTAACACCAGGTCTCCGGGATTTAGAAGATGTCCCAAATGAGTACGACAAAAATACTGTTTATCTGTATTCATTTCAGATGTCTTCTGTACCCAGACTTCCCCGAGGGTATGCT
Organism: Homo sapiens; assembly: GCF_000001405.40. Classification (NCBI taxonomy): domain Eukaryota; kingdom Metazoa; phylum Chordata; class Mammalia; order Primates; family Hominidae; genus Homo; species Homo sapiens. The sequence goes on along the minus strand of NC_000003.12, from coordinate 161,246,333 downwards.
TAAGAGGAAAGAAAATGTACTCTTCAATAATCTAAACATAACTCTAAAAGCATCTCAGAGAAAAGTTAAATACAATATTGATTTTTGGTTTTCTAATTTTTAAAGACAGAAAATTTTTTGTATTTTTCTGATGTATGAAACACTGTCAAAATTAACAAATTACTGAATCATGAGTATAGAAAGACTCACAAACAATTCATAAAAATAAATCATTGACTTTTTCTAAGATTTTATTCAAGACTTTTATAAAACATTAATAATGTCCCTAAAAATATATATATGTAGAATTTTCAAAAGAAATGTTTTCACAGGAAGATGGGCCAACATAGGCAGAGTGAACAAAATAACTGAAAAGGTAGGGGAATCTTAAAGCAAGAACGTATTCCAAGCAAACTCTTGCTTGACACAAGGGTTCAGAAAATCAGGGTCCAGACAAAACAGCCTAGAAATCCTGGTAGTAAACCACTAGAGAGGCCAAATCTTTATCAAATTAATTTTTAAAGTATCTACTAGTGTAGACTACAATCATTCTCTACATCTGCTATATATAATATAGTACATCTGCTATATATAATATATATATAGCAGAAACAACATCCCAATTTTTAAACTAGAAAACTATTAATTCCCTTTCTAACATGCCAACACCTTTAACAACAAAGACAGACCAACTGAAGTGAGATCGAGAGAAAAATACTAAGAGTTATAAATAAAATTAAGGAATCTCAAAATAAAGTTATGAAAAGAATCAAGTGTTTCTTATTGCAGTTGGTCAAAGAAAAAGAAATGAAAAAAATGAAAAGAAATAGAGCAGAAGGAGAAACTGAAATAAAAGACAAGTCTCAAACTTAAGAACTGCAAAAGAAAAGTCAATTAACAGGGAGACTACATTTTATTTAACAGGATTTACTTTCTAGCTATTAGACTTCTGCTTGTAAGAAATTTATTAACCTCTTCTAGCTATTTTTTAAAAACCAAGAAAATACAGTATCTGGTTTTATATCTGCCTGAAGGGAAATGATACTCTACATTTATTATAAATGAAAAGTTTGCCCTAAGTACATTACCTTAATTTATAAATAAAATGTAGAATGTCATCTGTCTTCCATTTCCATTAATTTTTCCCAAATTATCACAAGTTATTTTTGTCTCAAGAAGCATTATTAGCACGCACACACACACACACACACAAGGGTACCCTGGGAGTCTCTAGATACTATTTCACAGTAAAAGAAGCCAGACTTTCATCTTTGAAGAAACATTTGATTTCAGATATGGGTTATAAACTATACATGTGATTCTGGAACACCTGAATGCTGTGTTGCACCAGAAATCAAGGATGCTTTCAAAGACCAGGAGAGTCACGTCAAAACAACATAGGAACCATTCTGAAGGGGCTCCCATTGAATAAATTTAGGGCAATATGAGGATTTCAAAAAAAAGAAAGGGCAGGCGCTCATGCTCATTCCTATAAGGGAGGCAGTAGGATCGTTTGAGACAAGCCTGAAAAAACAGTGAGATTGACTCTACAAAAAATTAAAAAATAGAAATGAGACAGGTGTGGCAGCATGCTGAGGTGGTAAGATCACTGGAGCACACAACCTCAAGGTTCCAGTGACCTATGATCATACCATTGAACTCCAGCTCTGAGAGACAGAGTGAGACCTTGTCTCTTTAAAAAAAAAAAAAAAAAAGGAAAAGAAATGAAGGGAGAGGAGGAGAGAAGAAGAAAACAAAAGAAAATACAGTAAATGATACAATACTTATACTTCAGGAGATCACAATGATAATCACAAAGAGAGACACCACCTGTACATGTAAGCTAATTTTCACCACTGGAAATGATTCCTAGATCAACTCTTTACTCTAAAAATATTTGCTAAAAGAATTAATAATTTATGCATAGGCCAGGGGAGGTGGCTCACGCCTGTAATCCCAACACTTTGGGAGGCCAAGGCAGGAGGATTGCTTGAGCTCAGGAGTTCAAGACCAGCCTGAGTAACATGGAGACCCCATCTCTACAAAGAAATTAAAAAATTAGCTGGGCATGGTGGCACATACTTGTGGTCCCAGCTACTCAGGAGGCTGAGGCAGGAGGATCATTTGAGCCCAGGAGTTTGAGGCTGCAGTGAGCTATGAAGCCATACCGCACTCCAGCCCAAACAACACGGCAAGATCATGTCTAAAATTAATTAATTAAAAGAATGTATGCAGGCGAGCATTTCAGGAAAGCTACATAACCCCTAGTTAATAATGAAAAGCTCTTCTTTAAGAATGACAGCTAGTAAATGTAGAATAGAAATAGAAAATTCACCATTTTGTAACCCTGAATAAAATAATTAATTTATGGGCAAGAATTATCAACAGATGCTAAAGCCAGAAAAAAAAAGAGGTAACAGGAACTCAGTACTTGCATATTATTATAGTATTAAGCCACAGATTGCTTGCTGGTCAGAAGGAAAAAAAATCATAACATTACAATGGAGGAATCTGACTATCACTATGTTAACAAGTGAAACAGTCAGACATTACTTGTCTCTTGATATAATAAAAAGTACATGGCATCATCTCTGAAATATTCTGGCAAGAAAAATTTAACCTAAATGTAACCAAACCTTTAGATCAACTTTCCAGTTTAGAGGAAACACAATGAATTAAGAAGCTAGTTAAATGGCATCATGAGGAAACAATTAGATAGATTTAGAAGGTGGAGTATTCTACAAGATAAATGCACTAGTTGTCTAAGGAAGTTGGTATCATAACCAATAAAAGAAAAAAGAAGGGGACTATTATTAAATAAAAGACTAAAAAGGTATAATATTCCCATTTAATGAGTGGTCTCCAATTGAATACCTGTTTGAACAAGGCATAAAAGACACTTTTGGGACAAATGAGGAAATCTGAACACAGTAATCCCCCCCTTATCCATAGTTTCCCTTTCAAAGTTTTCATCTGCCCACAGTTAATCGCTATCCAAAAACAGGTTGGTGGAGTAGAATTAGATAACTTTAAGAAAGAGACTACATTCACACAACTTTTATTACAGTATATTATTATAATTGGTCTATTTTATTATTAATTATTGTTAATCTCTTACTGTGCCTAATTTATAAATTAAACTCTATCATAGGTATGTATGTATAGGAAAAAACAATACACATAGAGTTTGGTACTATTGTGGGTTGTTTCAAAAATCCACTGGGGGTCTTGGAATGTATCCCCATGGATAAGAGCAGAATACTGTGTAGACTGTATGTTTTATAGGTATGGTAACAACATTTTCATTATGTAGAAAAATATTCCTGTGTGTGAGAGATGCACACTGAAGTATTTAGTATTTGGTGATGACTTTTTAAAAGTCAAGATAACCACTACAAAAATAAAGGTCCTCCTCTATAAAAATAAAGCAAAGAAATGCCTTTTTTAAATATAATGGAATAAACATTTAAAAGATTTTTCCTACACAAAAGAGAATAAATTAACTTAACAGTCTAAGTCTAACAATTTCCACAATGACCACATATTAAAAAGACAAAAAAAAAAAGAATTTTTTTCCTAATGTGGTGCTAAGTTTGGATTCCATACTGTGGAAACACCAACAAATTTTTTTTAAAAGAGGGACTGAAACAATAATAACTGAGGGGAAAAAAAAATACACTGGCAGGCAGGATGTAGCTTACCTTTTTTGATATCATTCCAGCACCTGCAGCACGTTTTATATCTTGGACTATGCTGCATTCCATCACAATAAACTCCTCTAGCTGTTTGGGATGACATAAACTATTGAAAGGGTGACTCCAGAAAGTGCTCCCATCAATATCTGCCACTAAAAATAAGGATAGAACACAAAAACATAAGAAAAATTATATATTTCAATTATCAAATGTATTAACTAAGAATAAACTGGTAGATACCAACTGGGAAGTGGCAGGTCAACAGAACTAGTGTCAACTCACTCCTTAGGGTCATCAATTACTCCTATAAACCAATCCCAAACTTCTCAAAGCACAAGAAAAATATATCAGATGTCAAACATATCTTAAATAGTTACTATAACCAGAATGCCACAGGGCTAAGTGCCTCTTAAGTAAGATCAGAGCCAATCAGTGGTACAGCTGTTTCACGTGCTGGCACTTTATTTTAGAAACGTATCTGTCACCTTAGCTGCTTAGTTTATGGGAAATAAAGCCTAGTTCTACCAGATAGGTAAAGAATGTCCATCCCAATATTGCTAACAGATCTTTAACTTATGAATCCTAACTGATAAAGATAATGAATGACTTTGAAAAATATCAAAATAAACTCACTTTTTGTATAAAGGAAACTTATATTACAGAAAATACATGAAAAAGATCAAGCAGAAGATACATCCAAATACTAAGATACCTACCAAAATGTGGTCTTCCTTAAAAAATAATTTATTCTATAGACAATGTTAAAAAATGATCTACAGTAATAACAAAATTGGTTAAAATTCATATTCAAACTAAATGTTCCAATGGGCCACAAAAAGCCAAATGTTCCAAAATTTAAAATAACTGCTAGACACCAAATTTTGGCAATGGACTTAAGTAAATAGTCACAAAAATTAAATGAGGTAAATAAGTCAATTTCAGGCTGGACATGGTGGCTCACGCTTGTAATCCCAGCACCTTGGGAGGCCGAGGCGGGCAGATCACGAGGTCAGGAGTTCAAGACCAGCCTGGCCAACACAGTGAAACCCCGTCTCTACTAAAAATACAAAAATTAGCTGGGCATGGTGGCAGGCACCTGTAATCCCAGCTACTTGGGAAGCTGCAGCAGGAGAATAGCTTGAACCTGGGAGGCGGAGGTTGCAGTGAGCTGAGATTGCGCCACTGCACACCAGCCTGGGCAATAGAGCCAGACTCCATCTCAAAAAAAAAAAAAAAAAAGTCAATTTCAGTAAAAATTAATGGAATAAACCAGTAAATATGTAAAAATTAACAGAATTGTTTCTTTAAATAAAAAATACAAAAGTAACTAATCAAAGCTTGCAAATTCCACAATGTTTTGTATTAAACAATAGCACAAATTTTAACTAACCTTTCAAAACAATATTAGCAAGAATGCTTGAAAAATTAACAACACAAATTATTATTGTTTGTCATACAAAACAAAATTGTCAAGGCAAATCATTTCCAGAATTTACCTTGTAGGGTGTTTGGATCAATGAGGTGAATGGCACTGGTTACTCGAATACACACACAAATCTGGTTCATATTTCCCAGGCTTTGTGCCAGTTTTGGAGACAGACAGACAACATTATCCTAGGCATAAGAACTAACATTTAGAATGAGGCATATCCTAAATAACAGTCCAATAAACACTCATCAATAAACACCCAATCCAATTGCATTTGACCAACCAAAACGTTATTTTCAATTCTATCAATCAACAAAGAGACTAAAGAAAAGAATCAGACCTTAAGTATGACAGGCATCTTGTCTTAATAAAAATGCTTTAAAAAAAAAAAAATCCTGGCTGAGCACGCTGGCTCACTCCTGTAATTCCAGCAATCTGGGAGGACAAGGTGGGAGAATCCCTTGAGCCCAGGAGTTCAAGTCTAACCTGGACAACATATGGAGACCCTGTCTCCATATACATATATATATATATTTTAATTAGCCAAACGTGGTGGTGCATGCCTGTGGGCCTAGCTACTTGGGAGGCTGAGGTGGAATGACAGCCTGGGCCCAGGAGGTCGAGGCTTCAGTGAGTTAAGGTGGTGCCACTGCACTCTAGCCTAGGTGACAGAGCAAAACTGTCTCTCAAAAAAAAAAAAAAAATCCAGGGCCCAAATCACCAAGCTATTATTATTTCCATTTTATTGCAGTGTGAATGCCTCTTATCACTCTATATGTTAATACAGTGTACATTCTAAACAGAGTATTATAAACATTAGCAGGAGAGTGATTCTATAAATCCACCTGTGACTTCTTTCAATCTCCATTAAAAAATAAACTTCAAAGGAACACATTTCTCTTACATGGCTACATGTGCCAATATACAATCAAAGATTTAAGCCCAAAAAAGTCACATGTCTACATTTATATTGGGAGACATGAAGCAGCAACGTAATTATCTGTTTTTAAACTGAATTAAAATACAAAAAAGATCTGAGTTATATTTTAAGGTGTATCTATTCACAATCATAACAGCTCTTAGTTCAGTCCTTGGTTTTTAATACATGAGTTTCCAAAGATAAACAAATATACTTTTTTACATAGTTTAATACATATGTTAATTTTTACATGTGTAAAACTCAGTTACACAAGGCCTAAATATGCCCTCACACCTAAATTCATATTTCTCAAGATTTGTACCAGGGAAACATTTACTGTTTTAAACCAGAGGTTGGCAAAATGCCACCCTCAGGACAAATCTGACCCACCATCTGTTTTTGTAAATAAAGTTTTACCAGAACACGGCCCTGACATTCCTTTACATATTACCCATGCTACTTTTGTACAACAGCAAAGCTGAGTAGCTGCAAAAGAGATTATACGACCTGAAAGTTAAAAAATTTACCATCTGTCTCTTTACAGAGAAAGTTTGCTGACCCTATTTTAAGCTATCATTTCATCCCTAGTACATACTATAAAATAGCAATAGCAGTTTTAAAGCTTTGGAGACACAGACCTGGGTGCAAATCCTAGCTTCATCATTTTGTGATCATGTAACTTTGGGCAAGTTATCTAACCTCCTCAAACTTCAATTTCCTCATCGTCAAAATGATATGGCTTACCTCAGTTATTATGAGATGAGAATGAGGTGAAAGACACTAAAGTATCTAGATTAACTTTATGTAGAATGGTCACAATAATGGCAGTTATCATTCTTAGTGATTTAATACTGACATATAAATTCTTACATGGCAGAGACCTGTAGTTATACAATCCTCAGTACACAGCCTTCTATACTATAGATACTCAATAACTATTTATTGAATTTTAATTCATATTTTTCTGAAGCAGAGTTTTATCTTAGTACAATTAAATGAAATAATCTACATTTTAAATGTTTTATTCAGCTTATGTTTTAAAATCATAAAAATGATTCTATGATCTCATTTTCACATTATCACAATATTCTTTCATTTCTTGCCAAAATTTTGTTTGTACATATTCCACAAAGTGGCTCACTAATATTGATTTTAATGTCATTTCTTTTATTCAATTTCACTGAACTATATGATACAGGCTCATAGGATCACAAATTTCAAAGAATACGGACTTTTATCAACTATAACCAGGTCTTTTCATTTTAATACACCAAAATAAAAGGCATGTCAATTCATAATTATAAGCATGACTTTTTTAAAAATATATATCTTTTAACATGGCTGAATGTGTTAGAAGTCACTTAAGGAACTTATTCTAAATTTTTAACCAACCCTAGAGGAAAACCAGGAGCTACAAATTACATATAAGCCAATTAATTACTTGTACTCTTTTACAGATATGGATTAAATGAAAAAGAAAAGTACCTTGCATATTGGAACAATTTCCACAGAAAAAGTGCTTTTGTAATTGTATGTGTTACTATGGATATCTTGAGAGATCAGTCTTTGTGATGCTTTGTATCTATTAAGAAAAAAGTTAGTAGTAATATAAAGACAAAGATCATTAACCTGTATGGACTCAGGAATATCAATTTTCATTAAATCAAACCATCATTGTCCAAGGTCTAAAATGGCTTCATGATGCCTCCTCTGGTAAAACCTACTGTCCTGCACTTGCATGTCAAAACCTTCACCATTCTAACTAAGCCCTACCTATTTTGAACCTTTTCCACCAAACCTCTAGAACATGCTGTTGGCTCAGACCAATCTACTTTCTATATAGCATTATTAAAAGCCATACTAACGCCCACTGCAAATCTTTGTTCACACTAATAGTACCTTTCAATATAAACTCCAGCTATGAAAATTTCCCGATCTTTGGAGCACAAGTCCTACCACCTCTGTGAGTGGGTGGTTAACCCAATATATGCTTCCTGATTGTGTAAGTATTTCTACTACGATTTTAAATAAAGAGAAGTTGTCTGAGCCTGAAGAATATATGTGATCCGCATCCATTCCCAAGTCCTTAGATTTAGTCACATTCAAGGTTCAGAACATACCTACAGGGAACTGTACACTGAAGAAATTCGACCATCTTCTGAGCATGTTGTTTTGAGGAATAATAAAAATCCAGACCATCTTAAAAAAAAAAAAAAAGCCCTATGAAAATAATTATGCAAAATAGGATTCTCCTCTACTAACATGACTATATTATAAATTACATCTGTTTTAAACAAAATCAAATTATTAGAAAACTCTATTGTAGTCACAACAGATTAGAGATATCACTTAAGACTTCTTTGGCAAAAAGACAGACAAAATAAATCAGCAAATGAAAATAAAACTCGTAATTCTAATTCTAGAAAAAATAAAACTCAAGGCCAAGGGGGACAGAAAAACAAAGAACAAAGAAAGTTTATGAACAGCCGGGTGCGGTGGCTCATGCCTGTAATCCCAGCACTTTGGGAGGCTGAGCTGGGTGGATCATGAGGTCAGGAGATCAAGACCATTCTGGTGAAACCCCGTCTCTACTAGAAATACAAAAAATTAGCCGGACGTGGTGGCATGTGCCAAATCTCAGCTACTTGGGAGGCTGAGGCAGGAGAATCGCTTGAATCCAGTTGGCGGAGGTTGCAGTGAGCCCAGATCGCAACACTGCACTCCAGCCTGGGTGACAGAGCAAGACTTCATGTCAAAAAAAAAAAAAAAAAAAGAAAGTTATTTTATGTAATAAATGGAATAATCTACCAAGAAGATAACAGGAAACTATCTGAGAGATAGAAAACAAAAAGTACTAGAAAAAGAAAAGAAAAAATTAACAAATATTAACACATACAATCATTGTGAAGGACTAGAATAGGACTCTCTCAAAACCAAAATAATCATATTGACAAAAAATAGTAACAATTCACAGAACTTGAATAACCAACTATCAAGGTCGAGTTAACTGAGATTATAGAACACAGTTCTAAGAAAGAATACATATTTTATCAAACATTCATAAAACATTCATTTAAAAATCATGTATTAAGATTTTAAAAAGAAAAAGAATTTCAATAAATCCTAAACAGTAGAAATTACTAAAGACAACATTATCTCATCATAAAACAGTAGCACTAGAAATCAAGAAAGGAATAGCCAAAAGCAAACCTACCTAGCTGAGAAATATTAAAGATATTCTTGCAAATAACTAAATATAATTACCAAAACAGCCAATACTAAAATTACCCAGAATAGCCAAAACAATTTTGAAGAAAATGAACATTACACATTTAATGTCAAAACTCACTAACTTTAGTAAGTATGCAAGATAGCATGGTACTAATATAAGGATAGATATATAGATCAATGGGAGCAGACTTCAGATTCTAGAAATAAACCATTACATTTACAGTCAATAGATCTTTGACAGAAGACCCAAGGCATTCACTGAGGAAAGGACAGAGTTTTCACTGGGATGAAGAATATCCACATAGAAAAATATGAATTTAGACACTTATCTCACACTCTGCACAAAAATTAACTCAAGAGTTAGACCTAAATATATAAGACCTAAAACTATAAAACACTTGAAAGAAACTATAGGAGAAAATCTTTGTGACCTTGATTAGACAAACAGTTTTTAAGCATAACCCCAAAACCACAATTAAAAGAAAAAACTTGATAAACTGGACTTCAACAAAATTTAAAACTTTTGCAATTCAAAGGACACCATTAAGAATATAGAGTGTGAATTTTCTCCTACACACTAGGAGAAAATATGTGCAAACCATATATGCAGTAAGAGACTTGTATCCAGAATATGCTCAACATCGTTAGTCATTAGCAAAATGGAAATTAAAACCACAATGAGATACCACTTCATACCACCCTCTAGAATGGCTATAAACAAAAATATAAGAACAAGTGTTGAGGAGGATACAGAGAAATATTGGCGGCAGGAATGTAAAATGGTACAGCCACTTTGAAGCAGTTTGGTAGTTTTTTATATATAAACATAAATTTACCATATGACTTGGTAATTCCACACCTAAGTATGTACCCAAAAGAATGAAACAGCTGAGGTGCTTGCTGAGGGCAAATAAAATATGCAATGGGCAGTGGAAAAAGGTAGCTATAAGTACCAGCTACAGACCCATTATAGTACTCAGAAGAAAATTTATGATCTTAAATATATGTATTAGAAATTAAAAATAAACTAAGCTTTCAATTAATTAAAACAAAACAGAACTAAATAGAGTTGAGGGAATTAGTGTTAAAAACAAAATTAATAAAAAGATTGTTTAAAACTAAAAATAGTTTTTTGAAAAAACTAACATAATAGATAAAAGTAGCTAGTCTAAGGTGAGGTGAGTAGAAAGAGAAAAGATAAACATTAGGAACAATAGAGAGGACATAACTACAGTTACGGATGAGATTTATTTTATTTGTTCAATTTTATACCAAGAATCTAAAAAGCTAGATGAAATGGTTTTTCTTGGAAAATGGTATTAAAATTGACTCAAGGGGTAGAATACCTGAGAGGTGAATATCATAAAAGAAACTGAAAAGACGTCCCTTAGGAGATATCAAATTGGATGGCTTAATGGGCAAGTTCTTAAAAAACTTCTAGAGGTTAATTAAATGCTAGGTAGAAAGAAGGCAAGCTTTCTTTCTAACTCTTTTCAATGTCACTCACTTAACTGAGAGCAAGATTGGACAGAAGTATGTATGCATATGTATCAAACAGAAACCTCAAGAAATATCATACTTAGGTATGAAACATAAAAAGATAATTATGTTTGACATTAGCAGAAAATTAAAAATTCAGTTTCTCAGTTGCTCTAGCCACATTTCAAGTACTCAACAGCCAAATGTGGCTAGTGACTATACCATACTGGACAGTGCAGATAAAGAATTAAGTTGTTTTTTTTTTTTTTCCTAACAGAAAGTTCTTTTGGACAGTACTAATCCAGATATTATCAGTAAATATAAGATTACTTAGGTATGTTGAAATAAAAATCTGACATAATTTCAAATGCTTTTGAGTTTTAACTCACCATGAATCTCTTTGATACGAAGTGTATTCTGATGCATTCCATATTTCAGAATTAACTGTTCCAGATAGTAGAAAGTTTTTTTATGCAAAGTCTAAAATATAAATTATTTGATCAATAAATGCCCCACAAAAAAGCCATTTATAGGTATAGGACACACATACTATCTACAGATAGAGCATACTGATTTTTCAAACAATAACAATCTTTAAAGATTATCTAAAATGTAATAATGATCTATTTCCAAAGGTGAATGCTTCAGGGACCCAGACTATCCCTGGATTTAGAAAGAAGGAAAAGTTATAATTAACAAAGACGAAATATAAGATGTAGGACTCACTCATCATCTTCTCTCATTACCTTTTGCCTCACTTGAATCACAGCCTTCCAGAAATCCTTAGCTTCTACTCTATGGCAATCTCCACACATTTGGGACTGAACAACATAATCCACCACAAACACTTGTTGAAGGATAGCACCATTCATCACCTGATAAAACAATTACACTCCTTCATTCTTTTGGTTTTGTTTAATAACAAATATTTTCTTTAAAGAAGAACCTTTAATATTTAATTTAAAACTTTTTCCATTAATGCTTTGAGGACATCAATCAAATGTCCTCAAATTTAAAGTCATAAAAACAAGTTATACTATTTCAAGAACGGTATACAGATTTAATTCCTAAGATTTATTAGATTAGCATTTCAAATTTTCCTTTAGCTGAAGTGGTTGTGAGAATATTCTGTGTATATTTTACATATATATATATATATATAATTTTTTTTGAGACAGGGTCTCACTCTGCCTGTTGCCCAGCCTGGAGTACAGTGGCACGATCTTGGTTCACTGCAACTTCTGCCTCCTGGGCTCAAGTGATTCTCCACCTCAGCCTCCCAAGTAGCACACACCACCACGTCCAGCTAACTTTTGTATTTTTAGTAGAGATGGGGTCTCGAACTCCAGGGCTCAAGTGATCTGCCTACCTTGGCCTCCCAAAGTGCTGGGATCACAGGTGTGAGCCACCATGCCCAGCCTATACATGTTTACATAGAAAAATCATCCTTAGAAGAAAAAAATAAGGAAAACTTCTCAAAAAAAAAATTCCTTAATTTAATGATTCCCAAACATAACTGATCAGAAATCACATGGGAAGCTTTTTAAATACAGATTGAACATTCCAAATCCAAAAACCCAGAATCTGAAATTTCAGCTTCAAAATCTGAAACTTCTTGAGTTTCTAAATGACACTCAAAGAAAATGTTCACTGGAACATTTTGTATTTGAATTAGGGATGTTCAACCAGTTAAGTATAATGCAAAATTCCAAAATCCAAAAAATCCAAAATCTGAAACACTTCTTGTCCCAAGCATTTCAGATAAGGGATACTCAACCTACTTATAGATTCCCGGCCTCACATACAGAGAATTTTTGCTTCAGTTATGATGAGTCATTACAATGATCAGCCAAGTTTGAGGATCAGTACCTTAGACCATGTTTTTACTTCAATCCTTTCCTAATAAAAATAACTCTGGAAAAGTAAGTCTGCTAATCAGAAGCAATGACTACTCTTACTAGTGATCTAATTATTTGTACAGATGCTCAAAAGAAAACAAACAGCTAAAATTGAGTGTACTCTTTTTCTTTTAAGCTGTTCAAGCCATAAAATAACTTATCACTGGGTCTTCATTTTCACTACCTGCACTTTAACCATGCTGAGAAAATTATGTACTGCTTACCTCTTTCTGAATAGTCAGTTTAACTTTAAGTCTCTTAGAATGAGGCTCAGTCCAAACAAAGCCTGCATCTACAAGCCGTACCTTCAATAAAACACAAACAAAAAGAAACGTAAGTTCTCACCTAGGAGGAAAAAAAACACGAAAGAACAAATCATCAATAAGCAGATTTCATAAGATGCTTAAGGAATCTGTGATCAGCATACTACACACCATCATCACAAAAAAAGATTAATCATTGGTTACGTAACAACAGCAGCAAATCAAAGGACAACCCAATGACTATATTAATGCAACTGATATAATTTAAGCAAAAATTAAAGTATTTGCATAGGAAAAAAATTCTTTTCCCTTAAAAAAAAAAAAAAAGTACATTGTCCTTTAAAAGGAAATTATATTTTTTGGAGGAAAGCAAAGACCTTGTGACCTCATTATTTATTAGTAACCTCATGAACAAAAGTTTCCACTTGGATTATTCTCTCTATATTCTGTGACTTTTTTTAAGAAGTGACATTGATTAGAGAAGTTGCATGCACTGAATACTAAATCCACAACTATAACTCACTACTAAATCTGCAGCATCTGCATAGGCCAAAACAGTTTGCTATATGTGAAGATCTGAATATAACTCAAGAATGGCCAGAATGGGTGTTTGGGGAGAAGGGGTGGGTGGGAGAACAAGAATGGAGGCTGCTGTAATAACCTGGGCCAGATTGTAGATGATCTGAACTGAGAGGCACTGGAAATAACAAAAGCAGATGCAAGGGCTAGTTAGGAGATAAAAATCTGTAAGATTTATCTGCACAGTCCAAGTGATGCAGAAAAAAAATCTGTAAGATTTAATGGTAACTGGATATGGAAAAGAGGAAGAGAACAGACTCCAGAATGATGCTCAAGTATTTGCTTAGACAACTAGGCAGTACACTTTTTGTGACTACCTATACCGAAATAAACAATGGATATAATGAGAAAAAGATGTTACATTTGATTTCAGACATTTCAGTTTAAGACAGTATCTGTGAGATACCCAAGAGGACTTTTCAGTGAACAGTAAGATACAATTGGTCTGGAGATCTATAAAAAAATTTGGGCTGCAGTTAACAGATTTGAGAGGTATCAGCAGCAGATTATACTTTTATCAAGCACTGTCTGGTAAAAAGTAGACTGGCCACTTTTAGTGTAGATGCAAAGATTCAACACACCAGAGTAAAACCCTCCTCATATAGCTGGCCTCCCTAAAACAAAGCCTAGTAGTTAACAAGTGATGCCAGGTACACAGGGTGATAGGCAGATTCCTATTCCTTCAATCTCCATCAGCAGTGGTTAAAAAAAAAAAAAAAAAAAAAGCCCCAAAGGCACTGAATAAGACTGATCTTCCCCTCAAGCTCCAACCTCCACCTGCAGGAATGGAGAGTCTCCTTGACATCCTGCTCGGCATTCCCCAACACAACCACTGCACTATGTGTCCTCAGACAACCATGACTAATCAACTTTATTAGTCCCTTTCTTTCTTTACCATAGTCCCAGACACCTCAGTCACCCCTATTTCCCATACTCCAATTTCCATATGGTTATGCATATTCCCTATTCTGTCCCCATCTAACACTCCTCCCCGAATCCTAAAACCCTTCTACTGTGCCCTCCGGAGCTCAACATTCATTAACAATGAAATCTCCTAAATCCTCAACTTTGCTGAACATTCCCTTCACCTTCTAGATCTCCTGATTTCTCTCTCCCCTGCAGCTATATAAAGTGATAACTGATTCTTCCTATCACTGGACCAGGCACCAGACAGCTATCGTCCTTGCTCTTCATTGCTAATTACAGACCATTCTCCTTGTCTCCTCCTCAAATATACCCAGCTCTAAGTCTAAAGTCATTAGACTCTACCACCCGCAACTCTCTTTTTTATAGTAATCTATTCATCTTTGTATCACTTGTTTTCATTTCTCAAAAGATTTTAGCTTCTGGCTCACCATCACACTTTCCAACAATATTAATACCTAGCGATTTCAATATCCACACAGGTGATCCCCACAATACCCTGACCTCTCACTCCATTCTTTGAGTTCTTCTTCTCCCAAAATATTATCCACCTTCCTATCTCAGTCACTCATATGCCTCTATTACCAGTAACTGCAAACCCTCCAAACTATCAATTCCAAACATCCTACTCCCTGACTACCACCTCCCATCTTTCCAGCTTATTTCCTCTAGTTCCTGGGCACCAAATATCTTTCAAGCTAATATAATGGACAATCCATTCATCCTACCAACTTTATTCCTCATTCCTCCTCACTAGCTTCAAAATCAATAATCAAAATTATTCTCATGTACACACTCAATTTCCTTGTTCCCTCTCTTATTTCACCTTAGCCACTAGGCTAAATTATAAATTTGGTTAAATCCAGTGCTCTGCCTGCTCTATGCCTTGACTATGTGGCTGACAGAACTACAGAAATAGATGCACACCACAGTGACTAGTCTAAACTTGTAACAGTAACCCTCAGCACTGCCCAGCACCCATCCAACACTGTCCTGGTGCATTTCCTCTAGTTCTAGAGGACTATTTCATATCTTCCGCTCTCTCCTCAAACATCTATCTAACAGCTCTTCCCACATAGCTACTGCCCACGCTTCTGTTTTCTCCAGTACAAAAGAAGGAACCAGAGGAGAATTCCCAGAAGCTCCCACTCAACACCTTCCCTGCTGTTACCACAGATGAATTATCCATACTCCCATCAAGATCAACCTCCAGAATGCCCCTCTAGAGAGCAGAGATCTTTACTTTGTTCCATGAAATATTACAGCCTCCCAAAATGGTGCTTGGTGAAGAGTAAGTGCTGAATACTTGTTGAATGAAGGAGTGAATTAACAAATAAATGTATTCTTTCACTATGTACTATATCTCTTTTCCACTTATTGAGGCCACCCCCCAGCCAATTATTCTTCTCCCTGCAATTTCACAAAAATTTCCCTCCGTACTCTAACACTCCCAGAGAGCTTACAAATACAGTTATATATACCATCTTAAGAAATGTATCCTGGCCAAGCACAGTGGCTCATGCTTGTAATCCCAACACTTTGGGAAGCTGAGGCAGGAGGATCGCTTGAGCTCAGGAGTTCAACACCAGTCTGGGTATATTGTGAGATCTCTGCTCTACAGGGCCAAAAAGAGAGAGAAAGAGAGAGATCTCACCTCTAGTAAAAATAAAAATCAGCCAGGTGTGGTGGTGCATGTTTGTAGTACCAACTACTTAGGAGGCTGAGGCAGAAGGATCACCTGAGCCCAGGAGTTTGAGGCTGCAGTGAGACATGACAGCGCCACTGCACTCTAGCCTGAGCAATAAAGCAAGACCTTATCTCCAAAAAATAAAATAACATAAAAAGACAAGTGTCCCTTCCCCAACTTCCCCTTCAACCACTGCCCCATTTCTTTGTTTTCGTTTACAGCAAATCTCAAAAGAACTGTCTATCTTCCTTCTCCCATTTTAATTTCTATTTAAATGACATCTTTACCACCACCACTAAACAGAAATTGCCCATGTTATTAAGGTCGTCCACATTACTAAATCTACAGAACTCATTACTTGACTCATCAGCTGCAAATCACATAGCTACTCACTCCTTTCTTCTTAAAACACTTCCCTTTCCTCCCAGGACATCACACTCACCCTGTTTTCCTCCTACCTCCTAGCAGCTCCTTTCAGTCTCCTTTGCTGATTCCTCCTCATTACCCAATTATTTCTTCATCATTACCCATTAAAGGAATGATTCCAGGATTCAGTCCTCCAGTTTCTTTCCTTCTCTATGTAAACTCCTGAAATAATCTAATCCAATTCATGACCTTAAATACTATCTATATCCTAAATTCATTATCTCTAGACTGGACCACTCATTGGCTTATTTATCAACCTGCCTACTCAGTATTTCTACTTAAGTGTCTAGTAGACATCTAAATACCAGTTACAGATGAACTCTCATGCCCCCTACCCAGTGACTTGGCTGCTCAGGTCACGAACAGTGGAAGGCATCCTTAACTCTTCTGTCTCTTACAAAAACACATCCAGCTACATCAGTAAATGTTACTACCTTAAAAATAGATCCAAAATCTGTCCACTTCTTACCACCTCCATTGCTGATCCAAAACCATTTCTCATGATTATTACAAAAACTTAAACACCTTTACCTCCCTTACAACCATTCTAAAAACAGCAGCCAGAGGAATACTAATAAGTCATGTCATCTCACTACTCTGCCCTTCACCCTCTATACTCCTTACACTCAGAGTAAGAAACAGCCCCTATAAGGGCCTACAAGGCCAGACACACTGTGGCCTTCCATGACTTTTCTGGACTCTATCCCCAACTACTTTTCCCCTCACCACTCCGTTCTATTCACACAAGTATGCTCTTGCTTTTGGTCTCTACATTTGTTTTCTTTACCCCTAATGCTCTTCCTCCACATTTCTGCACAGCTTCCTCCCTTACTGTAATCTTTAGTGTTTACTCAAATGTCACCCTATCAGTGAGCCCTCCCCTAAACACCCTTACTTTAAATTTCAACTCTTCCATGCACAGTTCTTATCCTCTTCCTAGCTCCTTTCTCCACAGAATATACCTTTTAATATACCATGTAATATATCCACCTATTTTGATCGCTGCATACTAACATGCTGCTCCACACTGGCATGTTAGTGTGCAATTAGAATACACGCTTTCTAAGACAGGGATTGCCTTATTCACTGCCATATCCCCAACACCAAAAGCAGTTTGGCACAGAGTTGGTACTTAATAAACATCTGATGAATTAATTAATGAACTGTTAAGACTCACTAGACATTTGACAAAAACCCCAAGTATAAAAGCAAAAAACCAAGACACACAAAAAACTGACTTCATAAAAAAACAGAGACAAATGAGGGAACAGAAAGAAACAAAAAAAGTCCTATTATCAAAATCTTCAGAAAAACTTAAAAAAAATGCATCAAGAACATGAAAGACTCTGGAACTTAAAAACATTACTACTGGAAAAAAACAATTCATTAGAAAGATTAGAAGATAAAGTAAAAATCACCAAGAACAGAGGGGAGCGAAAAAAACCAAAAAGGTTTTTTAAAATATGAAGGGAAAAAGACAAAGTTTTATGCCAGAAGCGCCAAAAAGTGACCATCAGAAATTTGTGGGGTTGGCTGGGACCTAGTAGGAAAATAAAGGCAGAAATTTCAAAGAACTATTACATGAAATTTTATTAGAGCTTAAAGGAGAATCAGAAAAGTCTTCAATCTGAAAGAGTCAATTTCAATTAAAAACATGGTAGAAGTGAGTCATAAAGCTTAAAATAAAGAAAACTCATAGTGTCAATCACTTTCAATTTTATATCAGGAAATAAACTGTACTTTAAACAAACTATTTTTTTTAATACATTTATGCACTGACTTTCAGTGACAGGCACAAATATTTTATTTCCAGATCAATAATGACAATAAAAAGAAACCAAATAACATAGCCCTAATATTATAATCCCAATTATGTTTAGTGATGGTTTTACATAAAAATTTCCGTTAAAAAATTATACATGAGATTCTCGATAAATAACAAAGGAAAAAAATTAAATTCTGTCTTTTTAAAGCAAAAAGATATTTTTACTTTTCATAAAAAGAATATATATAACTTTAAAAAGTGTTTGTAGTGGGGTGCTACTGGCAACAATAGTAACATTTAATAGTTACTTTCGAGGCCAGCATGGTGGCTCACGCCTGTAATCCCAGCACTTTGGGAGGCCGAGGCAGGCAGATCACGAGGTCAGGAGTTCGAGACCAATCTGGCCAACATAGTGAAACCCTGTCTCTACTAAAAATACAAAAAATTAGCCAGATGTGGTGGTGTGCGCCTATAATCCCAGCTACTTGGGAGGCTGAGGCAGGAGAATCGTGTGAACCCGGGAGGCAGAGGTTGCAGTGAGCCGAGATCACACCATTGTACTCTAGCCTAGCCCAGGTGACAGTTCAAGACCCCACCTCAAAAAAAAAAAAAAAAAAAAAAATTCCTTTTGAAAAACCTACTCACAAGAATTTTCTGAAAATGAGACCTTTAATGAAAACATACCTATGAATACTGATTTTAGCTGTTTAACTTACCTTACTCAGAGGGGCTTTGATTTTTTTCAAGCACAAAGCAAGAAGTTCCCTGGATTCTAAAGCACACTGTATCCAAGTTCCTGGTGGTTGAAAATACCTAAAAGAGAAGATAACATACTGAAATCCAACATCTGTCAGGAAACACAGAAATTTCCATCTGAATACACAGATATAACCCAAATTATTAACCAGGCATAATAAAACCCAAGGATGATATGAAGCACTTAACTCAAACATATTTTAATGGTTCCAAAACTTTCAACTAGACTAGCAGCTTTAATTAAAAAGGTAAAATTCTGACTGAGAAAGTCAATCTGAAATAACCTACTAAAGTGATCTTATTACTTTAATCACCAAATCACCACTAAAATGTCCAAGAGTCTCTTAAAGCTATGCTCTGAAAAACAGGTGAGAATCATCTCAAAATGGCATTAAAATGGTTTATTATGTACTTCTAAAATGCCTGAGAACTGCTTATTTTTCACAAAAAAAAGGTACATTAGTACCTCACAACACTATAAATCAGCAATAGTTCAGTCTATTCATCTACATTTCAAGTCCTTTTCAAATTGTAAATTGTAAAACAACATTTAAAATCTTGGGTAAAACCAGACTAAAACAAAACTTAAATCTCTTACATATGTGCTTTAAGGTTTTTAGTCCTGCCTACCCAGGACTTAGCACTATGCCACATACATCTTATAGTAGGTGTTCAATAAATGCTTGCTAAATATAAAATACTTCCAAACATGTTATGTGAATGTCTTTTTGCCATACTTGTTACATAACAGAAAGTTTTGACTTTCACTTTTCAAGGTTCAATCAAAAACATTACACAGGTCTCCCTTTGTTTATAAGTACATATTTATTTCGTATTTTTTTTTCCTTTTTTCTTTTGAGACAGAGTCTCGCTCCATCCCCCAGGATGGAGTGCAGTGTATGATCTCGGCTCACTGCAACCTCTGCCTCTCGGGTTCAAGCGATTCTCCTGCCTCTCGAGTAGCTAGGA
Organism: Homo sapiens; assembly: GCF_000001405.40. Classification (NCBI taxonomy): domain Eukaryota; kingdom Metazoa; phylum Chordata; class Mammalia; order Primates; family Hominidae; genus Homo; species Homo sapiens. The sequence goes on along the minus strand of NC_000003.12, from coordinate 161,226,334 downwards.
TTACATGCGTGCCCCACCACGCCTGGCTAATTTTTGTATTTTTAGTAGAGACAGGGTTTCACCATGTTGGCCAGTCTGGTCTCGAACTCCTGACCTCAGGTGATCCACCCGCCTCAGCCTCCTCAAGTGCTTGGATTACAGGCGTGAGCCACCAAGCCTGGCCTATGAGTAAACGTTTAGAGTTAGAAAGGGCTTCACATATCACCTAATAAAACCCTTCATTCTGATGAGGAAATTGAGGCCCAGAGATGATAAACAGCTAAGAGTTTCAAACAGCTAGTTTGTGAGGAAGCCAAGACAAACTAAGTCTGTTTAGTTCTTTATCAGTACTTTTCTAACTCCACCAGGCTTTTAATAGCAAATATTTATAAAAGATTAAGCCTCACACTTGCTAAGCTTATACACTGTAAACTCCCTGAAACAGTACACAGTTTCATGTGTTTGTGTATATATATGTATATATACACACACACACATATATATTTTTACATATATACACACACACACACATATATATACATGTATGTAAATATTTTGGGGAAGAGATACAGTTTTCAAATTCTCAAAGGAGTCCATGAACCACCCCTCTAGAGATACACACTCAAAAAGTTAGCGTCTTAATCCATTTTGGAAATAACAGGCATACACTTTTACACTCATTAGGCAGTTTTGTGTTACTCAATGGCCTAATAGATGTAAGTTGTTTATGCTGACAAAGAAAATCAAGAGGAATGAAACATTAACATTCAGAAGAAGTCTTCTTCCTTCAAATCCAATCTTTATTTCAGACCATTCCAGATATAATTTATTGAGCTTCTTTTCCATCAACAATAGTTATTTTAATTACACGTGAATGTTATGAGTTTTTAAAACATATTACTAAATTACTCCAAACATAAGCTTTTTATCATACATGGCTTCTAATAACTAAAGAAAAAAAAACCTCATAATAACAATATGTCCTCAATAATCTGCTCTCACCCTTACAAACATCAACTCCTATTAACTATATACATCAAATCTATTAGATCCTTTAACAGAAGAACAGATTCAAATACATTTACACTATCTTTACCAGATTAGAAGGACACACTAGAAAAGTACACTATAAAATTGCAAATTCTAAAATCTTTGGCGACACCAACAGAAAATTTAAACCTTAATTGCATGCACTTTACTCCATATACCTTCGTGTAATCTCAGCATATCTCGGTGGTTCTCTAAATGTAAATTCCAACTTTAAAAAGAGCAAAATTGTACCGCACTGTACCTTTGACATTGTTTGCAGAACGAAATCGAGACTTGTTTCGGAATACCTTGGCTGATGTCCACTTTACTTCGCAAACAGGCCACACAAATATTGGCAGGATTTGGACTTATCGGAACACCACACTCACAGCACAAGCTTTAATAAATAAAGGATAAATTTTTCACATTAGATTTTTAAAATACACTAAATTTTTTTTTAGATGCCAAACAAACAAAAGCCTTCAAGTTAGGCCACAGCATCTTTGCCCTTTTCAAAAAAATAACAGAAACAAAGCAACCTGGGCCAGCCAGTGGCTCACACCTGTAATTCCAGCACTTTGGGAGGCTGAGGCGGGTAGATCACCTGAGATAAGGAGTTCAAGACCAGCCTCGCCAACATGGTGAAACCCCATCTCTACTAAAAATACAAAAATTAGCCAGGCATGGTGGCGCACGCCTGTAATCCCAGCTACTTGGGAGGCTGAGGCATGCATATCAAACCCAGGAGGTGGAAGTTGCAGTGAGCCAGATCACGCCACTGCACTCCAGCCTGGGTGACAGACCAAGACAATGTCTCAAAAAAAAGAAACAAAAAAAAGAAACAAAGCAATCTTCAAAGATGCAGTAGATAAAGAATAACCCTGTAATACAGGGGCAAAAACACCAAAAATGGCTATAATTCTAAAAATCCTCAATATAAGGCCGATGTCCTAAAGGTTCTAGAAGGTCAGTACTGTCCAACAGAATTTCATGCCACGACAGAAATGTTCTATTCTGGTCTGTACAACAAGGTAGCCACTAGCCACATGTGGCAACTGGGACATGAAAAGTGACTAGTACAACTGAGAAACTCAATTTATTTTTTTAATTCAAATTTACATTTAAATAGCCAGTATGGGTCTAAACAAGTCTTTTTTATTAAAAGCAAATGAAACTATATTGTCACATTAAAACAAATGGAGGTATATTGATGAAGAATACAAATCTTGCACTAATTTTAATTTTAGATACTGAAATATAATTAAAAATGTTAACGTGCTCTTTACCACACCCAACCAACACTATCCATAAAGATAACATTTATTAATAATTTGTATATATCCTTCCAAACATTTTCTATGCAGACACAAACATTCACATTAACTTTTACAAATAAACAGATAAACTTCCCAACCACAAGTGTAATAGCAAACTTGGGAAAAATTTGAGAAGCACTGTTATTCATTATCCCTTGTTGAAAATTGGAAAACCAAGAAAGAATCAATTAACAAGGCAATAGTGTGTCAATGGCAAAAACCAAAAAGAAAATCCTGTATCAAGAATATGTAAGATCAGTTTGTCTCTTTTTAATTCAACCACCTCATCTCTAAATACTAAGTCTTCAAAAATCTATTTATTCAGGGCATACAGAGGACCATAGCTTAGGTGAACAGTATGGTGTCACTACATTAAAAGACTACAGCTGTCTACTTATCTCTAATGAACATTTCTTCAAGTATATCTCTGGACTACACCAATAGAAACTAATATCTAAATCATTTCTAACAGAATCAGACGCCAATATACTCCAAAGGCAATTAAAAAAAAAAAGCATAAGGACTGCTGAAATATAAACATTTACCCATAGCAGAATTTTTTTTTTAACAGTATAGGAAGTCTATCAACATCTAGAGACTCAGTATAAATGACGGAACTATCATAATTCGAGATGTACTGGGGGCAGAAAAAGTCTGAGAACCCCTAATGTAGAACAACATTGTCCAAAATAAAAGTTCAATAATCTTCCATGTCCAATGGTAGCCACTAGCCACATGTGGCAACATGGCTAGTACAAACGAGCAACCAAGTATTTAATTTTATTCCATTTAAATTAATTTAGGAAACTTCCAACTTAAACTGCTTGGGGTTTATGTTGACAGAGTGGAGCCAGCGGTACCACCTGGAAAGAAAGCAGTTCCTGACAGAGCTAACCAGGCTCTTCCAGAAGTGCTGGTTGTCCGGAGGGAAGTATAATGGTCAAACAACCCATTCCAAGAAAGGGTTCTGTGAAGGGCTTTGAGCCCTTAGACAAGTGTCTGTTAAAAGCTACTGATAGAACAAGGAAGATCAGCACTATGCTGAGCTCCAAAGACATTTTCAGATGGCTTATTCAAACCCACTGAGCTAACTGATGGACAAGGGAAGAGTAAAGCATCACAGGGAAGGGGGCCAAATTTCCTGCTTTCACTAACCACTGAATTCCTATTTTTCCTTTGGTTTTTACTTTTGGCCACAAAGCTAGTTTCTCCATAGTTACTGTTTTCCTGTGAGATTAGGGTCATTCTAGACAGAAGGACTACAATGTTTACAGGGTAGTTGTGGTAAGAAGCCAATTTATTTTAGATTTAGCTAATTGGTCTGTGCTGAACGATTCCAGGATTATCGTTTAAAAGTCTCTGTAGTAATCTCTTTGAAGAGCACTGTATCATTAAACCTATTTAACAGCAAAAAAAAAAAAGTTAATTTGAACTTAAATGCAAGAAATTAAAAATTGATAACTAAGATTTAAGATGTTCAAAATTTAAAAATTACTACATTATAATCTCCAATAAAAATCAGGAAGTCATCCGAGCTACTCGGGAGGCTGAGGCAGGGAATTGCTTGAACCCGGGAGGTGGAGGTTGCAGTGAGCCGAGATCACACTACTGCACTCCAGCCTGGGCAACAGAGCGAGATTCCGTCTCAAAAAAAAAAAGTAAGTAAAAAGTAAATTTAAATAGCCACACGTAGCTAATGGCTACATATTGGACAGTGCCGATCTAAAAGGATGTATGGTAAATATTTTAACCCTCTTAGAGCTTATATTTACTAGAACAAGCTTTATAACCAGAAACTAATTCGATTTTCTACAGAAATAAGACTTCTATTTTTTCCCATTTATGACAATATACGCTCTTTCCCACCCACCCTCAAGCGTTCTCCATAGTGAGTTTCCCGGGCTCACTGAAGATTTTCACATTTAAGGGGGAAGGAAGAAGTGTCGCACTCACATGTGTCCAGGGCTGCGGTCGGTGGATTCTGCCATATACTCCATCGTTCTGTATGCCTTAAGTTCTTTTAAAAAAAAAAAAAAAAAAAAAAAAAAAAAAGAGAATGTTGGGATTTAAATCACTTTACCTAGTCTCCTCTTTTTACGTCTTCCTCCAGTCTCTCTGAATAATTAATATATTCACAGAACTTCGAAAAAGCAGGAAAGAAGGAAACCCAACTCCACTGGGTAAGTTCGTTAAAAAGAACTTTAAGATGAGGACCATGGGATTTCCTGAGCTTCCCAGCTGCAAGACCCTCGGGCCACCCAGCTCTGCCGCTGACCTCCATCTCACCTGGGCTCCAACCCTGGACGACCAAGGGCGAGGTCAGCTCGGGATTGTGGACGCCCGGGCCCTCCCGCTCTCCACCAGCCCAGGGACCGCACCGGACCACCGCGCCTCAGACCCACGCCACAGGAGTCTCCGGACGGCGTCCCGGCGCCCGAGGGCCACCCACGCCGACCCCCAACCCCGGGGCGCGACCGCACACGGGTTCCGGGCACGCGGCGCTCACGCAGACTGAGCACGGCCCCGAGGCCGGGGAGCCCGCCCCATCCGCTACTCAGGGGCCCGCGGCCGACAGCCCAGGTCTCGGACTCCGGAACCTACTTCGCGCCTCCAGACCAGCCCTGGATTTGCTGAAAACCCGCAACAAAATAGACCCCGGCTGTCCCGTCAGCTGCCAACCTGGCTGTCTCCGCCACAGAGAAGATCTCGCGAGCGAAATGCTCGAAATCCCGCGGCCCGAGTGACGTATTAAAAGGGACGGGGTGGGGACGAGGAAAGGGGCGGCACCGACGGGCGGAAGGGTGATGGGAGCGGCCTGGTGGCTGGGAAAGCTCGCGGAGAGAAGTCCCAGGGGCTCATTTGCCGTCAGTGACTGCTTTTCAGTTATCGTCTCGATTTTCCCAGGCCAGGGTTTACTCCAAACCAACCTCGCCCGTATATTAGTCTCTTTTCAGCTATCCCGACTGTGAGCTTGCTTCTTGATTAAATGATTATTTTATATAAAAGTTATCTGTAAACGGTACCTTATGCAAAGAAACTCCATCCAGGGCAGTGCCTTTTGTCTGTTTGGTTCACCGTCATATACAGGCCTGATGCCTGCCACATGCTAACTGCTCAAATGATTATTTGTTGAAAGAATGAAATGTAAAGCATAATTATCTGTGAAGAAGTCTATGCGATTTTTAGACAAATTATTAATTATGTGCTTCCGGATAGTGCATTTAATATCTTCTTATGACTGATTTATCCCTCAAACTTGGAGCAGCACAGACCGTGTCTAATCTGTCTCATGACAGCCTTTCAAATATTTGAAGAGTACAACCATTTTTTTTTCTAAATCCTCTCATCCCAAATTTCAAGGAATAAGCAAAGGCGTTTTGTAGAGGGTGATCAGAGACAGCCTCTCATCATTTCTTGCCCAGAATACTTAAGTAGCCTCTCGTCTGTTGTCTCTACTTGTAGACTTCAATTCATCCTTCTGAAATGCAGTTCTGATTTTGTCACACTCCCCTGCTTTTAATCCTTCAGTGGCCTCTGATTACCTTCAGCATTATTTCCAGTTTCTTTGTGTGGAAAGAAGACCTTTCAGGATCTGATCTCCACATATCCTGTCCTACTCCCAAGCACACGTACTCGCAAGCCATGAAGACCAACTGGCAGGTCCTCACAGAAAATAGTCTTCCTTTGCTTCTACCCGGGACTCGGCACTAAAGATTAAGCCTGAATTAGTTTCCTAGTGCTGCTCTAACAAATTATCACTGATTTAGTTGGCTTAGAAAACACAAATTTGTTCTCTTCCAGTTCTGGAAGCTACAGGTCTAAATAGATGGTGAGGGCTGACTCTGGAGGCTCCAGGAGAAAATCCATTCCCTGGCCCTTTCCAACTTCTACACGCTGCCCACATTCCTTGGCTTGTGGTCCCACATCATTTTGCAGTCAGAGTCTCCTTTTCTCACCCCCACCCCCCCGCACCCCTCTTACAAGGACACTTGTGATTTCACTGGGCCCAACCAAATAATCCAGAATAATCTCTCCATCTCAAGAAATTTAATCACATCTGTAAAGTTCGTTTGCCATGTTAGGTAATATATTCACAGATTTCAGGGAATAGGACATCTTTGCAGAGCCATTATCCTGTCCACCATACATCCTCTCTTTTCTGACTCCTTCGGTCCCTAAGGGCCAGAGGAGTTACATGCTCCTTCTGTATATATGGTTCTATGATAACACCTTTATACGAGGTATATGCCTCTATAATAGTGCTTTGAATTGGATCATAAATTTTCTACTCTGCATGCCCAGCAGTTTCAAAACCCTGGAGAGCAATTCGGGTCTTGTTCTTCTTGGTGCACCTAGCACAGCAGCTGACACAAAACAGACCCTCAATATATATTGGTAAATTAATTATCCATTTAATACCCACCACAACTCTGAAGAGACAGTGTTTTTCTCCCCGTTTTTTCTATTCACACTGCCTATGCCCTCAACCAAACACCACTAGGAACACAGCTGTAGTTAAGCAGCTTCTGTCTATTTATTACTCTTCGAAGTGAGCCCAGACACTCACCATGGATACCCTTTGGGTATCTCAGTAAGAGGGTGTTTAGAACAAACCTATCATAGGATTGGGGCTTTGGGCGGGTGTTTTCGGGGAGGCCCTAAGAAAATAGAGGTTTTTCTATAGATTGGATGCTGTCAGAAAGCAGGGGCAATTCTGTGATTGGATGTCTCAGTAAATCTTATTTACACAAAGGGAAGCAGGAGGATAAAGCTGCAATTAGCAAAGAAGTAGCAGTCACTCATTTTGGTGAAGAAAGGGAATGTTTGGTATTTTGTGGGTGGCATAGTGAACTTATTTTGGTCTGTGCTTAGACAAAATTATGAAGTGACCTTCTTTGCCTCATTTTATCATGGTTTCAGAGTAATCTTGTCTGAGTTTAGTATTCTGTGAAATTATTTCTGTCTAATAGGAAAATATTATGGCATAGCTGCAAGTACCAGACCAGCTTCTAAATGTCAAAGGCTGCTCATTTTTTAACACATTCCTTCTACAATTATTTGATTTGGCTCTGAATACCAGGCTTCTTAAGCACTTGATGTATGATAATAACAGCACAGATATGGTCCCTGCCCTCATGGACCTTACATATTACAGATGAGGCTGGATTAGATTAGGCAATTTGTTGAAAGTCCTATAGCAAATAATTGATAGAACTGGGACGTGAAATACAGTTTGTTTCTGAACCCAGACCCTCACCATAGCAGCCTACCTCCCCTTCTGAGGCTGAGGCCGTCTATTCCTATCCACAACCTTTTGATAAATGAAATACTTCTGTAGTAGAAGGCACCTATATTTCTCTCTTCATCTGCCAGCCCCCACCACTAAGATTTCCAGATGTCAAAAGTAAGTTCTTGATTTCAACTACCTCTCTCATGAGCCTGAATGAGCTTGCTAGGATTGGACTGAGTGGGATAATATTGGCAAACAATACCAGAGGGAAACTCACTTTGCACTTTTTATTTAACCTCAAATCTCACCTGAAAATAATAGGTGAGATTATTTTCAGCTCCCATAGTCCTTGCACTGAGGATATCTATCTGTATTCAAATCTAAGCCTTAGTATATGTTTACAAACTTCATTTCTATGTGTTTAACCATGGTATTAAAATGGAATTCCTGGCCGAACATAATGGCTCATGCCTGTAATCCCAACACTTTGGATGGCCAAGGTGGGAGGATCGACTGAGGCCAGGTTATCCTGGACAACATGTTGAGACCCCCACCTCTAAAAAATAAAAAATAAATATAAAACAATCAAATTAGCCAGGCATGGTGGTATGCACCTGTAGTCGTAGCTACTCAGGACACTGAGGCAGAAGGATCACTTGAGCTTAGGAGGTCAAGGCTACAGTGAGCCAAGATTGCACTACTGCACTCCAGCCTGGGTGAAAAAGGGAGACCCTGTCTCAAAAAAAAAAAAAAAAATCTGCTAATCAATGAAATAATGAAATTCTACACAGAACTTTCAAATGCATACTGTGATATTTTTCACACTATCAAATGTGATAGCACATTTGGGGATATCAAGATAATATTGGAGATTAGTGCAGGGGAGGTGTATTAGGGTATCCTCTTAGAATCAACACCTGTGGAATAGAAGGGCAGAAGCACCATTGGGCAGAAGGGAGCTGTGCTGCCGTGCAGTCTAGTGGAAGCCTCAGCTAACCCTGTGGGAAGCTCTGAAGCTGAAATGACCATTCTGAGTTTTCCCGAGGGGGACTTTGCTCATCGATGAGTCATTGGATGTGACTGTCCCAGGAAAAGGACATAGCATTGGGTGATATTTCTCTCTTCAGCCAAGGCAGTCCCAGAAGTAGATGAAACTGAGGGCTTTCTGCCAGCAGCACTCCCTGCTGTTGTGGGATAAGTACTTCATTCCTTGAGGGGGATCTGGGCAGTACCTCACAGCCACAGCATGCGCCATGTAGAAAGCAGTATGCCTAGGAGAGTCGGTGGAAGACATGGACTCTAAAGTCCTTGTTTCAAGTCTGAGATTTGTGACTGATAGATTCTGTGACCCTAAGGATTTGCTTTACCACTCTGAGCCTTTCTAAAAGCTCCTTTCCTCCTTTCTAAAACTATGTAATAATCCCTACCTCAGAAAATTGTTATGAGAATTGACTGAGATAAGGTACATAGAAGTGTTTAGTAAACTGCAAAATACTATAATGATTGTAGGCCCTGTTATTCTCTGGTGAAGATCCTTAATAGGAATTGAGTGAAGCAATAAGAAATGGTTTGTATCTGAAACAGCCAATGTATCAAATTTGAAACATTACACCTGCGATTCTGCTTCACCCTTAATTTACAATATAAAGACATCATTTAGTAAATGAAATAAAAATTTAGTGTTCACTTTGTAAAATTTGTTAGGGGTAGTGAATATCTGAGTTACTGGTGGCAAATAGATACAGGTCTGCAGCAACCTCAATTCTTGCCTTCTCGGCAGAAAGAATTTGACTGAGGGGCATAAGGCAGAAAAAGAGACTGAAGCAAGTTTCAGAGCAGGAGTAGAAGTTTATTTTAAAGCTTTAGAGCAGGAAAGAAAGGAAAGTACACTTGGAAGAGACCCAGGCAAGAACTGTGGAGGTCAAATGTGGTGTTTGACCTTTTGACTTGGGGTTTTATATGTTGGCATATTTCGGGTGTCTCCGCATTCCTTTTTTCATGATTCTTCCCTTAGAGTGGGCAGCCCACATGCATGATGCTGTCCTTGCGCTTGAGAGATGAGCAGGTGCAGTGTGTTTAAGAAGTTGTATGCATGGCCACCTGAGGCTTTTTTCCCTTTTCCGGTGGAATGCTCCCGGAAGGTCATATAACCAGTTAAAGTCTGCCATTTTACCTTTCAATGTACATACTCAAGCCCACTCGCCCAATTCCTGAGATTTTATTGGAAGTTGTTGATTACCAATTTCAAGTGTTTTTATCCATTGGGAAATTGCCTCTCCCTGGTGCCTGCAACCAATTATTATTTTTAGAAAGGTGATGTGACAACTGCCAGACCATCACCTGATGGTTGCCTGACATTCCTGGTGGGTAGGGGAAGCCCTCTCCTGTCCAGCTCTTGCCTAATTACCACTGTAACAGATTCATTCAGCTATACATTATAATCTGTGCCTATTTCTGCCTGTGTATTTCCTTCAACAAAAAGTTTTAAAAGTACAAATAATATGTTAACATAGAATCCCAGCAAATACAATAGAAAAGATGAAATAAAATTACGATAATAATACTTGTACAATTTCTCCATTATTACAAATTCCAAAATATGAGACTGAATTTATAATATTTTATTATAATTTTTAAAAGATGTAATCACTGAACAACCTCTAACTTTTACATGTTAGTGATGGGGGAGAATAACACTATGTATAGGTTGAGTATCCCTAATCCATAATCCAAAAATCCAAAATCCAATATGCTTCAAAATCTGAAATTTTTTGAACACTAACATGACACTCAAAGGAAATGCTCATTGAAGCATTTCAGATTTGGGGTTTTCAGATTTTGGATTCTCAATCAGTAAGTTTTAAACCAAAAAGTATCTGAGACAAGTCTCAATTTAGAAAGTTTATTTTGCCAAGGTTAAGGACGCACCTATGACACAGCCTCAGGAAGTCCTGACGACATGTTCACAAGGTGAACAGCTTGCTTTTATACATTTTAGAAAAACATAATACATCAATCAACACATGTGAGATTTACATTGGTTCCATTTGGTAAGGCAGGACAACTTGAAGAGAGGTCGTGGGGAGCAGGGTGGTGGCAGTGGCGGGGGGTTCCAGGTCATAGGTAGATTTAAACATATTCTGATTGGCAATTGGTTGAAAAAGTTTTTATCAATAGAAAGGAATATCTGGATTACAATAAGGTGTTGTGGAGACCTAGGTTTTACCAGGGAGATGAGGCGTCCAAGTAGCAGGCTTTAGAGAGAATAGATTGTACATGTTTCTTATCAGAGTTAAGGTCTGTGTTGACATTCATGCTGGAGGATTATAATGACACTTGTTATGCAAGTCTCAGAGTCCGAAGGTTGAGTCTGATGTCCAAGGGCAGGAGGAGAGGAAGTCAAGTGTCCAGCACCACACAGCGGGAGAGAGAGAGCCCAAGCAGACTCAGCAAGCGAGCTACTCATCCCTCTTCTTCTGTCTATGTTCCAGCCACTGGCAGCAGATTGCATGGTTCCTACCCACTCTGAAGGTTGTTCTTCCCCTCTCCCAGGCCACTGACTCAAATGTCAGTCTCTTCTGACAACACCCTCACAGACACACCCAGAAGCAATACTTCACCAGCCATCTACACATCCTTCCATCCAATCAAGTTCATACCTAATATCAACCATCACAGATGTCAATTCTCCTAAATTTGATGTCATTTTAATGCAATTCCTATCAAAATTCTAGCAAGAGTTTTTTGTAAATGTACAGAAGATTATTCTAAAATTTATATGGGAAAGTAATGGAACTAGAACACCTAAAACAATTTTAAAAAAAAGTGGGAAAAATTATTCAACTTAGTTTTAAGACTTATTATGGGACTACAGTAATCAAGATTGTTTGGAATTGGTGAAAGGATAGACACACATCAGTGGAAGAGAATAGGGAACCCAGAAAAAGACCCTCCAAACCAGTGTTCAATGGATTTTGACAAAACTGCCAAGCCAAGTCAGTAAAGATAGCCTTTTCAACTATAGCCAGTGGACATACAGAGGGAAAATAATAAACTTCAACCTAAGTCTCACATCTTAGATAAAAATTAACTCAAAATGGATCATGAATTTAAAGCAAAATGTAAAACTAGAAAACTTTTAGAAAAAAAAAAGAACATTTTTACAATCTAGAACTAGGCAAAGAGTGCTAAGCCCTGACTTCGGAAACAAGATCCACAAAAGAAAAACTGACAAGTTGGAGTTCATTAAAATTAAAAACTTTTGCTCTGTTAAAGGCCCTGTTAAGAAGATAAAAAGACAAGCCAAAGAGTAGCAGAAATATGTGCAAACTGTATTCAACAAAGAACTAGTATCTATTAATAAAATAGATATAAAGAACTCTCAAAATTTAACAGAAAATCAAGCAGCCCAATTAGAAAATTGGCAAAAGATATGACAACATTCCACTGAAGAATGTATATAGAAGTCAAGCATACATGAAGATGTTCAACAATATTAGTCATGAGAGGTATACAGATTAAAAACACAATAAAATATCACTGCCTCTATTGGAATGGCTAAAATAAAAAATACTGATAACACCAAATGGCAAGAATACAGAGAACTGGATCACTCATTCACTGCTGGCAAAAATGTAAAATGGTAGAGCAACTCTAGAAAAAATTTGGCAGTTTCTTATAAAATTAAACATGCAACTACCATATGACCTAGCAATTATACCCCTAGGTATTTATCCCAGTGAAATGAAAACTTGCACATAAAAAACTGTACATGAAGAGGGTGGCAGCTTTATCCATTATAGTCAAAAGCTGGAAACAACTTGGAAACAACTCAGATATCCTTCAGTGGGTGAATGGTTAAACAAACTGCAGTACATCCCTACCACGAATTCTTTTGTTTGTTTGTTTGTTTGTTTAGGCAAGTCCTCACTCTGTCGCCCATACTGGAGTGCAGGAATGCAATCTCTGCTCACTACAACCTCACCTCCTGGGCTCAAGTGACTCTCCCACCTAGTCCTCCCAAGTAGCTGGAACTACGGGCATGCAATACCATGCCCAGCTAATTTTTGTATTTTTTTTGTAGATATGGGTTTCGCCATGTTGTCCAGGCTGGTCTCAAGCTCTTGGACTCAAGAGATCCACCCTCGTCAGCCTCCCAAAGTGCTGGGATTACAGGGGTGAGCCACTGTGCCTGGCCTATATAAAGTTATTGAATAGACAAATTCATAGAAAAGGGGGATGGATTAGTGGTTGCCAGAAATTACGAAGGGACGGGGGTATGAGAGCTATATCTATGAATGGGTAATATGAGGAATCTTTATGGTGATGGAAATGTTCTGTATTTTAGCTCTGTCCATGTCAATATCCCAGTAGTTACATTGTACTATAGTTTATAAGATGTTATTATTAGAGGAAAATGATCTCTCCATATTATTTTCTACAATTGCATTTGAATCTAAAATTATTTCAAAATTTTTAAAAAGTTTAATTTTTTAAATGAGTTGAAAATTCCTGATTAAGGAAGACAATTCCCTGGTTTTATCTTTTGTACTAATTATTTTACAAGGCCTCAGCAATTTTGTCTCCAGTGTGGGTTGGCTGATTAATCCTATCCACATCCCCTTTCTCCCACTGTGGGCAGCCATGAGACACAATTTTGGCCAGAGGAAAATTTCAAGAGAAAGTCTTGCAATTCCCAGGCAACTTTCCAGGAAAGCTTTAACTCTCTTAATAAAAAGGCTCAGACTCATGGGTATGCCACCTGCCCACATTCTCTGCTCCTTTGCCCTTCTGTCTCTTTTCAGTATGGGGTACAAACCCAGAGGTATACCAGCCATCAAATGAGCATAAGGCAACAAAAATATAAGTGCAAATGCCATCATTCTAACAATGGTGAGACAGAGACCCAGAAAGAGCCTAGCTAGAAAGAGCAAGAAAGAGCCTTGACAGTGTCATTATGCAGAGGCACCAACTCTGGACTGTTTACCTTTAGGTTTTTTCTAGTTAAGGGAAAAAAAAAAGACTTTGTTTAAGCCACTGATGGCCAGGTTTTCTATTATTTGTTGCTAACAGATGCTGACACTCAAAGGAGATTCCAGCAGGGCTAATATACTTTGCCCGCCTTTTAAGACTGTTATAAGGGTGAGAAGCATGATAGCTACTTAATAGTCTTTGTCTGTTTCAGAAACCAAATTGCTGATTCTGCCTTTTCCTTTCTCACCAGTATTTTGTTTCTTATTCTCCTTAGCTTGGTCTGAATTTGTATTCTAATCAGACTCTTGCCAGTCACTCTCCTAATTGAATTGAGTTTTTGTTGTAGTTCAGCCAGCTCAGAATTTTTTTTAATGGTTTTCCTAAACCATTCCAGCCCAAGGCAGTGGCTCCCCTCTTTGACCTAAGAGCACTTACTGTCCACACCTTCCAATTGCCAATTCATCATCCACTGCCCCCTGACGCTTCTCATACAGCTGTCATAGAATAATCAATGTTTAGAGCTGCAACGGGCTTTAGAGATCATCTTCTCCAGCCACCTCAGTGCCTGTGAATTGTGACTTAACTCTTGGATTTTTCATTACCTTTTCATAGGTTTATAGCTTATCTTCCCAACTAGAGCTCAAAAAGTGAAAAAAGAGATAAGAAATAAGTTTTGTTCAGTTACTTACTGCATGCCAGACACCTTACACACATGACTGAATTTTCACAACAATTCTGGAAGTGGGTATTAGTCCCCACTTGACAGGTGAAATAACTAAAGCTCAGAGAAGGCTGGGCACAGTGGCTTATGCCTGTAATCCCAGCATTTTGGGAGGCTGAGGTGGGCGGATGGCTTGAGCTCAGGAGTTCGAGACCAGCCTTGGCAACATGGTGAAACTCTGTCTCTACCAAAAATACAAAAAATTAGCCAGGTGTGGTGGGCATGCCTGCGGTCCCAGCTACTTGGTGGGGAGGCTGAGGTGGGAGGATCACTTGAGCCTGGGAGGTAGAGGTTGCAGCGAGCCAAGATCACTCCACTGCACTCCAGTCTGGGTGACACAGTGAGACTCCATCTCAAAAAAGGAAAAAGCTCAGAGAAGTTGTTACTTAGTAAAGGTAAAGTACCTAGAAAAAAGGGAAGCCCAGATTCTGACTCAGGTCTTAACATAGTTAAGCGTCTTTAACCTCCTCCCAGGCTGCTAAATTAGTTGCTTGGATTTACTTTTTGGAGTTCTTCAACATTTAAACTTCAAGAAATTCTACATTCTGTTCATAGGCCTTCTCTTTTGTAAGAGGTTTAAAATATATTGAATCACTAAATAAAATCATGGTTCTTTGTTTCTAATGTCATTATTTTTATTTTATATATATATATATATATATTTTTTTTTTTTTTTGGGGGGGACAGAGTCTTGCTCTGTCACTCAGGCTGGAGTGCAGTGGCCTGATCTCAGCTCATTGCAACTTCTGCCTCCCGGGTTCAAGCGATTCTTCTGCTCAGCCTCCTGAGTAGCTGGGACTACAGGCACACACCACCACGACCGGCTAATTTTTGTATTTTTCGTAGAGCCGGGGTTTCACCATATTAGCCAGGCTGGTCTCGACCTCCTGACCTCGTGATCTGCCCTCCTAGGCCTCCCAAAGTGCTGGGATTACAGGCATGAGCCACCGCGCCCAGCCAAGATTTTTTAAATTCAGTACTGATAGAACAAAAATATTATACTGATTTTAGTGGAAAAGTGATGAGATATCTGTCATGTTAAATGTTAGTGAAAATGCATATATCATTAACACAAGGTGGTTTTCTTTGTATCTGAATTACAAAAGATACAAGTGTTTTATAGACAATAACTTTGTAAGCTATTATATTTAATATAATTTGCATCGCTGGGAGAAAACAATACAAAGAAATATTCAGAGAAATTGAATTTAGTCATTCCAAACTTCAAAGAAAGTTTTTATTCTATCCAGTAAGCCAATTACATCTTTATTATTTTTCATATGGAACAGTCCACATTTTAATCTGAGCCTAGAAGATTTTTAATTTGGAATTGAAGCCTTTCAGTTGTATTACATTTTTGCAGAACTTCCTTAATGCCAGATAGACAATTAAAATGCAAGATAGTTTTCCTTTAATGTTGTTCTTATTGTTTAGGAATAAGAAAAATATTAAGGTAATTGGCTTTTGACTTCATAATTTTTCCCCTAAATTCTTACTAGATTTCTTTCACATTCTTACAGGTAATATATTTTCAACGATAATTTTTTTTTTAGAAATCGTGTTCTCTTAAACCAATACAATCCTATAGCGATCATTCATCTCTGCTATATCACATTTTATTTTTGAAGTATATAAATGATGTCTTCATTTTTAAAGGTATAATTTTACATTTCTGCCTTCTAAAGATAGTTTGGTCATAATTTTAGATGCATCCTTTTAATTAATGTATGTGTCGTTTTTAGGAGCACACCTTTCCCTATATAATCTGAGTTTATTTATAACTTTCTGATTATATACTGCTTATATCTGTGGGCTCAAGACACAGAAGTGAATACTAATTTTTTTAACAAAAAAAAATCCAATAGGTTATGGTGATTGTTTGTACATGCTTAAAATGTTAACTAAAAGTAAATAAATAATCTAATAAACATATCTTATAGGCTCCTGTGTATCATGAGGCCACATAGGTCTTTAGTCAGGTAAATTGTAATAATACCTATTAACCATAAGCCCCAGAGGACAAGGACATACCTTGTACATCTTTCAATCTGTAGGGTCTAGTAGAATGTAATAAACATTTGAAAAATAAATGAACGAACAAATGAATGAACAAATGTATTTTCTTTAAGGTCAGTCAGGTGACTCACACTTCTTTAATTTTCTCCAGACTGCTGGCACAATGTTTTGTCCAAAGTAGAAATTTACTGATTGGTATGAGTATTAAAAGAAGGAAAGGAAAAAGGTTCCTTTGTGTCTAAAGGAAAGACATTGCTCTTTCTCCCCAGGAGAGCTATTGTCTTAGGTACTATGAAATATGCATTTTCCAGCCAGCTTGTTACAGGTACTATGGTGTGTCAAGATCTAAGGCAAACTAGATGTGCCCTATGCACTAGCCATTCCACCCTTGATCCCTACCTTTTCCCTGAACCTATAATACTCTGTTAAAGAATTACTTTATTAAAATTTCTCTGCTAAAATTACAATTTTTAAAAGATAAAATGATGTAATACTTTGATAAGTAGGAGAAAAAAATGAAGAAACCTAATTAGTATGGGCTCTGTTTATATTTTCTCTTCTCCCACTTTATATATGAAGGAACTTATAATTTATCAGGGAGGTTTCAAATTTGGTGCACCATGCATCAAATCCAATCCATGGGAATTTTTTAAGCCTAACAGTTCGCTTTTTAAAAGTTTAGTTAATCATTCTATCACATAATGTTCTTAGTTAAAGCAAGAGAAACTGATTCTGGCTTATTTAGCTGAAGGAATTCATAAATATGCTTTTGGTAGCCCCCATAATCCTAAGAAGGGTTGAACAACAAGACTCAGGGGCTTGCAGCCAGGAATAGCACCCAAAATCACACAGCAGAGCCAAGTCATCCAGTCAAGGCCACGCAGACATCACCCTTGCAGGATACATGCTACAGACTGCATGCACCACGGGCACCATCTACTGCTGCTAGCACAACATCCCTTGCTCCACTGGGGCCACTATATGGCCACTGTATGGCGCCCCGTCCTTGCTTCTTTGCATATTAGCTCAGAAGTTCAAGGCATGCAGATCTAGTCAGCAGGGCCTAGATCATATGAGCAGTTGAAGGAGAATGGGCAATAACTAGAGATGAAGAAAGAGTTGAGCCAGTGCTTTCTGCTGGCCTCTCCCTTTCTTGCTAATTTTTAAATAATGTCCTCCTACTCCCCCACCGTTGCTTTTCGAAGTTTAGAATCCCCAAACAATCTTAGTAATTTGCACATTCATTGCCAAAATTAACACAGTTGGAAGCACTAGGTTAAGACATCTAATAGCCGGCTGTTCTTCGTAAATATTTATCAGACCATTTTTAGACAGTGGTAATGGGTCCAATTAATATTTATGAATGTAAAATAGAAATCCCTAAATGGTTATGATGGCATTCTTCTGGTATTTCTTTAAAATTCATCATTAGCTCCTGAATAGAGTCTGCCGAGTGCCTTGTGAAACCAATTAAAATCTTAATACCTATTTGGGGTGATTTTCTTTCCCTATTTCTTGGTACATCAGCTGCACTGTCAACTATGGCCCCCCTCCAATAAACTATAATCCACCCAACAGAGTGAGCAATCAAACAGCCCAGTGAAAATTTACTTGAATTCCACAAATTTTGGGGTAAACTCATTAATTTTCTCAGAAAGCTTCCAAGAGGGTAAGTGGCAGCCCAGAATAAGATACTTATTTGTGAATTGCTTGGCATGTAGTCACAAGCCTTAATTTCACATACAAGGAAATGCTTTTAGCTGCAAGAATTTTTATTTCTACTCAGGATACAACAAACCCATCCTCTAAAATTCTAGCAATTAATTTATTGCTGAAATTTAGAGATTTTTTAAATGAAAGCCATCATTGGCAGTAAAGATTATAGACAATAAATGTTTACACATGGTAAATTCCAACAGACTACATCTGTCAGATTTAGACTCAATTGATAGTTATTGAACATAGACTATGTGTCAGGCACTGTTCTTTACAAGTTTACAAACATCTCAACTGTCCTATAAACTTATGAGGTAGATTCAATCCCATTTTACTGATGAAAGAAGCAAAGCTCAAAGTCTATGGGACTTAAAAGAGATTACAAAGCTAGCAGGTGGTAAAGCCAGGGTTTGAGCCTGTGTCCTGATCCAAATCAGCTCTCTGCCTCAGCAGAGTGACCCCGGATGCAGAAGAGTTTCATCATGAAAGAGTAGTTAAGGTAGGCTAAGCTTTAGGCAGAAATGTGTAACTTCTAGCATTATTATGCAGGCTCAGATATTATGAATTAATCCATTGTTAGGCCCGAAGTGTTGAGATTCCACTGAGACACTACAACTTGGCATCCAATCATTCAAAACTGGGTTGAAAGGCAGGACATGTCCAAAGCAAATAAGCATTTCACCTGATGAAAGGATGCCTTAAAGTGATGAAAGATGGCTAGATATAAATCTCTTCATATCTCAATGCATAGATTTAGAAGGTAAAAACAAACACAACAAAACAGCATACAAAATAATGATATAGAATTGTCTTTTTATGCTAAATGACTATGTAATTGGACAGTCAATGACTGGGGAAGATATTTTGCACAACCTTTTTTTGTTCTTCTTCTAACTCATGATTCTCATACATATTTGTTGCCAAAATGAGTAAATCTAGGCCTGCAGATTAGGTCTTAGAGCTGGTCCAAGGGTGCATTACCATGACTCCCAGGGCCATCTGGGGAATAGATGCTTGCTTTAACTTCACAGCATGGTATTGAGGGTCATATCTGGCCCAAGCTGCTTTAGCTTGGAGAGGTTGAGAGTAAAGACTAAGAAGTTTATTTAGGCATACAAGTACTCTGTTACCTATTCCTGCACGTGTACTGTATATCATGTATACTCTGCAATGAATTAGATACACCTGGCTAGGGCGCAGTCTTTAGCATCATGCATGTAAGACTAGGTCTGAAGGGGCAGTTGACCTTCAAAAGGTCTAATGTGAGCATCACTTGCTCAAACTTACTATCCTCAGTTGTGTATCTGCTGATGTGGCCCATCGGAGGGATTCTCGAGTGTAAGCACTTCTGTCTGTTAATAAAGATTAAGAGCTGATCTCTTTGCTACATATCCTAACTGCTCTGACTTCGTGCTGCACATTCAGATATGTAAACCTTGTTTGATTTACCCAAGTAATGTCTTTGGCTGTTCAGTCAATTTGAACCAATTTTTTATATTTGTCAAAATGTTATATGTGCTGAGTCAAATATCTACCATAATTCTATGACCTTTGATTGCTGATTAAAGACTCCTTTCAAAGGAGATAGGTAGATTTATTGACAAGCTGATGTCCAGCAATGGTTCTCATCCTTGACCAAAATGTAAGGCTAACCCTGAAGAAAGGCTTTCTTTCTTACACATCCATCTAACATGATTACTGTTTTAGACATTTCCACATATCCTTAAACTAAATTCTGCCAAGTAACTCACATAGGATGGAATGTCTAGGGCAAAACAGGCATAAAATATATGAAATGTGAAATATGCTGTAGCAGAAAGCTTCTAGAAGAGGAGATCTTTGTGTGGTAACAGTGGCTAATGTCCTTTTGTATGTAATATTTTGGTGTGCTCTATATGAAGGGAGAAATCCTTCAGAAGTAAATTGTTACTAACTTGAAAACCTAGGTCTAGATCTAGGGGAATTAATAATCTCGGGAAAATATTTTTATCTGCAATATATAATGTTAAATTCACTCCTACTCAGCAGAAACCTACTCCTTCCCTTCTACTGAGTTTATGGGTGATGGGTTCCTCACTCCATTTCTACCGTTCGTTTAACCATTTAACCATAACTTTTACTAAGAAGCACTCCTTTCCTCGCCATTTTATTAGCTTGCAGCTGTTTTCTCTCTGTGGCTTCAGGCCGAAAGAAAAAAAAATGAAGACATTATGTCTTTGAAAACTTTTTAAAAAGCTATTTCATTCTTATCATTAATTTCGTATGTGGAAAATGTAGAATTGTATTAGATACATTATTTTCTGATGTAATTTAGATGCATGAAAAGTTTAGCTATTTTTGGATTCATTTTTTCTTTTATTTTCTTTTTATCTGTCATTAATTCTGTACTGAAATTTTTAAGATTAATGAAGATATTTGGTAAGATTTTTCTTTCAACCATTTTCTGGTTTGTATAGCCCACCAATACTGCTGTTTTGTGTTAGAAAAGACTGAGTCACGAAAGGAATAAAATTTTTTGTACTGGGTCTCACGGTGAAATAATGGTACCCCGTTACTTAACCTACTGGTTTTTACTCTTCTACTCCTTCAGATGTAATTAAATTAGCTTACTTGCTTAAAAAGTAACATTCCAAGCTAAAAGCTTGGAATTGTCATTTAGGTCAGTTTTATTTTATTTTATTATTATTTGTTGAGATGGAGTCTCGCTCTGTCACCCAGGCTGGAGTGCAGCGACGCGATCTTGCCTCACTGCAAGCTCCGCCTCCCGGGTTCACGCCATTCTCCTGCCTCAGCCTCCCGAGTACCTGGGACTACAGGCACCCACCATCATGCCCGGCTAATTTTTTGTATTTTTAGTAGAGACGGGGTTTCACCGTGTTAGCCAGGATGGTCTCGATCTCCTGACCTCGTGATTCGCCTGCCTCGGCCTCCCAAAGTGCTGGGATTACAGGCATGAGCCACCGTGCCCGGCCTAGGTCAGTTTTATTTTTTTAAATTTAAGCAGTGGTGCTTTAAGTGTTTTAAAGTGAACCATTGAAATGTAACAACCACAGAAAAGTGCACGGATCTTAAATTTTACAGTTTAATAAATTTTCACAAACTAGAAATACTTGTAACTACCAAAATAAGAAAATGAACATAACCAGGACACTGGATGCCCCCTTGGACTCTGACCCCAAGAGGAGCTGCTATCCTGACTTTCATACTATAGATTACTTTTGCCTATTTTGAACTTTATATAAATACAAACATACATCATGTATATCTTTGGGTCTGACTTATTTCACTCAACATTATGTTTATGATACTCATCCATATTGGTACATGTAACAATAGTTTGTTCATTCTTGTTTTGGGTAGATCATACTTTATTCTATTATTGATGAACTTCTGGGTTGCTTGCATTTCAAGGCTATTACAAATAGTGCTGCTATGAACATTCTTGTACACATTGTTGGTGAATATATTTGTATGTTTCTGTTGGATATATATCTAGGAATTGAATTGTCAGGTCATATGGCCTCACTTAGTATGGGCTATCTTTTCATTTTGGTAGGTTGAATGGTGTGTGAGAGTTGGCTCATACTGGCCCTAAGGAACCAATGCTTACATTTTCAGGAATTCTGTGAGCTGGTTGTTAAACACATTATTAAAAATTAAATTATATAAATTTAAATAAGTTATATTATATATTATATGTTACTATATATAATATAGAGATACACAAAATATATATACAATATATTTGTTAAATAATATATAATACAACTTATTTATATTATATATTATATATTACAAAGGTAATAAGTATCTGAAATTCATCGCCTCCACGCTATATTTGTCTATTATCTGTGCTCTTAAGGTTACTTACATCAACCATGTCTGTGTTGTGGAAATGCCACACCACGGTGTGCTGTTCTGCATCCCTCCAGCAATGTCACGTGGCTAACTTGACAATGGCCGCAATGGAGTATTTACACCACAGAAACTATGAAATGCTACTAATTTCAAGGCTTAATTTATTATTTTGTTGATTTATGCAGACTTAAGAAAGTGATACAGAAAATGTTAATAATGCAGATTAAACTCTAAAGTGCCATGTTTGTAGTTGATATGTTGTGGCTAGCATAAATAAAAATTTGTAAAAGCATGGTTGAATTGCAACTTTAGATACAGACACAAGGGTTCAGCAAAAATCAACAAAAACATCTTTAAGAATCAACTGGCAGTCCGGGTACTGTGGCTCATGCCTATAATCCCAACAGTTTGGGATGTCAAGGCAGGAAGATCACTTGAGTCCAGGAGTTCAAGATCAGCCTGGGCAACATGGTGAGACCCCCAGTGCTGGGCACAGTGCTTCGTACTTGTGGTCCCAGTTTCTGGGAAGGCTGAGGCGGGAGGACTGCTTGAGTCCAGGAGGTTGAGGCTGCATTGAGCCATGGTGGTGCCACTGCACTCCAGCCTATGCGACAGAGCAAGACTCTGTCTCAAAACAAAACAAAACAAAACAAAACAAAACAAAAAAAGAAGAAGAAGAATTAACTGGCTACTGGCTATATGGAATTTACCATAAAGGGTATTGTATGTTTTATTATTATTTGTAAATTTGTGCTACATGCATACACACCTTTCTTTCCCCTCTGGAAAGCCCCATTGTTAAACATTTACCAGCACACCTCTATTTGTAGTGGTCACATTGTGATATGAATTTACTTTTCTTAGTCAAAGAAGCTGAACACATTTTCATCAGTGTATTGGTCACTAGAATGTCTTTTTTTGTGAAGTCCCTATTAAGTCTTTTGCCCATTTATCTACTGTTTTATTCTTACTGATTTGTAGGAATTCTTCACATACTCGTCATAAGAGTCCTTAATTGAATATATGTATTGCTAATATCTTCCCCTAGTGAATGAGTTGCCTTTTCACTGTCTTAACAGTGTTTTCTATGTAAAGCAGCTATCAATTTTCATTTAGTCCAATGTGGCAATCTTTTCCTTTATGGTTAGTGCTTTTTGTGCCCTGTTTGAGAAATAGTTGCCATCCCCTAGCTGTTCATGTTTTCTTCCAGAAGCTTTGCTGTTTCACCTTTCACAGTTAGATCTACGATCAACCTGGAGTTGATTTTTGTATATGGTGTGATGCAGAAGCTAAGATTCCTTTCTTGTCCATATAGGTATCCAATTGCCCCAGAACAATTTATTGAAAAGGCCATGCTTTTACTATTGTACTTCAGTACTATTTGTACTTTTGTCATAACAAAGGGGCTGTCTATGTGTGAATCTTATAGGATATTTTAAATAAGTGAAGCAATGAACTTTAGCATTTTACAGATATCTTGCCACTCCAATCATCTTAATAATTTATCCAAAAGAGATTTTACATCAGATGATTAGGAAATAACTTGTCTCCTCTCCTACCAGTAATGTTTATTGATTTCCACTATGAACAAGATGCTGGGGTAGCCTCTAAGGCTACAGAGTAATCTCTTTTTCAAGAACTCTACAGAGAAATCTCTTTTTCAAGAACATTAACCCTGAAAGTCATAAAATAAGCATTTCGCTCATCCTTTTTTAGGTATTTATTTTGACATTAGTTATGTTGATGACTTTGCAAAATATTTTCTTTCATAATATTAAAGCAATTTTTCGTAACATTAAAGCAGATTCTGATAACACATTCAGATTATATATTGAACATGCCAATATTTACTTGTATAAGCTTACCAGAAAGAGTAGATTGAATAACTAATATCTTTTTTGAACAGAGAAAATAGAATTTGGTTACCATGATAATTTGGTTGTTGTTGTTTATAGGATAATGCATCTTGGAAGCAATCAAAGTAAACAAAATCCCTTCAAAAAGAACATATGAACTATGAGGAAATTAATTTCTTAACTCTGTTATTGATCCTATTATTCATAAAAAAGCAAAAGTCCCATATAACAATTGAATATGTAGAGCATTTTATAAAATTGAGGGATACTAGATTTTCTGTGCTGTCAGTTTGATTGTAGAGAAGGACCTACTAACCTTCCACTAGAGGGTATCTTTAGCCCATTTAGTCTTTTGTAAAAATAACAATGTTTTGCTTAATATTATTTTACCTTTTAACTATACCTGACCCTAAGGAGAAAGTCAAGGAACAGTCTTGATGTTAACAGAACTCTTAAGAAACACACACACACACACACACACACACACACACACACACAATCTTTTTCATTAACAGTTACAGTAGTAATAACTGTTACTACTATTAAATTCTCTTTGGAACGAATCAACACTCTTCCTTCTCCACTCTTTTCCACAAAAAAAGAGAGTCTTTTTTAATTTGGGCAGCAAGAATATAATTAACACTAAAATATTTATTATTGCTCTATAAAAATATACCCTAAGCATTACAGCAATGGGAAAAAAATCACAAAGGAAAGGATGGACAGATTTGACTCAATATAAACATCAAATACTTGAATGTAAAGTAAAAGTACAAAGAAAATTTAAATGTAAATAAGCTAGCAAAATCATTGTCCCAAATATAAGAACACTTCATACAGATATAAAACTGTAAGCTCTGATAAAAGTAGGCACAATATGAACAGATAACTTATTTATTTATTTATTTATTTTTGTTTGAGACTGAGTCCCAATCTGTGGTGCCCAGGCTGGAGTTGCAGTGGCGTAATCTCAGCTCACTGCAACCTCCACCTCCCGAGTTCAAGTGATTCTCCTGTCTCAGCCACCTGAGTAGCTGGGATTACAGGTGCAGGCTACCACGCCTGGCTAATTTTTGTATTTTTATTAGAGACAGGGTTTCACCATGTTGGCCAGGCTGGTCTCAAACTCCCGACCTCAGGAGATCCACCCGCCTTGGCCTCCCAAAGTGCTGGCATTACAGGCGTGAGCCATTGCGCCCAGCCTGAACAGATAATTTAATGAAAACAGGTAATAAATGAACAAACCTTATTAGTAATCTAGGAAACATTCGGGAGGCCAAGGCAGGTAGATAGCTGAGTCCAGGAGCTCAAGACTGGCCTGGGCAACATGGCGAAATTTTGTCTCTGCAAAAAAATACAAAAATTAGACAAGGTGTTATGGCACCTACGTTTCCAGCTTGGGAGGCTCAGCTGGGGAAGTCACTTGAGCCTGGGAGGCGGAAGTTGCAGTGAGCCGAGATTGAGCTACTGCACTCCAGCCTGGGCGACAGAGGGAGACTCTGTCTCAAATAATAATAATAATAATAATCATCATCATCATCTAGGAAACAAAAATTATTATATACTTTTCTACCTGAAAAGTTAGGAAAAAGGTAATGTTAGTGAGCATGGAAAGAGAAGTGCGTTCTTATGCACTGCAGGTAGGAGAATAAATCAGTACATTTCCAGGAAGCAGTTTGGTGATACATATAAAGAATCTCCAAAACTATACTGTGACCAAAAAAAAAAAAAAATTATAATCCTAAGAATCTATCCTTAAAACATTATTAGGACTTAGAACTCAGATGTTGGATTCTGACACCATTCCCTAGTAAAGAGCCTTTCTTCAAAGGCTCTTGGACGAAATGGGTGGGCCAGAAAAGGTACAAGGTGAGCCTGAAGCAACTTATTAGGTCAAAGAGTAAGGAACTGCTCAAAATGATAGGGCATGACACGAGAACACAGGAGCCAGCTTGAAGGGGCTCCCATTCATCAAATATAGGACAATTTGAGCACCAACCATTGGGAAAAAACAAACAAACAAACAAAAAAACCTAGTAATTTCATTAGTCCATGCTAATAACATGTAGATAAATATGTAAAGAAAGAAGAGGTCTTGCTTATGCAAGAATGCCAAGTGCTGAATTGTAAATGTGAAAAGAGTAATTGAACTGGAAAATCTTCATTTTTTTTCTGCCAACACAGTAAATATTGATTCATTTGGGCAAAAATTATCAATAGATGCTAAATCTAGAGATAAATTTTTGATGAGGAGCAGGATATTTGGATGACCTTATGATATCTTCCCATAGATTGCTTATTAGGAATAAGAGAAAAAAACTACTATCATTTGAACAACTCAGACAATACCTTGACCAGCAGATCAAAATTGACATCACAAATAAGGGGCATTTGACACACAGATTATATGCTTCTAGGTGTGACTCCCTGAGGACAACATCACTAATGTGCTATTCTGGCCAGAATGCATACTCTGAAACTAATCATGAGGAAGTATCAGACAAACTCAAAATAAGGAACATTCTAGTTTTTTTTTTAAAAAAGGGATTGTTTTTTCAAAAATGGCAATGTCATAAAAGACAATGAAATGCTGGCCGGGCACAGTGACTCACACCTGTAATCCCAGCACTTTGAGAGGCCAAGGTGGGCGGATCGCTTGAGCTCAGGAGTTGGAGACCAGCCTGGGTGACATGGTGAAGCCCCATCTCTACAAAAAATACAAAAAAAAATTAGCTGGGAGTGGTGGCACATGTCTGCTGTCCCAGCTACTCAGGAGGCTGAGGTCTGAGGATGACTTGAGCCAAGGAGACAGGGGTTGCAGTGAGCTGAGTTTGCACCACTGCACTCTGGCCTGGGTGACAAAGCCAGACCCTGTCTCAAAAAAAAAAAAAAAAAAAAAAAAATTCCCTGTCAATCTATGAACCCAGAAATTCTGAGACAGATCTCAGTTAATTTAGAAAGTTTATTTTGCCAAAGTTGAGGATGTGCCCGTGACACAGCCTCAGGAAGTCCTGACAACATGTGCCCAAGGTGCTCAGTCACAGCTTAGTTTTATACATTTTAAGGAGACACGAGACATCAAACAACATATGTAAGAAGTACACTGTTTCGGTCTGGAAAGGCGGGACAACTTGAAGCAAAGCTAGGAAGACTTGAAGCAGAGAGGAGGCTTACAGGTCACAAATAGGTGAGGCACAAATGGTTGCATTCTTTTGAGTTTCTGATTCGCCTTTCCGAAGGAGGCAATCAGATATGCATCTGTGTCAGTGAGCAGAGGGGTGACTTTGAGTAGAATGGGAGGCAGGTTGGCCCTAAGCAGTTCCCAGCTTGACTTTTCCCTTTAGCTTAGTGATTTGGGGGCTCCAAGATTTATTTTCCTTTCACACATCCATCCGTTCATCCTATATAGAAAAAAAAATTTTTTTAAATACAAAAAAAGACAAGGAAATGTTCCATATTAAAGGAGAATAAAGAGACCTGGCAACAAAATATAATACCTAATCCTAGACTGGATCCTGTGCTAGACACGGGAAAAATGCTATAAAATACATTATGGGGTCAATTGACAAAATTGGAATATGGATGGTAGATTAAGAAAAAGTATTATATTAATGTTAAGTCTACTAAAGTTGATAACTGAACTATGGGCATATAAGTGATACACCCCTATTCTTAGAAAATAGACAAGTTTTAGGGGTAAATGTGGTAGGAAAAAATGGTTCAGAAAAATATGTATATTCTCTCTTTGTATATCTAACTATATCTATCTCTATCTCTACATACATAAAGAGATGAAGGGATTAAAACTCGCCAGTATAAAAATTACTTTAAATGGAAAACATATGAGTTGCAGTAGATGCAGAAAAAAAGCTTCTCTGAACTTCCCTTAGCTCACTAAAGCAGAGCCTCCCAAAAATACAACTTCCATTTAACTTCCTGTGAGGGCTTGCTCTTTGGAAGATGACTGACTCTTTGGGGAGGTGCAAATTCAGCTGCCATAAATCTCCCTCTAGGGGAGTTTCCAACCAGGAAGGAGACTGTCCATTCGTATCAGGATGAAAAAAACCTAATAGAACTTTCGATACTTTCCTACTGAAGCCCTACATCCCCACTTTTCCTTAAGTAAACAGATACATAGGCTCTTACTCCTAGCTGTTCACCAAGGTGCTCCCTACTGTGTACTTCCATCCATGTGAACAAACCTTGTCTTTTATCTTAGTCAGTTGATTCGCATGCCCCCAACCACTCCAAGTTAAGCCCTAAGTGTGTTGGGGTGGGGAGATGACTACATTTCTCCTTGTCTTCTCTGACTCCAAATTTTTGCTTCTGATGAATCATTTACATGTAAAGATGTCTGGCTGTTGATGCGGTCTCTCTTCTCCAGAGCATGGTCTCACATAGGTCACATCTCCTTCTTGACTTCCTCCTAAAGTATAAAATAAGTAATTTGCATGTTTTGGGAAAATAAAATTCCTACCAACAAAGAGAGACTTCTTCACATTAATGTAGAAAGAAGGAAACAGATTTATTACTGAATGAGCACAATAGAGTACATGTGTACTAGCTGCCTGTGAGTCACTATGAAGTCAGGTTGAATTTTTTTTTTTTTTAGAGAGAGGGTCTTGCTCTATTTCCCAGGCAGGAGTGTAGTGGCATGATCATAGCTCATTGTAACCTCAAACTCCTGGACTCAAGTGATATTCCTGCCTCAGCCACCCAAGTGTCTAGGACTACAGGTGCACTCCACCGTGCCTAACTTTTTTTTTTTTTTTTTTTTTTTTTTAGAGACGAGGTCTCTCTATGTTGCCCAGCTCTTGAACTCCTGACCTCAAAAGTCATGCTCGGCCTCCCAAAGCACTCATGATGAAATTTCACACAATTAATTCTGTAAAGCAGAAGAAAAAATAATACAATGTCTCTTACCTTCTTGGGAGACAACTAGTTATATCTCAAGATAGGCTTTTAGGTTAAGTCCAGGGGTGTGTGTTGACATTTCAAGGGGTGGTGAGGCCTAGACTTTGGAGACTTCTCTGCATAGTGAAACAAGAAATGCGGGTTCTCTAGCCACTGGGGAGATTTATCCATGTTCAAAGAGTTACAGTAAAAACTCGGGTCCATTCTATTTCCAGGAGACCCTTTGAGAAGAGAAGGGGGTGACAGACCTCTTACCCTTTATAAGCCTCAGGTGCAGCAGCAGTTTTTCTGACTTTTGGGATGATGTGTATGAAGGCCAGGATACATGGTGGCATCACATGGCAAACAACTGAAAGTTGAACTTCAAATATCCTTGTTATTAAAGTCCTTTCGGCCAGGCGCGGAGGCTCATGCCTGTAATCCTGGCACTTTGGGAGGCCAAGGCAGGAGGATCACAAGGTCAGGAGATCAAGACCATCCTGGCTAACATGGAGAAACCCTGTCTCTACTAAAAAAAATACAAAAAAAATTAGCCAGGCCTGGTGGCGGGTACCTGTAGTCCCAGCTACGGGGGAGGCTGAGGCAGAAGAATGGCATGAACTCAGGAGGCGGAGCTTGCAGTGAGCCCAGATTGCGCCACTGCACTCCAGCCTGGGCGACAGAGCGAGACTCTGTCTCAAAAAAAAAAAAAAAAAAAAAAAGATAAAGTCCTTTGGCCACCCTAATGACTGGAATTTCCCACTGGGCACCTCTCTCCCAGGAGGCTCTGGCCTCCTGCCATGGTTTCTTACTCCCTTCATGACTTCACGCTCCGTGCTTCTCCCCTTTGGACACTTTTCTCCCCTAGACCGCCAACAAACTAAATTTTCCTCATCTTATGATGCAGAACAAGTAAGTTTTCCATCCACTACAAGGCTCTGGAGCATCAGAGACATTTCCACTCCCCAGAAGCTTAAATGCTGGCCTTCTACAATGATAGGCTTTGGCTCCAGAGTCCAGACTATCTGCAGATAAAAATGGGCAGAGGCTTTGAAATTTCAGTTTTTTTCCCCATCAGTCTTTGAGGGGAAGGAAGAGAGAAGTGGAGACATATTGCTAATATGAATTATGACATCCTTCCCCTCCACACCCTCCTTAGAAAACGAATGACTACACTCAGCTTGGGGCTTAACTTATTATTTTTCTCTGATGTTTTGAAATTTCTTTTTCCTAAGATATCTATTTTTATTCACATTTTATCTAAAAATTGAACTACAATCATTGCTCGGCCTTTTGGCTAAGATCAAGCATAGTGAAAATTGAAATGCATCTTACATTTACCATCAAATGAAGAAATACCACTTTTACAGAAGAAATTAGCAAAGGCTTTTGGTTTTGAATGACCAGATGAGTGAAAAATATGTTGTTATTAATAGTAGCTAGCTGAGTAGCAAGTTGTCATTGATAACCACATTGCATCACCCGGGAAGCGCAAGGGGTCAGGGAATTCCCTTTCACAGCCAAGCAAAGCTGTGACAGATGGTACCTGGAAAATCAGGTCACTCCCACCCTCATACTGCGCTTTTCCAATGGTCTTAGCAAATGGCACACCAGGAGATTATATCCTGCACCTGGCTTGGAGGGTCCCACGCCCACGGAGCCTTGCTCATTGCTAGCACAGCAGTCTGAGATCGAACTGCAAGGTGGCAGCAAGGCTGGGGGAGGGGCGCCCGCCACTGCTGAGGCTTGAGTAGGTAAACAAAGCAAAGCGGCCGGGAAGCTCGAACTGGGTGGAGCCAACCGCAGCTCAAGGAGGCCTGCCTGCCTCTGTAGACTCCACCTCTGGGGGCAGGGCATAGCCGAGCAAAAGGCAGCAGAAACCTCTGCAGACTTAAATGTCCCTGTCTGACAGCTTTGAAGAGAGTAGTGGTTCTCCCAGCATGGAGTTTGAGATCTGAGAACAGACAGACTGCCTCCTCAAGTGGGTCCCTGACCCCCAAGTAGCCTAGCTGGGAGGCACCCCCCAGTAGGGTCAGACTGACACCTCACACAGCCAGGTACCCCTCTGAGATGAAACCTCCAGAGGAACGATCAGACAGCAACATTTGCTGTTCAGCAATATTCCCTGTTCTGCAGCCTCTGCTGCTGATACCCAGGCAAACAGGGTCTGGAGCAGACCTCCAGCAAACTCCAACAGACCTGCAGCTGAGGGTCCTGACTGTTAAAAGGAAAACTAACAAACAGAAAGGACATCCACACCAAAACCCCATCTGTATGTCAGTATCATTAAAGACCAAAGGTAGATAAAACCACAAACGTGGGGAAAAAACAGAACAGAAAAACTGAAAATTATAAAAATCAGAGCACCTCTCCTCCTCCAAAGGAACACAGCTCCTCACCAGCAATGGAACAAAGCTGGACAGAGAATGACTTTGACGAGTTGAGAGAAGGCTTCAGACGATCAAACTTCTCCGAGCTAAAGGAGAAAGTTCGAACCCATTGCAAAGAAGTTAAAAACCTTGAAAAAAGATTAGACTAATTGCTAACTAGAATAACCAATGCAGAGAAGTCCTTAAAGGACCTGATGGAGCTGAAAACCATGGCACGAGAAATACGTGACAAATGCACAAGCTTCAGTAGCCGATTCGATCAACTGGAAGAAAGGGCATCAGTGAATGAAGATCAATTGAATGAAATGAAGCAAGAAGAGAAGTTTAGGGAAAAAAGAATAAAAAGAAATGAACAAAGCCTCCAAGAAATATGGGACTATGTGAAAAGACCAAATCTACATCTGATTGGTGTACCTGAAAGTGATGGGGAGAATGCAACCAAGTTGGAAAACACTCTGCAGGATATTATCCAGGAGAACTTCCCCAACCTAGCAAGGCAGACCAACATTCAAATGCAGGAAATACAGAGAATGCCACAAAGATATTACTCAAGAAGAGCAACTCCAAGACACATAATTGTTAGATTCACCAAAGTTGAAATGAAGGAAAAAATGTTAAGGGTAGCCAGAGAGAAAGGTCGGGCTACCCACAAAGGGAAGCCCATCAGACTAACAGCTGATCTCTCGGCAGAAACTCTACAAGCCAGAAGAGAGGGGAGGCCAATATTCAACATTCTTACAGAGAAGAATTTTCAACCCAGAATTTCATATCCAACCAAACTAAGCTTCATAAATGAAGGAGAAATAAAATCCTTTACAGACAAGCAAATGCTGAGAGACTTTGTCATCACCAGGCCTGCCCTAAAAGAGCTCCTGAAGGAAGCACTAAACATGGAAAGGAACAACTGGTACCAGCCACTGCAAAAACATACCAAATTGTAAAGACCATCAATGCTAGGAAGAAACTGCATCAACTAACAAGCAAAATAACCAGCTAACATCATAATGACAGGATCAAATCCACACATAACAATATTAACCTTAAATGTAAATGGGCTAAATGCTGCAATTAAAAGACACAGACTGGCAAATTGGATAAAGAGTCAAGACCCATCAGTGTGCTGTATTCAGGAAACCCATCTCACATGCAGAGATACACATAGGCTCAAAATAAAGGGATGGAGGAAGATCTACCAAGCAAACGGAAAACAAAAAAAAGGCAGGGGTTGCAATCCTAGTCTCTGATAAAACAGGCGTTAAACCAACAAAGATCAAAAGAGACAAAGAAGGCCATTACATAATGGTAAAGGGATCAATTCAACAAGAAGACCTAACTATCCTAAATATATATGCACCCAATACAGGAGCATCCAGATTCGTAAAGCAAGTCCTTAGAGACCTACAAAGAGACTTAGACTCCCACACAATAATAATGGGAGACTTTAACACCCCACTGTCAACATTAGACAGATCAATGAGACAGAAAGTTAAAAAGGATATCCAGGAATTGAAATCAGCTCTGCACCAAGCACACCTAACAGACATCTACAGAATTCTCCACCCCAAATCAACAGAATATACATTCTTCTCAGCACCACACCGCACCTATTCCAAAATTGACCACATAGTTGGAAGTAAAGCACTCCTCAGCAAATGTAAAAGAACAGAAATTATAACAAACTGTCTCTCAGACCACAGTGCAATCAAACTAGAACTCAGGATTAAGAAACTCACTCAAAACCACTCAACTATATGGAAACTGAACAACCTGCTCCTGAATGACTACTGGGTACATAACGAAATGAAGGCAGAAATAAAGATGTTCTTTGAAACCAATGAGAACAAAGACACAACATACCAGAATCTCTGGGACACATTTAAAGCAGTGTGTAGAGGGAAATTTATGCACTAAATGCCCACAAGAGAAAGCAAGAAAGATCTAAAATTGACACCCTAACATCACAAGTAAAAGAACTAGAGAAGCAAGAGCAAACACATTCAAAAGCTAGCAGAAGGCAAGAAATAACTAAGATCAGAGCAGAACTGAAGGAGATAGAGACACAAAAAACCCTTCAAAAAAATCAATGAATCCAGGAGCTGGTTTTTTGAAAAGATCAACAAAATTGATAGACTGCTAGCAAGACTAATAAGGAAGAAAAGAGAGAAGAATCAAATTGACGCAATAAAAAATGATAAAGGGGATATCACCACCGATCCCACAGAAATACAAACTATCATCAGAGAATACTATAAACACCTCTACGCAAATAAACTAGAAAATCTAGAAGAAATGGATAAATTCCTGGACACATACACCCTCCCAAGACTAAACCAGGAAGAAGTTGAATCTCTGAATAGACCAATAACAGGCTCTGAAATTGAGGCAATAATTAATACCTTACCAACAAAAAAAGTCCAGGACCAGATGGATTCACAGCCGAATTCTACCAGAGGTACAACGAGGAGCTGGTACCATTCCTTCTGAAACTATTCCAATCAATACAAAAAGAGGGAATCCTTCCTAACTCATTTTATGAGGCCGGCATCATCCTGATACCAAAGCCTGGCAGAGACACAACAAAAAAAGAGAATTTTAAACCAATATCCCTGATGAACATCGATGCAAAAATCCTCAATAAAATACTGGCAAACCAAATCCAGCAGCACATCAAAAAGCTTATCCACCATGATCAAGGGGGCTTCATCCCTGGGATGCAAGGCTGGTTCAACATACGAAAATCAATAAATGTAGTCCAGCATGTAAACAGAACCAAACACAAAAACCACATGATTATCTCAATAGATGCAGAAAAGGCTTTCGACAAAATTCAACGGCCCTTCATGCTAAAAACTCTCAATAAATTAAGTATTGATGGGACGTATCTCAAAATAATAAGAGCTACTTATGACAAACCCACAGCCAATATCATACTGAATAGGCAAAAACTGGAAGCATTCCCTTTGAAAACTGGCACAAGACAGGGATGCCCTCTCTCACCACTCCTATTCAACATAGTGTTGGAAGTTCTGGCCAGGACAATCAGGCAGGAGAAAGAAATAAAGGGTATTCAATTATGAAAAGAGGAAGTCAAATTGTCCTTGCTTGCAGATGACATGATTGTATATCTAGAAAACCCCATTGTCTCAGCCCAAAATCTCCTTAAGCTCATAAGCAACTTCAGAAAAGTCTCAGTATACAAAATCAATGTGCAAAAATCACAAGCATTCTTATACACCAATAACAGACAAACAGAGAGCCAAATCGTGAGTAAACTCCCATTCACAATTGCTTCAAAGAGAATAAAATACCTAGGAATCCAACTTACAAGGGATGTGAAGGACCTCTTCAAGAAGAACTACAAACCACTGCTCAATGAAATAAAAGAGGACACAAACAAATGGAAGAACATTGCATGCTCATGAATAGGAAGAATCAATATCGTGAAACTGGCCATACTGCCCAAGGTAATTTATAGATTCAATGCCATCCCCATCAAGCTACCAGTGACTTTCTTCACAGAATTGGAAAAAACTATTTTAAAGTTCATATGGAACCAAAAAAGGGCCTGCATTGCCAAGTCAATCCTAAGCCAAAAGAACAAAGCTGGAGGCATCACGCTACCTGACTTCAAGCTATACTACAAGGCTACAGTAACCAAAACAGCATGGTACTGGTACCAAAACAGAGATATAGACCAATGGAACAGAACAGAGCCCTCAGAAATAATACCACACATCTACAACCATCTGATCTTTGACAAACCTGACAAAAAGAAGAAATGGGGAAAGGATTCCCTATTTAACAAATGTTGCTGGGAAAACTGGCTAGCCATATGTAGAAAGCTGAAACTGGATCCCTTATACCTTATACAAAAATTAATTCAAGAGGGATTAAAGACTTACATGTTAGACCTAAAACCATAAAAACCCTAGAAGAAAACCTAGGCAATACCATTCAGGACATAGGCATGGGCAAGGACTTCATGTCTAAAACACCAAAAGCAGTGGCAACAAAGACTAAAATTGACAAATGAGATCTAATTAAACTAAAGAGCTTCTGCACAGCAAAAGAAACTACCATCAGAGTGAAAAGGCAACCTACAGAATGGGAAAAAATTTTTGCAATCTACTTATCTGACAAAGGGCTAATATCCAGAATCTACAAAGAACTCAAACAAATTTACAAGAAAAAAAGAAACAATCCCATCTGAAAGCGGGCGAAGGATATGAACAGACACTTCTCAAAAGAAGACATTTACGCAGCCAACAGACAGATGAAAAAATGCTCATCATCACTGGCCATCAGAGAAATGCAAATGAAAACCAAAATGAGGTATCATCTCACACCAGTTAGAATGGTGATCTTTAAAAAGTCAGGAAACAACAGGTACTGGAGAGGATGTGGAGAAATAGGAACACTTTTACACTGTTGGTGGGACTGTAAACTAGTACAACCATTGTGGAAGTCAGTGTGGCGATTCCTCAAGGATCTAGAACTAGAAATACCATTTGACCCAGCCATCCCATTACTGGGTATATACTCAAAGGAATATAAATCATGCTGCTATAAAGACACATGCACACGTATGTTTATTGCAGCACTATTCACAATAGCAAAGACTTGGAACCAAGCCAAATGTCCAACAATGATAGACTGGATTAAGCAAATGTGGCACATATACACCATGGAATACTATGCAGCCATAAAAAATGATGAGTTCATGTCCTTTGTAGGGACATGGATGAAGCTAGAAACCATCATTGTCAGCAAACTATCGCAAGGACAAAAAAACCAAACACTGCACGTTCTCACTCATAGGTGGGAATTGAACAATGAGAACACTTGGACACAGGAAGGGGAACATCACACACCAGGGCCTATTGTGGGATGGGGGGAGGGGGGAGGGATAGCACTGGGAGATATACCTAATGTAAATAATGAGTTAATGGGTGCAGCACACCAACATGGCACATGTATACCTATGTAACAAACCTGCACGTTGTGCACATGTACCCTAGAACTTAAAGTATAATTTTAAAAAATGTATATTAAAAAAAAGATATCATGATCAGGAGCCATGTCTGTACATCACCATGTCTCCATGACAATCTTCAAGGGAAATCTTCATATTCAGAATGTGAAGAAGTTCTGGACTTAGATTTCAATTGCAATACTGAAGAGAAGAGTTAATTATGTAGCTTGCACTATATTAGTTTGCTAGGGCTGCCATAACATGATACCATAGACTGGATGGCTTAAACAACTAAAATTTATTTTTCCAGAATTCTGGAGTCTAGAGGTCCAAGATCAAGGTTTCAACAAATGTAGTTTTTCCTGACACCACTCTTCTGTCACTTTCAGATGACCACCTTCTTGCTGTTCTTCACATAGTCTTTCCTTCTTCTAAGGACATCAGTCATATTCGATTAGGACTCACCCTAACGACTTCATGTTAACTTAGTAACCTCTCTAAATGTTCTGTCTCTAAATACAGTCGCATTCTGAGGTACTAGAAATTAGGGCTTCAACATTTGAACTTGGGAGTGAAGGGAAACAGTTCAGCCCATAACCTGCATGAATTGGAAGTTAATTGGAAAGAACTGCATACATGTAATAAACTATCTTCTTCACCCCAAAAAGCTATAATTAAACCCTAACCTCACTGTATCTACCAATTGCAAATTATTATGTCCTGACCTTGCCAAACTTAATGAAGTCTTCACCCTATCCCCAAAAGTCCCCAACCCTCTCCTTCAGTCACCACACCCTGCAGTGAAAGGCTCACAATACCCTAAAGAAAATCTCATAAAATATCCTGCCTTTTCCCTCCCCACTCTGAAACACTGCTTAAGACTTTTCAATGTAGTATTACCCTTTATCATTTAAAGCAATAAACTCAGTTTCATTTTATCAACAGGTTATTTTGGTTGTATTTTCCAGAAGCCAGCGCTCAACATTTAGAAGAGTCCTAAGAAGTTGCCCAGTTCTATTATCAGTCAGATGCTTGAGTCCCTCATACATTACCCTAGCAAGTGATATTCTGGTTTCTACCTGAATACTTCTAGGGCCTGGGATTTCACTGTCTTCCAAGACATTGTTCTTTAGGCAGTGACATCTTTGGAGTAGTCCAGGTGTTTCACAGAAGGTAATAATATGGTGATAATAAATATCATTCAAGTGAGTGAAAGGATGGATGGTACATTTCAGGTTTGAGTGTCCCTCCTACCAGGAAACTAAGAAAACCATGATTGACAATTTTATGTTCATCTTTCAAACTATTTTCTTTTTCTATGTTTTATTTCTTATTTACTACCTCTTTGTAAAAAAATTGTGATTTTTTTGGCTTATGATTAATATATTCTCTATGTAGAATGTTTGGAAATTCCTAAATAAAAACAAATCTTTGGAATCTGAAAATAAACATTTAGATAAGAAATACGAAATATGTTTTACAAAATATGTTTAACTTTACTTTCAAATCTTTAAGGTTATTTTCACTGAATTTCTGAATTTTTTGTTACATTCTTTCTTAACTCACTTTGAATTAGTGAAAACACATTTTCACTGACATCAATTCAAAAAAATAATAAAACTAGAATGTGAAGAAAGAGAAGAAAAATAAGATAAATAGCTCCCCCAATCCTACTAATAACAAAAAATACAAATTTCTGACACACTAACAAGGAGAAACATAGCATTGCTGATTATCTCTTTGATATAGAAATTAGACACATTTGTCAAAAGTTTTTGTCAATAATCCAGTTGAAAATAAGGTTAAAAATCTTTCTGAGGTTCTAGTTATGAATGAAAACTACTTAAAATTTTAATAAGTTCAAGGAGGGAGAAGTAAAAAAAATAATGTCTTAATAAGACATTATTAAGTAATCAGTATATAGAGGAAAGGTGTGTATGCATGGTATTTGGAAATGTTTGGAAAATACCAAGCAGATATATTACTTGGATTATGGTATATATTATTGTTTCCATTTTGTTCTTACATGGGAAAACCATTGACCAAAGATTAGCAGGGATAATAGAAATTCCAGTCAAATTATGCAGATCTGCAGAGCTCATGATCTTATGATGTAAGTAATTTGATAATTTACAAATATTAATTTGTACCCATTCTACCCGGAAAGTCTCCAGCAAATTTCAACTTTCTTTCTATCCGTACTTGACAGTGGCTTACACCTGAGCTTTATCATCTTTTGTTGGATTATTTTTTATTTTTGTAAACAAATTTTATTTTAGCGACCAGGTGTAGTGGCTCATACCTGTAATCCCAATGCTCTGGGAGGACTAGGAAGGAGGATCACTTGAGGCCAGGAGTTCAAAACCAGCCTGGGCAACATGAGACACCACCTCTAAAAAAAAATTTTAATTAGCTGGGCATGATAATTCACACCTGTAGTCCTAATCCTAGTCCTAGGTGGGAGGATTGCTCAAGCCCAGGAGTTTGGAGGCTGGAGTGAGCAGTTATTGCGCCACTGCACGCCAGCCTGGACCACAGAGCCAGACCCTGTCTCTAAAAACAAAATTTATTTCTCACAGTGGGAAAAAAAATAAAAATAAAATTTAAAAATAAAAAAATTAGTTTAATCAATGTAAGATGTGGATACCATTTAAAAAATCAAATAATATGTCATGTTGCTAATAAGCTGTATTGCCAAATACTATTTTTAACTAGACATTATCTGTCAATGGAGGATAAGATTATCACTCTCTTACATCTCCCTCCTGCATACTTTTTCTCACCCCTCCCTTTAATATAGTTATGATAGCACAATTTCTAATTAAATGAAAATTCGGTTACTACTATGATAGTGTAAATACTGTTCACTACAGGGCCAAGT
Source organism: Homo sapiens (assembly GCF_000001405.40). Lineage (NCBI taxonomy): Eukaryota > Metazoa > Chordata > Mammalia > Primates > Hominidae > Homo > Homo sapiens. The sequence goes on along the minus strand of NC_000003.12, from coordinate 161,187,504 downwards.
ACGTTTCTATGATTATGTTTCTTTTTTTGAATAGCCTTTTTTCTCCTGTAGTGAATAACTGTTTCGTTTTCCTTTTATTTTTTGTTTTTTATGAATCTATTGTTAATGTTTTCTAAATGCTCCATCATATGTGTCAAATACCTATTGCTATTATTTTCCAAATGGTCATACAAAGCAGATAATTTACCAATTCCATCTCCCTTCACCCCTCTCCTCATCCCCGAGGCCTACATATCCTTATTCTGATCTGGGCTGGCTGCTTTCCAGCCTGCTGCATAACTGTCACTCTGGGATCCCTTTGTCATCATCCTCAGACTTTCTAAAACCATGTTTTGTGTTAGATTACAGCAGCATCATAAAAAATAAATAGTTAGTCTTTGTCCCTGGTTCCTGGCACAGAACTTCTAAACCCCTTGTAATTTCCTGAGTGATAGGCATGTCTTTTTTTTTTTTTTTTTTAATTTTACTTCAAGTTCCGGGATACATGTGCAGAACATGCAGGTTTGTTACATAGGTATGCGTGTGCCATGATGGGTTGCTGCACCTATTGACCAGTCCTCTAAGTTCCTTCTCCTCGCCCCCCAGCCCCCAACAGGCCCTGGTGTGTGTTGTTCCCCTCCCTGTGTCCATGTATTCTCATTGTTCAACTCCCACTTATGAGTGAGAACATGTGGTGTTTGGTTTTCTGTTCCTGTGTTAGTTCGCTGAGGATGATGGCTTCCAGCTTCATCCATGTTCCTGCAAAGGACATGATCTCATTTCTTTTTATGGCCGACTAGTATTCCATGGTGTACATGTACCACATTTTCTTTATCCAGTCTGTCATTGATGGACATTTGGGTTGGTTCCATGACTTTGCTATTGTAAATAGTGCTGCAATAAACATATGTGTGCATATGTCTTTATAGGTGGAAATATTCCCTTTGAAAACCAGTACAAGAAAAAGATGCCCACCACTCTCACTACTCCTATTCAACATAGTATTGGAAGTTCTGGCCAGCACAATCAGACAAGAGAAAGAAGTAAAGTGTATTCAAATAGGAAGAGAGGAAGTCAAATTGTCTGTTTGCAGAGGACATATTCTATATTTAGAAAACCCCATCATCTCAGCCTAAAATCTTTTAAAGCCAATGAGCAGCTTCAGCAAAGTCTCAGGATACAAAATCAGTGGGCATGTCTTTTCTTATTATTCATAGCAAGCTTTCCATTTTTTAATTTTTGTTTGTATTTATTTTTATTTTTTATTTATTTTTTTGAGATGGAGTCTCACTCTGTCACCCAGGCTGGAGTGCAATGGCGTGATCTCAGCTCACTGCAACCTCCACCTCCCGGGTTCAAGAGATTCTCCTGCCTCAGCTTCCCGAGTAGCTGGGATTACAGGCACCTGCCACCACGCTTGGCTAATTTTTTTGTATTTTCAGTAGAGACAGGGTTTCACCATGTTAGCCGGGATGGTCTCAATCTCCTGATCTTGTGATCCTCCCACCTCGGCCTCCCAAAGTGCTGGGATTACAGGCGTGAGCCACCATGCTTGGCTTTTTTTTTTTTTTAATTTTAAGAGATGGGATTTCACTGTATCGCCCAGGCTGGAGAGTGCAGTGGCATAAATCATAGCTCACTACAGTCTTAAACTGCTGGGTTCAAGCCATCCTCCTACCTCAGCTTCCTGAGTAGATGAAACTGCAAGCACATACCATCATGCTCAGCTACTTAAAAAAAAAATTTTGTTGCAGACAGGGTTGTGCTCTGTTGCCCAGGTTGGTCTCAAACTCCTGGCCTCAATCAATCCTCCCAAAGTGCTGAGATTACAGGCATGAAAGACCCTTTTGATCACACCTGAATTTACGCTAATCAGATGACTAAGGGTAGGACCCCTAGATAGCTTCAGGATGGAACTGATCACCAGAAAGATCAAGTGATTAGAAGGTTGGAATTTTCAGCCCCACTCACTGACCTCTGGGGTGTGGGGGTGGGGTGGAGATTGAGCTTTATAAAAACTCTTGAACAACAAGATTCCATGAGTTTCCAGATTGGTGAACATATTGATGTGCTGGGAGAGTGGGCACCTGGAGAGGGCATGGAGGCTTTATACCACCCCTACAGCTAGCCCTGTACACCTCTTCTATTTGGCTGTTTCTGAGTGGCAGTCTTGTGGGACCGGGCCCTTAACCTGTGGGCTCTGATACTAACTCCAGGACTTAGTGTCAGAATTGAATTAAATTTGGGGACACTTAATTGGTGTTGAAGAATTGAATAGAGAATTGTTATAGGAAACCCACATACCTTTGGTGGCAGAATTACCCATTTCTTATATTCCAGGTTTTTCCCTTTTTTTTTTTTTTTGGTTTTTGGATTATCTGTTCACTTTTCTAGAGCATATCCTTCCTGAGAAAAGAATGGATGTGTACATTTTGAGTCCTTCTATGTCTGTATTCTGTCTTCAAATGTGACTGCAAATTTGACTGAATTGAGTAGAGTTGCCGCATATGGTTGTAAAGATTATGCACTGCAAAACCCTAGGGGGTCATTTTTATTCAAAGTGTTTTAAAAATGCGAACCAAAACCGAAAAGCTCTAGGGGATGTCATTCACTGCATGTTGGTTTGGATTGAATATTACTTTCCAGAATTTTGAAGGCATTTTCTCATTTCTTCTAGCTTGCAATGATAATGTTAAAAAGCCTGACGTCACTGTGATCGTCTTCTTTTCCTCTTCTTTCAATGTGTACTGTTTTCTTCATCTCCCTTCACCCACTTCCATGCCTCTCTCTCCTTTTTCTCCACAAACTTAAAAAAAGATTCTCTTTATCTCTAGCGTTCCAAGATTTCACAACAAGGTAACTTGGTGTGGGCATTTTCTCAACTTTTCGCATGGACTCTGTTGGTACTTTCAATCTGAAGACTAATATTCTTCCATTCTGGGAGATTTTCTTCAATTAATTTTTGGTAGTTTCCTCCCCTCAGTTCTCTCTGTGGCCTTCTCTAAATCTTCTATTAGTTACAAAGTGAGCCTCTTAGACTTAATCTCCTCTTCTTTTTGTTAATAGTTTCTCCTGTCTTTTATCTCTTTATGTTTTTTATTTCCTAAACTTCCTCAACTTCCAACTCTATTTAAATTTTTAATTTCAGTAACATTTAACATATTTAAATGACTAGAAAAAATTTTAAAAATGTTTTGAATTAACTAATTTATTTACAGAAACATCAATTCTTTTTTAATTTTTATTTTAAATTGTAAATTGACAAATTATAATTGTATATATTTATGGGGTACAGGATGTTATGATTTATGAATACAATGTGGAATAATGGAATCCAGCTAATTGTCATATCCATCACCTCAAATACTTATTTTTGTGGTGAGAACATTTGGAATTTACTCCCTTAGCAATTTCTTCTTTAGTTTTATTTTGTTTTTAATTGACATAACAATCATATGTACTTAAGGAGTATACTGTTTCAATGCATGTATACATTGTGTAATGATCAAATCAGGGTAATTAGCAAATTCCTCACCTCAAACATTATCATTTCATTGTGGTGAAAACATTAAAAATCCTCTCTTCTAGCTATTTTGAAATATACATTATCACTAACTATAGTCGTCCTACTGTGCAATAGAACAACAGAACTTGTTCCTCCTATCTAAGTGTAGCTTACTTTGTACCTGTTGACCAACCGTTTATCTCTATCTCCCCTGCCGCTCTGCTTTCTCCAACCTCTGGCAACCAGTATTCTACTCCCTACTTCTATGACATCAATTTTTTAAAATTCCTCATATGAATGAGATAATGTGGTATTTGTCCTATGCTCGGTTTATTTCACTTAACATAGTGTCTCTAGGTTTATTCATGTTGTTGCAAATGACAAGATTTCATTATTTTTTATGGCTGAATATTATTCCATTGTGCATATATATATATGTATGTATGTATATATATATGTATGTATCACATTTTAAAAAATCCATTCATCCATTGATGACACCTAGGTTGATTTCATATTTTGGCTACTGTGAAAAGTGCAGCAATAAGCATGGGAGTGCAGACATCTCTTCCACATATTGATTTCAAATATTTTGGATAAATATCTAGAAATGGAATTGCTGGATCAAGAAATTTCTTTATTTCTTTCCCATAGTTATCCTGTTTTTGCTTAATGGCTACAATATACTTATATATTTTAATTCTCTGAGGATATTTAGTATAGCATTTTTTTAAAGTTGTCTTTGCTTCCTCTGGGTTCCTATTTTCTGTTTGTTTATTTTGATCTCTCATATGTTAAATGATTCCTAAAGAATATGTTGATCTTTGGCCATCTTTCCATGTTAAAGGCTCTAAAATTTTATAAGTTCTGGCCTGTGGACAGGACTTGCCAAATAGTGGATGATCTGGTAATATATCAGCCTTTTAAGTCAGTCTATGGAGGTATTTTCTCTAAAACCTTTCAGTATTATTTTTTGTTTTTCAACTTTTTACCTAGGAAGAACATACCAAACTACTGGTGCTCTGGAAGGGATAGAGAAAGGAATCTGGGGGTCCCAAAGTCCAGTATTAGTCCAGTATTTAGAATTTCATTAATCCCCCTGCGTGCAACCCTTTATTTCACCTTCACTCTCTATCACTTACAGTGTGTTTAAGACCTACTCCTCTGGTTCAGTCTCTCCAGAAATAAGCCACGATTGCCTGACTAGGGATAGTCACCGATGCACAGGAGAGGAAACAGGGGTCTAACCTCTTTGTATACTAGCAGATCCCTCTGGTTTCAGTGCCATGTTTTAATCCATGGTGTCATTCATACTTGAGCCCTTCAGGTATTCTGTAGCAAAAACAGGTTCATTTCTTGAATTTCAGCTAGTCTATAGCTGAGATCACTTTGCTTAAATGAATGACTTATTTTACAATGACCTGTGATCTGATTTTGTAATATCACACGTTTTAAACCTTTGATATTTGACAAACCTTCCAAAATCAAATTATAAATCATGTCTTTTTCTGACCTAATTAATCCTTTAAGATATTAGTAACAGGTTCCCTAAAGTCCAAAAATGACATATTTGCCTTATTTGGTATAAAAATTATACAGGAAGCATTGTCAAATATGAAATGGTGTTTGGTTTTCTTTGGGCTGTATTTGTATAAATATGTTATTGGTATGTGTTCCAAAATTATGGGAAACTCCTATAATTCTGATATGACTTAATATATGTTATCAGTAATAATTATAATTGTTATGTTACATTATTGTATGCCACAGAGGTAACAAATTTCCTTGTCAAAGTGCCTTTGACTATAGCTGCCCTAAAACTTTTTGCCATCCATGGACAATTGTTATCTTGGTTTGATCGGTTTTATAATCAGCTATAAAATGCTAACAGGTGCTTTTTAATGCAGGTTTCTGATAACTTTGGAGATTGTGACATCAGGATAAAAGAAAACTTTCAGGACTCATGGAGAGCTGAAATGTTCATGAATGTCAAATAGAACAGGAATTAACTGCATGGACTAAACTAACAGAAGTCCAAAGTAATCTTTTTAACTTTTTACTTAAAACATTGGTGATACTTTGTTTTGTTTTTCAGAGCCGAGAAAACTTTTATTTTAACCTATTTACAGCTTTTAATGAATGAGTATACTCCTATGAACAACATTTGGATCATATTTGTTTCTCTCTGATTTCCACAGAATTTGGAAACTATTTGTGAGTATTTTTAACTTATGACAATACAGTTATTTGCATAAGTGCAATAAGAATCTGTTTTCATTTGTAACAGGACCCAGTTGGAGAAACTGGTTATTTTACCAAGGCTTTGACTAGAATGGTGTGCTTTCCTTTAAGGAATCAAACTGACTTATGGAGCCAATCAAAGCCCCTTGGAAAAACTGGCCTCATACCTTTGTCTACAGAGTTCCTGACCTGTGGTAAGTAAAGAATGTCACTTTCTGACAGGCCTAAGTTTATCTTGGAAGCTCAAGAGGAGAGGGATTTGGCCAACTCATAGGCCTTTGATGGCACAAATCCATGGCTGGGCTCGGCTTTAAAAAAGTCTTATCTGAGATTCCTTCTATGGAACAAAGTTCCATCAAAGCCAATTTAAAAGCCTGTGTTAAAAAGTATTATTCCTCCTGCAAATAGTCAGGCCAGGTATAATAAAGCAAACCAGTGCTATCATGATTTGTCTTTAGTAAAAATGGAAACTAGAGAGAGAAAATTTATGGCTCAAAAAGTATAGTACACCTGTTGTTAAATTCTAGTCTTCCCTAGTGTTTTTCCATTTTTATTAATTTCTACAGTTTGGATGGAATTCTAATTTTTCTTGGCTATAAGTCTTCAAAATAATGTTTTCAATTTTTTTCTTCGTTTCCCTATTTTTCCTAATTTGGAGTCACCAGAAACTAAGCTGTGCTTTCATAAAGCCCTGCAAACTAAAGCTAGACAACTTAAACTTCAGAATAACAGCAACCTGTTTACATACATAAGGCACTTTCATACCTGCCTACTGATGTATGAATTTCAGAGTAATGTGGTCTGTATCAGTTTTCCAGGATTCTTCTTTTGTTTGTTGTTGTTTTTCTCCTTTTCTCCCCCTACTTTCTCTTCATAGGACTTGAGACTTCACAACCTTCTAAAAATGAGCTTTCCTAATAACTTGAGACCTATGCATCTAGGAATAAACCATCCTAACCATGAGAGATCAGACAAAACCTGAGATCAGAGAGACTCATTTTCTTCTAAAATGCTTTCTCCAAAAGATTTTTAAAAATAAAATGGGGAAATTGTGAAAGGAAAATACCTTGGATCCCCAAAATCACTTAGCTAAAGGGAAAAGTCAAGCTGGGAACTGCTTAGGGAAAACCTGATTCCCATTCTAGTCAAAGTCACTCCTCTGCTCACTGAGATAAATGCATATCTAATTGCCTTCTTTGGAGAGACTAGGAACTCAAAAGAATGCAACCATTTGTCTCTTATCTACCTATTACCTGGAAGCCCCCTCCCCACTTTGAGTCTTCCCACCTTTGCTTTGAGTTGTCCCACCTTTCTAGACTGAGACATTGCTCATCTTGCATATGTTCATTGATGTCTCATGTCTCCCTACAAGTATAAAACCAAACCGTGTTCTGACCCCCTTGGGCACATGTCATCAGGACCTCCTGAGGCTGTGTCATGGGCATGCGTCCTCAAATAAACTTTCTAAATTGAGACCTGTCTCCGATTTTCAGGGTTCACAAAGGCAAGTAATGGGGACTCATAATATCAATTTTTGTCTGACATATTTTACAATAAAATTTATTAAAATATACAGCAGGGATAAATACCAGATTGCAAGTTAAAACTTTGGTTCCTAGTCCAACTCAGCAGACAAGTACCTCTTGCCCCAAACAGACTATCAATTTGCCTAATGTTGCAAACTCTTTAGATAATCTACTTGCTTTCTGACTCTCTGCTTTCTTTCTGGCAGAGGCTCTTCCCCATTACAGAGATGGAAAATGGCAAATTATCACCTTCCTAGCTCAATTGCACTTACAGCATAGCCATATAACCCAGTTCTGGTCCTATTCCTCTGAAAAGTGTTGATCTTTCTTGTTGTTTTAGAAGGCAGTTTACTTGGATGGAAGAAAACTTCCAATTTTGTCTCCTCTGCAGCAGGTGGACACCTGAAATCATTACTTAGTGATTTTAGCCTTACCTTGGCTGCTTAGAGCCTTTCCTTATATATATTTATGGCTTAGGATTCATCTAGCAATTTGGGCAGAGTTTATATAGAGGATTTGGACCTCCCCCTCTCTAGCTCTCTCATTTCCAGAATTTCCATCTTTACTTTCCAGCTGTTTTAGCCACTCCCAACTCCATCCTGTTTTTTTTTTTTTTTTTTTTTTTTTGAGACAGAGTTTTGCTCTGTCACCTAGGCTGGAGCGCAGTGGCACAATCTTGGCTCACTGTAGACTCTGCCTCCCAGGTTCCAGTGATTCTCCTGCCTCAGCCTCTTAGGTAGCTGGGATTACAAGCACACACCACAATGTACAGCTATTTTTTTTTTTTTTTGTATTTTTAGTAGAGATGGGGTTTCACCATGTTGGCCAGGCTGGTCTTGAACTCCTGACCTCAGGTGATCCTCACACCTTGGCCTCCCAAAGTGCTAGGATTACAGGCATGAGCCATGGTGCCTGGCCCATCCTCTGGTTCTTAAAGCCAGTAAAAGTGTGGGTTTCTGTGCACAGGGTTCTTGGCTACCCTTCCTGGGCCTTGTCCTCAAGCTACAAGGCTTTAAAAATGGGAAACTTCTTCAGTGAAATGTTCTTCTCCCAATTGTAGACCCAGATTCTTCCTGCTTCTAGTCTCCAGTGCTTTCAGGTAATTGTTCACTTTTGCCCAGAGTTTATAGTTGACATACGCAAAAGGATTGGATTAATAGAAGGTACTTCACAATTACCTCACAACTCTCAGAAGACAAAAGGAATATGACAATGGACTCATCATTTTCAGGTATTCAACCTTACTGAATACATAATATGCAGAGGGTCAAAATCTGTACAGAAATTGCTGAATATTGCTTTTTTTATAAAATATCCCAATTACTTTCTTTGAAGAATGGCTAATATTAATTAATGTGTTAATTTTTATTAATAGGCTAATGAAAAATATTCATTATTTTAATATACCTAAAAGAGACAAAAAACATTAATTTTTATTATACTGTAAAAAATGAAATATTATTAATGTTCCATTGTCTTCACTTGGATTGACTTAACTAATTTAGGGTCTTGCTCAACATTTATCACCAATAGCAGTCCCAGAAAATATGGTCACTTAATAAGTTTTTAAATTAAATCTTATACAATGACTAATGTATACAATTAATGCAATCATCCTCTTTGCTATTTTAATTGCAAAAGTATATTTTATGAGTCAAAATTTAGGATGAAATAAATCTTACCCAACAGATTTTATCAGAAAAACAAGGTACCCTATTTCAGGCTTTTCAATCGCCAGAAATTAATGGGATCCAAAATAGTAGCTATAAGAACAATATATATGGTAGAATAACAGAAAGTGAATTGACCTGGAAGAGGCTAAAAATGTCTTCTCTCATTTTCCAACATTCAAAAAATATCTCCTGCTATGTAATTCTGTATTTATGATATTCCTGAGATTGTGGTTAAAAGACAATAGACACATTTCACATGAGCAGTCATGCTGAATAAAGTAATAAACATTGTGAAAGCAAAAGGAGTAAAGGTTAGAAGTAGAGCACATTTATTTTAGACCCTCCAATTGCAGACCTAGCTGACGTGATGGGACAGATCCCCAGCTTTGCTGACCCTTATTATAATGAATCAGTGAAGCCCACTGGCAGATGGCCCTTTCTACATGGGGTTCCATTTATTGTTTTTGCAGCTGGTTAAACAGTAAGTCATAAAGTAGGCCACCGTGCATCCACAGGAAAGTGATTATAGACACAGGGAAATGTCTTTTTTAGAAATTTTAACTAGTTTTGTCTGTGCGAATGAGAAACCTTGATGAGAAGATTTTCGACACGACATTTTTCTGTTGATGGATGCAGTGTTAGTGCTGGCCTCTTTATAGAAACTGCATTGGTTATCCAACACCTGGAAATGCACAAAACATAAGCTTCTAAAACTTTCTTCCAATAGCTACAGGATTTGTCCACAAAATAAATAGCTTCAGGTCATACACTTAGCTTCTCTCTCATCTTTTTAGGATATGTCTCTAGTTCATACATGTGTTTTATTTGATCTGCAAATGTTTTTAAAAAACTGAAACAATATTTTTAAATATGGGGAGTTTTCCCTCAAATAAATTTTAAAGATCACAGACAAAAGCCCAAGTTTTCATCTTGTCTTGGAAATTTGGAGACTCGCAAGCAAGGACTCAAATTCCTGAATGAGAACGTTGGGTTGAGCTGAGTAACTTCAACTTCTACAGGACTTGTGCTCCCACCCACCCAGCTCACTTCATTCTTTCCCTAACCTGCTCAGCACTAAAGGCATTGAGTTTGAGGTCCAGGTCCTATATGATGAAAACACCGTCTTGTGAGCTTTATTCACCAATACTATAAATGTAAAGATAAAGTTGTTATTGGTGTGGCCCAATATTCTTTGAAAATCGGGCTTAAATATAGGAGGTTATAAGAATAACTTCTCTTTAATCAAACCCTTACAAAGAATATGTGTGCTTTGCTAAAATAACTCTTTAGCATACCAGCTGAAAACTTTTCTGTATTCACCTATATACACATGCCTGTAGAGAGTAGTGGTATACTTTTTCAACATAGCTTATTCATTTTTATTATAACATCTAGGAATTGACTATTTTTGCCAATCACACATTTCCAACATGAGGTAAAAATGTAAATGTCTGTAACCCTCAACTTAAAAGTGATGGGAAAGTTTAGAGAAACTAAACAAAACATTAAAAATTGAACTCAACAACAGAATAAGTATAATCTATATAAAAGAAGTAACTTTCTGACCAAAGTTCTGGTAGGACAATTAATAGTGATAACATTTATATATCACTTGCTCTCATTTAATCAGCAAAAAAATCCTATAATGTATATTGTATTTTAGTCATCTATTGGCGCATAAAAAAACTACCCCTAGATTTAGCAGCTTAAAATATCAAACATTTGTTGTCTGATTAACTGCAAGTAAGACTTAGGAAACCTATGAGATTACAAAATTTAAATTCCCTACTGTTTATCCAAATGGTGCCTTGTGGAAAATTTCTACTCATTATATACATATCCATGAAAGGAATGTGATATATGTTAGATCAGTTTCAAATAGCAATATTATACCGAAAATAAGAATCTTTTCTATGTGAACTACTTCCACCATCCACCATCACTGTTCTCACAGTGAATTTATATCTTTGGAAAGCTGAGCACTTCATTGTTCAGTTTACTTCTCTTCTTTCTCTTATTTTACTTTTTTTTTTCTGTTTCCCTTATCCCCTCTTCAAACAAAACTCATTTTAAAATATGGCTTGAATTTTATGAGCCCAATATTGCTCTTGGGATATTCTACATGAATTAGAAAATAAAATGCATCCTATTTTTATAGTAGCATTTTGGAGGAAATTAAAACCACAGTATAACAAAAAATTGATAAATTGCTATTATAGGCTCTTCCATAATGCAAATAAAATAGTTACTGCAGTACACATAGAACATCTGCTAATCTAAATTAAAATGAATGAGAAACTAAATTAGAATTGCTTTTTCCATCTAATCATATAGAAGACTAAACATATTATGAACTAGATATTCCCAGTGTTTTTAAGACATTGCCAATTAGTGAGCTTAGTGCAATAAATTGAAGCAATAACTAAATAGTATCTTGGGGACCTGAAGGAGTTAATGACTGGCCTCCTCACTGCTTAATTAACAGCTGGGCAGAGCCACCAGGCATCTCTAATTTAGTAGTAACAAAAGGTATAGATTTACTTTAAATCCCAAGCCAATATTGGTCCTTTTTCTTAGTTGCACTATTTTATGCTTGCTTGCTTTAATTACCTTATTATCAAATTTACTATCTCAATAAGCACATTATCAACGTAATTTCAAACTCATTTTTGAATTCTGGATTCTAAACTCTGTATTACTCCCTATAAAACAGTGGAAAACAGAAAATAATTTTAAAAATCATCTCACCATCAAAAATTTGAAAGCCTGGCAGAAAAAGACAAAATATAATGTCCATTTCTTGTTACTTCTAAGGAGTACAGCCCACTACCAGCCTCCCTCTGCTTTCCTGTGGTTCCCCCGTTGACTCACTTAATTATCACTGAGAATGACAATATTTGCTTGCTCTTTGTGACCTGGCTTCCTCCCTTTTCTTTCCCCATTAAAGAAAAAACAATATCCTGCTCCCTTCAGTAGCACATATATCAAAATTGGAGCAAATCTCAAAAGCTGAATTAGCATGACCCCAACCCAAATATGACAAAAAATTACTAAAGTACATCATATTTTTAAATTGCTAAAAATCAAGTGAATAATCTGTATTAATAGGAATTATTTTCAATTGTAACAGGAAACCAAACTAAATTATTTAAACCAATTGTGAGTTATTTTTCTCAATTCTTTAAAGGAGCTATCAAAGATCCAGTTAGCTTTCTGCTCTAACATCTCTAGTGTGTAGTCTTTATCCTTATGAACACTTCATGATACCAAGAGGGCTGCTCCTTCTTTCACTTTGTGTCTATATTTCAAGAAGGCATAATGAGAAAGAAGAAATGTAAAAGGCATGTGCCAACTGAGTTGAATCTCTTTTAGAAAGCTCTCCTAAATATCTCACACATTAGACCTAATCTCATTGTCCAGAGTTGGGTCATATGCCCAACTTCAGCTGCAAGAGAGACCAAGAAATCAACTTTTTAAGATATACATTGCCATAAAAAAACAAAATGAGGCTGGGCATGGTGGTTCCTGCTTGTGATCACAACACTTTGGGAGGCTGAAGCAGTAGGACTGCTTGTGACCAAGAGTTCAAGACCAGCCCAGGCAACATAGCGAGACCCTGTCTCTACAAAAGAAATTTTGAAATTAGCTGGCTATGATGGTGTGCACCTTGTAGTCCTAGCTACTTGGGAGGCTGAAGTGGGAGGATTGCTTGAGACTAACTAGGAGTTTGAAGCTACAGTGAGCTATGATTATGCCACTGCGCCGCAGCCTGGATAACAGAGAGAGAACCTGTCTCTCTAAAAAAATGGAGTTCTACTAGTAAGGAAGAAGAGAGAAATTATTATCAGGTATGCAACTACTACTCTCTGCTAGGTGAGGTGAAAGAAAGATTATTATAATAATTATAAAATTATAAGGATATATAAAAATATAATAATAAAATTATAAGGATATAATGCTGGATGCAGAAAAGAAAGAAAAGAAAAGAAAAGGGATGAAAGCAATTTTAGAGAACATGATAAAATGAAGAACAAAGGTGACCCAACATAAGAATAATTGATGTCCCTGAGGTAAAAGTCAACAAACAGAACAGGAAAAGTATTTTGAAATAAAAGAAAGTAAAATGTTACTAAAACATAAAACCTGAATCTGTAGTTTGATAGAATACATTCTATATAAGAAAACAAAGACATAGGTCAAGATACAATGTGGTGAAGTTATTGAACTACAAAAATTAAAAAAATTGCCAGGTGTGGTGTTGCTTGCCTGCAGTCCTAGCTACTCAGGAGACTGAGGCAGGAGGATCACTTGGGACCAGGAGGTTAAGGCTGCAGTGAGCTATGATCATGCCACTGCACCTGAGTAACCAGGTGAGACCTTGTCTCTGAAAAAAAAGAAAAATTCTAAGAAAAAATTTAAAAAGAATTCAGGAATTCAAGCAAAACAAGTCATTTATAAGAGAAAAAGTCAGGATGGCCTCAGACTTTGACATGAAAAACATCAATGACAGAAATGAATGGAGCACTATCCATCAAATGCTGAAAAAAAGAGGGATCCAAGAATATTATATGCCTGCAAGATATTATTCAGTCATAAAGTCAAGCAGCAGGCATTTTCAAAAACTAGAGAACTCATAAAATACAGCAATATTATTAATTGGATTATGTCTCCCCAAAATTTGTATGTTGAACTCCTAACCCGAAATGTGACTATATTTGGAGGTAGGGCCTTTATGGAGGTAATTAAGGTTAAATGAGGTCAAAAGGAGAGATTAATACAATAGAATAAATGTTCTTATAAGAAAAGGAAGAGACACCAGAACGTGTTCTCTCCACAGAGGCATAGAGGAAAGGCCATATGAGGACATAACAGGAAGGTGGCCATCTTCAAGCCGGAAGGAGAGCCCTCTCCAGAAACCCAACTCTATGGCATGTTGGTCTCGAGTTCTGGCCTCCAAAACAGAAAAGTAATTTTGTTAAACCACCCAATCTTTTTTTGTTTTTGTTTCTTAGATGGAGTCTCGCACTGTCACTGCAATGGCGCGACCTCGGCTCACTGCAACCTCTGCCTCCTGCATTCAAGCGATTCTCCCACGTTCAAGCAACTCTCCTGCCTCAGCCTCCCGAGTAGCTGGAATTAGAGGCACCCGCCATCAAGCCCAGGCAATTTTTGTATTTTTTGTAGAGAAAGGGTTTCACCATGTTGGTCAGCCTGGTCTTGAACTCCTAACCTCAGGTGATCCGCCCACCTATGGCTTCCCAGAGTGCTGGGATTACTGGTGTGAGCCACCGCGCCTGATGGCATTTTTAAAATAGCAGCTACAGCACACTAATAGAAGCACCTATGAGCTCTCTGTGAAAAGTTTAATTGATTATAAAACTCAGCCAGCCAAGAAATGAATCAAGATTTTAAAACTCATTTGTGGCAACATGGATGGAACTGGAGATTATTATAAGTGAAATAAGCCAGACACAGAAAGACAAATATTGCATGTTCTCACTCATATATGGGAGCTAAAAAAAGTTGATCTCATAAAAAAAAGTTGATCTCATAAAAAAAGTTGATCTCATATGATAGATGCTAGAGGCTGGGAAAAGTGGGTGGGTGGGAAGGGGAATGAAGAGAGGTGGGTTAATGGTTACAAACACACCAATAAAAAGTTTAAGTTCCATTGTCAACAGTAGAGTAGAGTGACTACAGTTAACAACAATATATTCTGTATTTCAAAGTAGCTGGAAGAGAGGACTTGAATTGTTCCCAACACATAGAAATGATAAATACTCAAAGTGATAGACATGTCAAATAAATACCCTGACTTGATCATTACACATTCTATATATATAACAAAATATCACATATTATCTTATTACCCTATAAATATGCAAAATATTATGTAGCAACTTTTAAACTTTTTTTTAAAGATTGGAAAACTCAGTATTGGAAAAGACATAGTTGAAGGGCAAGTAGTAAACAATGAATCTATGTAAATGTAAAATGAAGGATCAAAAGCTGGGGTAGTAAAAAAATATATAAACAAATACAATCAGGGAAAAGGGGTAGGACTTAGCAATGACAGCTGGCATTTATTTGGTGTTCATTACATTGTCGGTACTGTTGTGTTACAAGAAAAACCTGGGGTGGGAGGGGTGGGGTGGGGTGGGGTGGGGTGGTGGGAAATAGTTGAGAGACCAAAGAATGACTTGGACAAGTCCGGCTTGGTAAGCAGATGAGTTAATCAGGACTTACACACAGGGCATTCCTGGGCAGCAGCAGGACAACTACAAGATCTACCCCACTGCTCTTCTCTAAACTGCTTTTAAGTTAATTTTCTGGCTCTTTGTCCACTATTATGTTTCCAGCTATGCTCCAGGATGTTTGGGTTCTCAAGGACACCTGCCCTTCTGCTGAGCACCAAGACCTTGGCTCATTGCCTAGCCTTCAGGATTCAAGCAGTAGACATAAACCTTTAACTAACCTGGTGGGGTCCTGCCACACTACATTTCCATATAGTAACTCATTCAATTTCACAACAACTCTTTGGGGGTAGTTACTGTTTTATCCTCATTTTACAGAAGAGAAAATAGAGACATAAAAATAGGTAATTTGCTTGTAATAAATAGGTAGTACATTGCTTATGATAAATAGGTAGTACATTGAAGAGCAAAGCCTTAAATGAAGGTGTTAGAATCTACAGTCTTAGCAACTATACCAAGATGCTTTCCACTAGGGGGACCAACTGTACTGGTTTTAGTGCAAAAATTCCCAAATCCCAAGGTACTCCTCACTCCTAGGCAAACTGGGATTGTTGGTCACCCTACCTCCCAGTATTAATCCTATTATCTTTCATAGCAGCAAAGCATTCAATGCTAAAATTAAAATGTAATTTTAAAAAACAGTAATGAACATAATGACTCCAAATCCTTAATAGTTTTTATAATCTTTTGTGTTAACCTTAGGAGATCTAAGACACAATCTCTCTTAATGGTAAAGAAGCATTTACCCAAAGTAGACAAATTTTTTCATTTTTAAATTCTGTGTTTCAGAGGATTTATTTATTTATTTATTTATTAGTTTTTTCAAAATTATTGTCTTTTGTGATGAAAAGTGCTTCCCATGCATTGGAAGGGGAAGTTTTAGAAGCCAAAGCTCCCCAAATAGATTGTAGGCTCCGGTTAGAAGGACGTAGCTATCTGAGGAGAAGCAGCAGCAACAGTTTAGAGTGAGCTCACTGGCCTGGGGATGGGCCAGAACCAAGAGCTCACAGATCAGGAGGCACTGAGGACAGGAAAGATGAGTCAGAAGCTTGGCTGGGTGAGATTTCAGATTTGCCAACAGAGCAAGTCCCTCATCTCAACTATTGACCTCTGGAGGAAAGTAGTTGCCCCCTTTGTGTGTCTGGGGAAAAACAATTTATTCAAGAGTCACAAAGTAAGGAAGTGGCCAATACTGTGCTTGGACAGAGAAAAAGTCCTACTAATTGTGACCAAGCTTAAAAAGTTGTAGATGTTAAAAAAAATTAAATCAAATAACATTTGCATGGTCTCTAGTAATGTACCTTGAATATAGGAGATCCTCAAAAAATGTTAGCTCCTTCTCCTTCAGTGGCATGGTAGGCCCCTTGGTGTTTGTAACAGTGCTTTGCAATTGGTAACGGCTCACTAAGAACATATTCCATGACTGTGAATGGGGCTGATGGTCATGACCAGATCATCCAGGAGATGACAATTGTACAAAACAATTTCCAGATTTATAGGACTGTCTTTCTCTATATCATAATCCCCTTTCAGCATCCCTTGAGTCCAATTTCTGTCTTCACCATCTTCTAGAGAACTGGGACCCTATTGTTTTATGGAATTTTCCAAACAGTAGTCCATGGGGCCTCTTCTTTTAATAGCATTTCAATGCTAGATTTCAGATTTGTTTCTCTTACACTGGACCCACACAGCACCTCTTTTTGCACACCAACTCTATCCCTAAGTGGACTGTTCCTCATCCTGCTCTGAGGGACCAGCCGTGTCACCCCATCACACACAGCTTGGACCTAGCAGAGGAATCCATCCTAACTATTGGACTGTGGGCTAGCAGCCCTCCAGAGCTGACAGAAAGCATTTTTTTAAAAACTAAAAATAACCAACTTGACCCAGCAATCCCATTACTGGGTATACACCCAAAGGAATATAAATCATTCTATTATAAAGATACATGCACATGTATGTTTATTGCAGCACTATTCACAATAGCAAAGGCAAAGACATGGAACCAACCCAAATGCCTATCAATGATAGACTGGATAAATAAAATGTGGTACATATACACCATAGAATACTATGGAGCCGTAAAAAGGAATGGGATCATATCCTTTGCAGAGACATGAAGCTGGAAGCCATCATCCTCAGCAAACTAACACAGGAACAGAAAACCAAATACTGCATGTTCTCACTCATAAGTGGGAGCTGAACAATGAGATCACATGGACACAGGGAGGGGAACAACACATACCAGGGCTTGTTGGTGGGGTGAGGGGAGGGAGAGCGTCAGAATGCATGTAGGGCTTAATACCTAGGTGACAGGTTGATAGGTGCAGCAAACCACCATAGTACATGCTCACCTATGTAACAAACCTGCATGTTCTGCCACATGTATCCCGGAACTTAAAGTAAAATAAAAATTTTTAAAAATAACAAACTTAACACTTCCCCATCTTCATATTCTTCTTCCTTCCTCCACTTAAAAATTAACTATTTAAAATTAACTATTTAAAAACCATGCTGCATTTTACTAGAAGTATTTAACATTTTGCCAACATTTTAAACTCTGATTATTATTCACACATTCCACAGCAAAGCTATACTATCTTTGTTAAATATAATGGTTATTTGTGTCCACTCATTTTCATGGCTTTTCTCCTAATTCAGACCATTAATACCCTTATGCGGATTCACTGATCTGCCTTGCTTCTGAAGGAGGATAGGAGCTCCAGCCCCTTCACCACATCCAATTCATCCAACTAGAATGCCCTAAGCATCTTCATGAAGCACAGATTTGATCATGTGACTCACCTCATTAAAAACCTCTGATGATTTTCCATTGTTGAAGAAGCTGCCTCTCAAGTCATACCTATCTTTGTAACACGTATGATCCCTAGTCGCCATAAACATTGGACTTCATTCTACACTCATCTGTAGGCCACCATTCAAAGTATTTCTGACATTTTGAGTATCTTCCAACCACAGAAGTTTTCCTAGACCCTTACCTCAATCTATCCCTCCTCCATACTCCAGTAGCACTTATTTTTTGTACCTGTTGTCACAATCTGTCTTGTGCTAAAATTATGTTTTTCACAAGAAAACATCAGCAAGTAAAAAATTATATATGTGTATACACACACACACACACACACACACTCACAGGTTCCTTCTATAAGACTGAAACCTAGGAGCCAGATTTGGTAAAAGAGCAGAGGAGGAGGCTTACAGAAAGCAGAATGAAGCAGAAATATGGCAGATCAAATGCCATGTAGTCAAAGAGAATAACAGAAGCAGAAGAAGAGGCTGTGTAGGTCAGGGGACAGGAAGGAAGAGAATGTTTGACAGCTCTCCAGTTCCCATGAGGCCTGCCTGTCTTCCTGCCATAGGTTCAATGAGACTTCTCTGTACCATTGCCCTTCACATAAGCAAACTGATGCTAGAACTGTCATTCCTTGCAACTAAGGAATCTCTTCTTAATACACCTAGCATTGTGCTTTGCTCATTAAATGTTTATTAAATTGAAGTGTTAAACAACATTACATTGAATAGAATTTCCTCAAGTTGAATTGGGACTGAGTAGCCTCTGCAATACAAGAAATGGGTGGACCATGCCTCCAGAATACAACACACCAATGTCTCATGCATGAGGGCTTCTGGTTGTTCCCACTGAACTTATCCTCCAGTACGGAGGAGAGGACTGAACTTTCCCCACTATTTCAAAATGTCTCATAAATTTTACATGAAAAAAATCAACAGTTACTTCTCCAGAGCAACATACATTTATTACCTATGCTATTAAAAATGAGTAATTCAATATTTTATATCTTATTCCAGATTTTCAGTAATTTTGAGGTTAACTTGATATTGATTGACAGAATGAACACCATTACTGGAAAGCTACATGTAAAATATTTAGAAGCACCATCCTATATACTGAATCCACTCGCAGGAGATTTCATTAAGATGTATAGAATTCTGTCTTTGCTGACCTTATTAAGACCAAAGTACAGCTCCAGTTATAACTGAACACAGCATACTGGATCAGAATTGACCTATAGGAAAATGTGGGCATTTTTTCGACACTTCCATTTTGAAATCCTTTCCTGAATTGGAATAAATAAATTTTATAGTAGTCAGTACTGAAACAAGAAATACTTTAATTTAGCTTGTATACAACATATAGGCTATGTTACTAGAAAAAAGTTTTAAGGACATACTGTACAAGTTGTACTTTATAATGATTATCTTCTTGTATGCGCAATTAAATGTACACACATGACCAGAAATTAAATAATATATTCCTATTCTTTGCTTTTGCAATTTTATTTTTCATATGCCCATTTGTGTGGCTAATTATGCAGAGCAGAGTGAGATGCAGAGTCTAGGTCATTTAAGACCAAAAAAATAGAAAATGTTCTCTTTTCTCCACTCAGTTTCATGTCTGGTGGGGAAAATTAGCCAAGAAATTTGATGCTAGTACAGATTGAAAGAGTTGATGTTATATAAGAAATTAAGAAATGTTATTCATTTTGTAACTGAGTGTGTGTGTTTGTGTGTGTGTGTGTATGTGTATAATCTCCTTATGGAATTCCCTTATGGAAGCAATCTGGGTAGACTGTATGTACTTTAAGATGAAAAATAAAAAATAAAGAGAGAATGTTCCAGCATTCTTCAGTCTTTCCAAACCCTTACTGGGTTTGTTAGTCTGAAAGGTTATAGTACTGACCTGGCCAGTTTTACACAACCAAAGCTGAGCTGACATTCAGTCCACTGATGCCCAGGAAGCTGGATATAAGAATGAGTGGAACATCCATGGTTGTGTAAGCTGGATAATGATATTTCCCTCATTTAGCTAACTCTCCCCTTACCCATTTGATCTGACTTTGTCAAAACTGGTCAGATGGATAAGGTCTGGGTTGCTGAAGCATGTAATACTTTTTACTTCTAGAGCTCATTAGGTGCTTTGGGCCAATATTGCAACTTGATTCATTATAAATTTGGTATAATTTAGGGAAAGGATCTGTATGGGATAAAAAGTAACCAAAATTATTCTGTCCTTTTTAGATACAGTATATGTTTCACCCTAAACATATTTTTTACTTTTTCCTCTTCTTTAATGAATATGATACAGTATTAAAAGATCAGTTAAGTAGTGGGCGCAGTGGCTCACGCCTGTAATTCTACCACTTTGGGAGGCCGAGGCAGGTGGATCACTTGAGGCCAGGAGTTGGAGACCAGCCTGGCCAACATGGTGAAACCCTGTCTCTACCATTTAAAAAAAAAAAATTAGCTTGGCGTGGTGGCACATGCCTGTAGTCCCAGCTCCTCTAGAGGCTGAGGCACGAGTATCACTTGAACCTGGGAGGAGGAGGTTGCAGTGAGCCAAGACTGGGCCACTGTACTCCAGCATGGACAACAGAGTGAGACTGTGTCTCAAAAACAAAAACAAAAACAAAAACAAAAACACAAAAGATCAGTTAAGTAAGTTCTGGGACATTATGCAATGAAATATTCATAGAATAATATACACTCATTTACATTATATGTCTAGAGGTCAAAAAGTGCTTTGATATAATATTAAATAAAAAAGAAATAAAATCCCACATTTATAATATGATTTTGATTATGTAATGAAAATGTACTCACAGAAAAAACACTGGAAGGAAATATATAAAAATACACCAATTGTGTTTAGGTGTCATTAACAAGTGATATTTTCCTTTTATTTTTAAACTTTGCACATTCTCCTTAATGAACACACATTATTTATTAATGGCAAAATAAGCTTAAACAGTGTAGTCACAAATGTACTCATTTTATGGTCAGGTGTGCAATGAAAAGAAGGCTTTAAAAATTTCTTTGTGATTGATTTGATCTTATTAATAAGCTCCTGACCCAATAGGTAAGAAGAAAAAGCCACATTTTATTTTAATCTTGTAAACATAGTCCAAACCAAACTAATTAGACTGCCTTTCAAAATTTAACTCAGTCTCTGCCTGAATGGCCCACATAAATGGTATTTTTCAGGGCTCCACATCTATTCCCAGATGGGCCGTGGGTCCACCAGTGAGATGTTATGCCGCCATGACGTCATAGCCAGGAGGTGAAGCTAAGGTCCTGGGAAGCGCATGGCATCCTCTGTATTCTCATGGTCTAACAGAAAGTGGCTAGCCACTGCTGCTCCCTGAACCAACTCCCAGTGAGGCACAATGGGGCATGCTGCTACTATGGGCCACCAAAGTCTGTGTCTGGTGGTACTGTGGTCTCTTCTCCACAGCTCAGCCAGGGCAGGGATCTCCCTCACAGACTCAGCTTTTAGTGACATAGCCACGCAGTCAGGTAAAGCCTTACCTAAAGCTAGCCCTGCCTCTAGATTTTTCAGGTAAGAAACCATTAACTTCCCTTTATTGTTTAACTGAGTTTGGGTTTACATGTCTTGAAACATAAAGACTTGGACTTGATTTCAATTGCTATGTTTTGTTCACTTAGCATTGCTGCAACAAGCCAGCATGTTTAAAAATGTTTTGCAAATTCTTTTAATAGAACAAAAAGGAAATAATTATGCAGGAAACCAAAAAGGCATCAAATAATGAGATCTTGCTTCCAAACACTTTTTTCTTCTCTCCTCCTCGTCCCAAAAGAGACAACAGATTCCCCTCACATCTTTCATAAAGAACCAAAATACTGGCATTGATTAATACCAGATCAATGCCAGTATTTTGAAACTTCTCCAGTGATTCATCTGTTTCAGAGATGCTAGAGATGCTCTGCTCTCAAATCCTTTGCTGGTATGTCTGGGAGTAGTGGTATAAACAAATGACAGTGACCATGGAGGGTGTCTCCCCGAGCTAGAGCAACAAACAAGAGATCGTGGTCAAGGAGCAGATAGCTCTGATATCTGAGGACCAGGCAGTTTCCTAGATGATCAGTCACAATGTCTGTTCCAGTGTACACACTGTGGACGTAGAAATGGGAAGGGCAGGACAGGCAGGCTCACTCTAGTGGTGATGCTCACTAGCAATAGGATGGCATCAGGGACTGGACAGTCTCAAGATGCTATCCCAGTGACCTGGTCACAGGTGCATGAATGTAGTTATGTACTGTCTTTTGGAGAGCCACCAAAAGTACTCACAGGCCATGTTAAAAGTTTTAAATCAGCAGGATGACATGCCTGTTGGTGTTGCCACAAAGCTAGAGCATTGGCTTCCTAGTTCTTCTGGCAAAGGTGTATAACCAGCCATCTTGGTAGAAGCAACACCCCGCCAGGGGTGCCTTTGAGGGGCTTTAGAGCACAGTTAAGCAGGACTGTTTACAGGCATTTGTTTGCTGCCTGTGCCATCTGGGTCTGAGAAGGCAGAAGTGAAGAAGGTTCTGTAAAGCAGTGATATCTGTGCAGAATCATCACCAACGTGCAGTTCAGCAGGTGAACAGGGAAGAAAAATGATACAGAGAATGGATATACAAAGGACATGTGGAACAATGGCTTGTTCGACGAACTCCCAGTAATTGAGCCTGGTAATACGTACACATGGAGAAGTGAGAAGACGGGACCAAGAAAGTGGGCAAAGCTGGGCATGGTGATGCACGCCTGTAGTCCCAGCTACTCAGGAGGCTGAGGTGGGACAATAATCTGAGCTAGGGTTCGAGGTTGCAGTGAGCTATGATTGCACCATTGCATTCCAGCCTGGGTAACAGACCAATACTCAGCTCAGAAAAAAAAAAAAAAAAAGAATATATGCTTGATTCTTTCCCTTAATTTTCACGGTAATCAGATGATGCCCTAACAATCTCTAATGGCTAACCATTGAGATGTTCTTTTTGTTTTAGTTCAAACAAATGAATTTTTATATATTTGATGCATTTCAATCTTCACAAATTCATTCTAATTAGTTCCTTTGTACTTTTAAAAAATCACTTCTTCTTCAAGTTATTCTTTTGAGTGTTTCCTGGTTTTCTAGCTTCATAAGCTATCACAGGCATTTTCTGCCCTAGATGTGGAATCCACTATTTCCCTAAAGATCTCTACCACCTTTTGTAAGCGGGAAATGGCAATTAGAGACTACTGTCTTGGCAGACCTCTTTAATTAGAGTGTAATTATTCAAGTTGACCAAGGTCCCTGACACCCCTACTGTGCTATATGAGATGTACTTTATTTATTTATGTTGCCTACTTGAGTCTTGCAGGCATTTCAGTTTGCAAACCCTGGGAAGAGGCCTGTGGTGTGATCCATCATAATTTAAGTTTTGTCCTGCCACAAATTGTAACTGAAATAAACCACTAAATTTCTCTATGCTATGTTTTTCCCATTTAGAAATTGGGAACTATAGTAACTGTACCAAAAACAGTAAGAAATAGTATCAACTAGAAATATCTTTAAGTCTTGATATTTCTATCACTACTCCCACCACCACCCCAAATTCATAGTGACATAAATATTAATTTTGCTTAGTTTTTTGTTTTATAAGTTAAAGTATCACCTGAAATATTTAAAATTTAATAAATTTGAGAACTAAACTTTAAATTTTCAATTCAAAAAATAAATTGAGAAATAGAGTAAAATCTGTATGAAGTTTCAATAGGCTCAGAATGATCTCCAAGCTTGTAAATATTCATTTCTTGACCAGAGAAAGACTACTTGTTACTCATAAATATTCATTTTTCTTCTTTCTTTGATAATAAAACTCTCAAATCTTAGTTGGACACCTGGTCATGGGAATGAGATTTACACTTTCCAGCTTCTCTTGCAGCTATT
Source organism: Homo sapiens (assembly GCF_000001405.40). Classification (NCBI taxonomy): domain Eukaryota; kingdom Metazoa; phylum Chordata; class Mammalia; order Primates; family Hominidae; genus Homo; species Homo sapiens. The sequence continues at coordinate 161,163,579 of NC_000003.12, read as the reverse complement.
AGAGCTGTGAACTAAGGTTTGTGGATAGAAAGTAGGAGGAAGTGATGAGTCATGCTGGGTCAACGTCTGGGTTGTGCTTCTAAACAGAAAGGAATTTGCCTTCACTCTCTCCCTTCTTCAGTAGCCTGGCATGTTACTATAGTGGTGAGTCTTTTCTACCACAAGCATGCAGGCAATATTCTAGGAATGACAGAGCAATAAGATAGAATGAACTTGGATCCCCAACACCATATCAACCCCAGACAGCTTATGATTAGGCTATTATGGGATAGCTAAACTTCTGTTTTACTTAAGCCACTATTTGTTTGGATCTTATTACAAAGCAAACAGTTCCACTAACTAAAACATATCCTATATATTGTATTTAACTCATCATACAGGCCTACGTAGGGGGAGAAAGGATCTTCATAACTACATACATAAAAGAACTGTTTCTGTGGAAGTTCGTCACACTTCTTCCTTAACCTGCTGAGTGTGACTTCAATTGTCTAAAAGAATGCCAATAATTGCTTGCAGGAATGGCATATGTATGAGCTGAACAAGAAATTTTCCCTTACAAAGGCCAATCCTGCTATTGTCGAGTACCTAATTTTTCAGCAGGGTAGCAAACCCTAGCACCAGGATGGTAACACAACACTAGGTATCTGTTGCCAGGCTGACTTTATTAGGCTCCCTTCATCATGTAGAAGACCATAACAAGAAGAGACACTTAATTCTGCATTTGGATAGGCTTCCCCTACCCATCATGCTTCTGCCTACACCAACATCCGTGTCCTTATTGAAAATCCTGTACAACATCATGCTTTCTTAGTCAATATGGCCTCCAAACAAGAACTTATTTAATGGCAAAAAATGTGAAGCAGTGATATAATGTCCTGCCACTTTTGTTTTTTGTTTGTTTGTTTTTTGAGACAGGGTGTTGCTTTATCACCCAGGCTGGAACGCAGTGGCTAGATTATAGTTCACTGTAATCTCAAACTCCCGGGCTCCAGCGATCCTGCTGCCTCAGTCGCCCAGGTAGCTGGGACTACAGGGACGTGACACCATGCCTGCCTAATTTTTAATTTTTTGTAGAGTTAGGGTCTCATTTTGTTGCCCAGGCTGGTCTTGACCTACTGGCCTCAATCAATCCTCCTACCTCGGCTTCCTGAAATGCTGGGATTATAGATGTAAACCACCACACCCAGCCTGACCTGCCTTAAGGAACAGAGCAGTTGCCTGGAAAAAAGGAAAGGAAAATCATTAATGCCAAACTAAAGTTGTGCGAGCAGTTGTAGAAATGAGAATGAGGTCTCCACTCTATTTTCTTAGTTGGGCAGCTGGCCATCAGAATAAGATTTATATTTTCCAGCTTCCCTTACAGCCATCTCTGGCTATGAGCTACGTTTAGCAGATGGAGTAGAAGGAAAATGATGGATTCCACTTCTAGGTGTGTCTTTAAAGAGAAGGTACTTAGCCTCACTTTATCTTCTTCAGATGTCAGACTTCTGCCTCGTATGTACGCGGAGGGCCAGAAGATTGAATAATTTCCCCTTCCCTTCATTCTTTTTAATAATTCACATGATATAAGCAAAAATCTTTATACTCTTTCCTCTTCCTTTTTCTCTGTTGTTGTTTATTGCAGTAGTCTTCAAACTTCTTTCCCCGCGAAAAAAACATTTGAAAAATCCTTTTGTGGGCGGCGGTGGCTGCGCTTGGCGCACGGGGTGGGAGTGGAGCCCAGGTCAGGAGCAGGCACCGCCGCCAGCGACTGGGAGCATGTTGGCCACCAGCTCGCCGCCATCAGGGCCGCCACCTCCGCCCTAGCCGCCTGGCTTCATGTTGCCACCGCTGGGAGATGGCCTGGGCGCTGGGACCAGTGCCGGTCGAAGTTAGGAAAAATTACAGTGGTAATCCTTCACCAAAAATATTTTTAAGAATCTGATCGTTGACAACACTATTAGGTCCTCCTTCAATTTTATTGCAAGTAAGATATTTTTGCAATAAATATTTTACTTGCGATATTTTTCTGACTTGGAAAGAAATGTTTAAACCCAATTATTAGATAGACAATTTCTGGAAGATACACCTAAAAAGCTTAACCAATATTTATCAAATAACTACCAATTACACTTATTTTATTTAGAAGTATCTTATGTTTCAAGCTAAAATTGTACATAAATGATTTTAAAATAACCCCATAAAATTGGAAATTTCACATTATAATTTTTAAACTATTGACTGCAGAAATATTCATACTAAATTTCAATATTTGATAGACTCAGTGTCTTAAAAAGATAACAGATGGACAAGAAGACGGATACTGAAAAAATATATGTGTATAGGTGTATATTCATTCTATTTATCTATATGCAATTTCATTTAACAGCTGAAAACAAGATTGTAATTATGCATTTGACAGAATTAGAAAGGCAAGTCATCATCTGCAAAAGAAGAGCTAAACTTAATCGAATAAAAAACATTTAATTTGGGTCATTACGTCCTGATTGCATTTGGGGAACATTTATCATAACTATGGCTTCTAAGACTACAGTTTAATTTTATACAAATTAACATTCTATTTTGTGCAAATTAACAACAAAATAAAAGAAAGTGTTGGGCCCCAGCAAAGCAGATCTAAAGAGTGTTTCAGTGACTGCTAAGTGCATTACTGCTATAAAATTCAAAATATAGCCCAGTTAGTTAATATATATCTAATTAGTACATTTTATGATAAATAAACAAATAAGCAGAGAAGTGGTTAATGAGTCACAGTCAGCAGTAGACTTAGCTCCAAGTAAAAATAAATACGGATTTGGAATAAGCAATAGCTTTTTGTTAAAAGACCTCAAAAAAGGATTCTACTACCAGTCTAAATAAATGGTTAAGAGAAAACACTAACTCACCCTCAATATATGTTCCTTTTCTTTGACGATATAACATGGATCTCTTAAAAGTAAACATGAAACTTTTTTGCTTCCTTTCTCTTGAAATTTTGAAAAACGTGCAAAAGAAACACACAAAGACACAAAGGAGTGGAAGTAGCCACCAAGCTAACCAAGAGTGGTGTACAATTAGAGAAAGATTTCTTCTTAGCAAATGGTTATTTCCCAACTTGGTCTCTTCAAATCTTTGAGTATTCAAGTTAGACTAGGCCCAGAACTTTGTTATGGGTTTGTCACCTAGGTAAGATAACGTACCAGAGTCTCCATATTCTGCCTATAATCTTTGCTGTGCATTCAAGAGAACTTCCCACAGAAGAAATACTTCTTTGACAAGAGTCAGGGAATGGAAGAGACTAAATTGTTGAATGAAAGTTGTCATTTATCTTGCTGCTCCAGTTCCTAATACATCTGAATTCAGAATAGATTATTTTTAATACTATGCTTTACCCTCAACTGAAATATATATAAGACAGTGAAAGACACCAAGTTTTCCCATGTGTTTATGGCATCTTGATTAAAGAAATCTTCCCCAACACCAATAACCTAAGATAGTTTGTTGTTTGGTTCTCCTGAGGTTTTACACTCTGGTAAAGCACCACAGTAAGATCCAGGATGGGGGAGAGGTATACTTGGAAAGTCTGTTTTGAAAGAGGAGATGAGAACGCAGAGAAAGGCAAGAGTCCTCTAACTCAAACCCAGAGCAGGCAGATCAATTTTAAGAAAGAAAGGCTCCATATTGAAGCTGGGGGTCTGGACATTGATTCCTTTAAAAGTTCCCAGGCTAGTGTAGCCCTTGGAACATTTTTATGCATCCGTAAATGTACTCATATCCCAGTTTGAAAATCACTGTTGGCCGGGCGCGGTGGCTCACGTCTGTAATCCCAGCACTTTGGGAGGCCGAGGCGGGCGGATCACGAGGTCAGGAGATCGAGACCATCCTGGCTAACGCGGTGAAACCCCATCTCTACTAAAAAAAAAATACAAAAAATTAGCCGGGCGTGGTGGCGGGCGCCTGTAGTCCCAGCTACGCGGGAGGCTGAGGCAGGAGAATGGCGTGAACCCGGGAGGCGGAGCTTGCAGTGAGCCGAGATCGCGCCACTGCACTCCAGCCTGGGCGACAGAGCAAGACTCCGTCTCAAAAAAAAAAAAAAAAAAAAAAAAAGAAAATCACTGTTATTTAGGACGTGTTAATGATGATTAAATTTTCCAGTTAGTTCATGGATTGAAGAATATATAAAGAAATTTTGACAGAACTAGAAGAGTAAGCATGCTGTAGGAAATCCTTGGCTTAGAGCTGTATAGTCTTATGACATTGCTTCTAGATCAATACAGAAGCAGGAGTTTGCAACCTCTCCTATTGGAAGGGGTAGCTGCAATTGTGTATGGGAAAGGTGCACCATGCAGAGATAGGGAAGCTTCAGGTGTATGAGAAGGGTGGGTGAGCATAGTGAAGCAGACAGTTTTTGGAGTACCATTCAGCTCACAACACTATGTTTCTTTGAAATATAGGGTTCAGCACCTGGAAGTCATATTCACTTGTCCCCCCCCAAAAAAAATAGATAAATGATTCTGAAATTGATACCTGGCCTAAGCTGAGCCAACCATCTTCCAAGGAATTTGAAATCTTGGAATAAACATCTGCCAGAACATGAGTTGGTAAAGCTTAGTCACCTTAATGGCTGAATACCAGAAGGAAGGTCTCCTATTCCTTGAAGCTCCCTGATTTTTGAAATTCCAGAGACAAAGGTTTTCAGTAGTTCCTTCTATATCATGCAATAATGCAGTGGCCTCATAGTATCATTTTTTAAAATGTAGTTTTATATTAATAAATAGATCAATGAAAGAATGAAGTCCAGAAATAGACCCAAATCATATGAGATTTTAATATATTATAAAGCTTGTATTTCAAAAATTAGGGAGAAAATAATCAATAGATGGAGTTGAAACAACCTCATTCCCTTTGCCAAAACAAATTTAAGATAAATCAAATATCTGAATTTTAAAAATTCATAAATCAGGCCAAAAGGATTTGCCGGGTCTGTTGTCTTCCAATATTACATTTGAGGTGTAATTTGGGAGTATGCCCTTCCTTAGGGTGCACAACTCTTGCAACTGACTTCTTGCTGGTGCAGATTTGGAGCCTGGGATTATTTTAAGGGTTGAAGTTCATAAACTGCTGCTTTACAGAATGTAGAAATGTTTGGTATGGTATCTGTCCAAAAATTTCTGGTCTACTGTAAAAACCATAACCAAAGTCTTTATCTAGACATTTTTAAAAAATGTTTCTTTCCTTTATTTAAAAGAAAAAATTATTTAGGGACACAGTGTGAGGAAGGCACACCTTCCATGGCTTTGGAGAGGATGCAGTTTCCAGAATGAATCACTAGGGCAGAAACATGCAGGGCAGGTAGGGGGAGATGCTTGGAAGTTAGGGGAGGGGCTGCATCCTCTAGCACCTCTGAACACAGAGCTCACTCAATCCATACATAATTTTTTGTTAAGATTCTGGGGCTGAAGAGTAGAGGACACAATTTTATGTATAGAGAGATTCTTTTTCATTTTTTTAAAAATAGAGATGGGGTCTCACTATGTTGACCAGGCTGGTCTTGCACTCCTGGCCTCAAGCGATCCTCCCAAAGTGCTAGGGTTAAAGGCATGAGCCACTGAGCCTGGCCAGAGGACACAATTTTTAACATATATGCTTATCATTTACATACTGGTCTCTCCATTCTACATCCCTCTTGCCTATAGCTACCTTCAGACCATTTAGAAGATAACACCCTTAATCTAATCTTTGCTGGTGAGTTTGTTCCCATTTTCTAGTTAAATACTCTTAAGAGAATATACTAAAAAAAAGAGTTGGGGCACATTCTTCAACAAGGCTACTGCTTCACAGTCACCAAATACTTAAAATTGCTTCACTCTGAGATATAGAAGCAGTTGGCTTTTTCAACACCAAAAGAGAGTGCTCAGTAATTTGGATTGCATGCTGCAACATAAAGCACTCTTCTGGATCTCCAGGCTGAATCACATTTAGGGATGATAATAATGATGATGATGATGATGATTTTTGCCAATACTACTTCATAGGTGGGTTTATGTTTTTCCAGGTAAATTTTTTTTTAAAGAGACAGTGTCTTGCTTAGTTGCCCAGGCTGATCTTGAACTCCTGGGCTCAAGTCATCCTCTGCTCCCACTTCTGCCTCCTAAAGTGCTGGGATTATAGTCGTGAGCCACCAAGCCCAGCCTGGTTTCTTTTGCCCTTTTGTAATGCTATCTGCCATTGATTCTCAATGTTTAGATCCAGTAATTCACTAGGATTGCAAAAGATGTTGATATTCAAATTTTCTTCTTCAGTAATTTGATGGACTACTTACATCAAGAGAAACTTTACCTCACCTACTATTTGGTATCTTGGTGGCACAGTTTACATAGAAACGGCAGGACAAATGCTTGATTGTTTTCTTTCATTTGACAGTTCTCAAATAAAAAGTTGGTTTCTGGCTTCTTCCGTGATGACTATATTAAGGTTCTCTAGGAAAACAGGCAAAAGAATATGCACAGATAGATAAGGAAGATTTATTATGGGAATTGACTCACACAATTATGGAGGCCCAGAAGTCCCACAGTATGCTGCCTGCAAGCTGGAGAACAAGGAAAGCCAGCGGTGTAATTCAGTCCGCATCTGAAGACATAAGAAGCAGGGGCGTCAATGGCATACTCTCAGTCCAAGGCCAAAGGCCCAAAGACTCGGGGGTCAGGAGGTGCTGATGTAACTCCTGGAGTCCAAAGACCCCAGTGCCAGGAGCTCCACTGTCTGAGGGCAAGAGAAGGTAAATATCCTAGCTCAAGAATAGAGAGCAAATTCACTCTTCCTATGCCTAATTGGATAATGCTAGCCCACATTGGTGAGGGCAGATCTGTTTTACTCATTCTACTGATTCAAATACTACTCTCTTACAAAACCCTCCTCAAAGACACACCCTGAAATAACATTATCATCAATACAATTACTGAAAAGAGTTAAAAATTCTTTTGCATATGCTCTTTCCATTCTCACCCCACATATTTACAATTGTACCGTATCCACACTGTCAGAGTATTCAGCCATTATGTACCACATTATCTTCTTTATATCTCTCATTTAGTGTCTTAGTTTTGCTAGAAATTATTATCAATGCTCACCATGAATCATTTTGTCAATGCCTCCCCATGTATTTTGATTGTTTGAATCCCCTTCTCCAGTAGATTCATAAAGAATAATATTCCCTCAGTTCTTGCCTAACAGCTTATATAGATATAAAATCATTGCTTCATATTTTCTTTCTTTGCACTATGTTACTGAATTTTCTTCAAGCATAAAATTTTGAGATTGAAGTTTGAAGATAATATGACTTTCTTTCCTGTATGAATAATTTCATATTTTTTCCCTGGATTTTCTAAATAATTTTTATTTTATTTCCTTTAAAGTACAATAATTTCGCTAGACTAAATCTCAGTGATGATCATTCCAAGCCAATTTTATCAGATAAACTGAGTGTCCTCTCAATATTTAGTTTCAATTCTCATTTTATTTTGGCTTCTCAAATGATAGATTTCAGTATTTTATTGCTAAAATTTTCCCTAGATATGCCTATTGTATGTATGTGGGATCTTCCTTGTGTGTCTTTTCTTTAATCCTTTTTATCTCTCTCTTTTTTCTTTTAAATTCTTAAAATTTTTTTTACTTATATTTCTCTTGAGATATTATCTTGTATTTTTTCTAGTTTTACTTTTATTTGTTCTGTTTCTTAATAATTTTTAAAATTATCTTCTTAGTTCTATCATCTCAAATTCTGATTTGTTCTTTTATTTCTTATCTCATTTTTTGTGTCTCCTAGCTAGTTTTGAAATATTAGACTATAGTTTTCATCTGCTGTATGAGAATGTTTTTGGCATGTTTTATTATCTGTAGGAATATTATTCTCTCTTTCCTTATACTTTAATGGAATTTGATCTCTATCTTTTCTGTAGCTCAATGTTTATGTCACAGTTTTCCTGAGCTTTTAGAAAGGAGATGTAGTTTTGGATAATATTTTATCATTTAACTTTCTACCCAAACTTGGATAACTTTCTACCCAAACTTGGATAACTTTCTATTCAAACCTTATCATTTTAGAGCTCTCTTTTTTGGATGTTTTTCAAAGCTTTCAAGATTATGGTAGCTTACATTCTGAAATATTCTGACTGTCCCTTCCTACCTCCACCCCACATTTAATCTAGGTATTCTTTTTCATTGGCTTTATGATCTGTGCCCTCTTAAATTTGAATTCTATCCCCACAAGTTTGTCCTCTTTGAGGAGTTTTGTCTTGAAAGAAACTTTTATTTAGATACTATACTAGATCATTCCAGGCTTTTCATATTTTGCTGCAAATCCCTTGTATTTCATTTACAAAAAGATACATAATACTGACTCTAGTGAGAAATAAAGAGACATGTACTTAAAATTTATACATGGGGTGAAAAAAAAAACAGAAGAAAAATTCCCTGAGGAAATTCCTTTCTTGACCATTATAACAAATGCCTAACAAAACAATTAAAGAAGGAGAAATTCACCCCAAAATTTATTGCTGAAAATATCATATTAGTTAACATTTTTATGGTGTTATGAGTAATAGAAACTATCTCTAACTAGCTAAAACAAGCAAACAAACAAAAAAGATAAGTAATCATAAGGAAACAGAGGTGATTCAAATGGTCCAAGAGCAGGGTACAGCTAGGCAAGGAAGTCTTTCTGCCCCAGCTTTCAATTCTGTTCCTCTCTCTGAATTGACTTTTTTCTCCTGTCAACCCAAAAGTAGTGTTGGCCTACTTTTCACAAGCTGGAAAATATTTACTGTATCTTCTGAGTTTCTATCTCCTCTGTTTCAAAACCAGAAAGAATAAGCCTAGAATTTCTTGGTCTAAATTCCAACTGTCTGCAGAGGGATGCTAGTTGTCCTGCCTTTGATTCAGGTTCCCTGAGCGTATCACTGTGGCCAAGAAGTAGGGTAAACTGGTTAAATCAGGGGTATTTCCACTGTGATAAAGTCATGTCATGAGGTCAAGCATAAGGGAATACCTTAGTTTGGGCTACCATAACAAAGCACCATAGACTGAGTGGATTATAAACAACAAAAATTTATTTTCACAGTTGTGGAGGCTGGAAGTTTGATATCAGGGTGCCACCATGGTCAGATCCTGGTGAGGGTCCTCTTCCAGTTTGTAGACTGGTTACTTCATGGTGGAAAGAGGGTAAGAGAGCTCTCTGGGTTTTTTTTTTATAAGGGCACTAATCTCACTTATGAGGACTCGACTCTCATGACCTTATTACCTTTCAAAGGGCCCACCTCCTAACACCATCACATTAGGGGTTAGGATTTCAACATATGAATTTAAAGGGTTGGGGGACATGAACACTCAGTCCATTGTAGAGTAAGACACAGGAAAGAGGACAAGTGGAGAAAAGGATCAGTTCCTAGAAAAGAGGGAGTCAAAGAGACAAAGCAGGTTGAAATCCAGATTTCTATTTTCATTACTATATTGTACACATGATATCTGCCTATAAAGAGTCAGAAGTAAGAAAAACTAGTTCAAGACTAGAAGAATGAGTAACAAATAGGAGTACTTTCCACTCCATCTCCAACAATATGTCTTGATGAAATCAAGACTGTGAGGCATAAAATTGCTGTCTAGAAGGTGAGATGTAACAAAAACAAAATAAAACGGAATCTTGAGTTTTAAGGAAGAAATGTTTGCTTAGAGCTATTTTGCTACTTTTTCAGATGCAAATTTAGACTCTCCAGTAGACTGAAGATATGATAGTCATATGTCACGTGAAGTTCAAAGTATTTTGTGAGTGAACACAAAGAGGTTAGCTACTAAATTTAATGTAAGCAAAACAGACTAGGTGAAGTATGTAATTTGGAAAGCAAATACTTTCTCAAGCTTCACTTGAGAAAGATTAGCCATTTGAGGTAACTATTAGCTCCACTTGAGAAAGAGTAGCTTGAAGCCACCGTGCCCAGCCAAGTTGTGTTAAATTTCTCACTGACAATGTCGATTACAGGCTTATCTTCACAGATACAGCACAAGGACAAGACAAGAAAGTATTCCTCTCTTGCCCTGAGATGAGATAATTGACTTTTTCCTCTCCTCTTTTCACATGTTTACCTTGCCTTGTGTAAGATGTAGACTTATAGAGCAGTAATTAGAGCCTCCAGGAATGTAACCATCTGCCTCACTGTTTACCCCCAACATTTTCTTCCTTCTTTCTCTTTCTCCTTTAAATACTGAGTTCCCAAAACCCTCTTTGGAAAGCATAGGTCACAGATGCCTCTGTGACTGTGTTTTTCCTGGGCACATCCTCAAACTTTGGGGTCAATAAACCTCTATTGATTGAGACTTCTTCCTCAGTCACTTTTTTGGTTAACACCATTTTCATTTTATTTACATTGTTTGAATTGTTTTAGCAGAATGTATTAAAGTATTATATGTGGGCTGGGCATGGTTGCTCATGCCTCTACTGCCAGCACTTTGGGAGGCCAAGGCAGGAGGATTGCTTGAGGTCAGGAGTTCAAGACCAACCTGAGTAACATAGCAAGCCCCTGTCTCTAAAAAAGGGAAAAAAAAGAAGTATTACATGTGTAATTGCAAATAAATAAATACAAATTCAGAAAAATTATCATTAGGTTCAATAAAATATTCTTATTTGTTGTGCCAAGCTTTTTTTTAAAGGAATGAAAATGTCATGGTCACTGAAATCTTATTCTTTCATTGAAAGAAGGTTCTTAAGAATATCTGTACCTTACATGTGGAAGTAAAACAAAGCAGTGGCCTTTAGATTGGAATTGCATATTGTAGGTTTAATGGAGCTCTAGCACTAGTTCTAATTGATTTTTGGCTAGATATAGCTGGAAGTATGTACTCAGGTTGTTAGTGGAAAGCAGGACAGCATAGGGCCACAGTTTTAAGTGGAGAGTCTTCTTCACAAGCAATTTTTTGAGAACGATATTTTGTTTTTCACAGACTCCTGAGATAGAATATAATTTTTCAGTGATAGGCTTAGAGGCTCTTGGGGAAAAAACAAGTGCTATTTTTCACACTTTTTGATACTTAATATGTGTCAGCCTCTGTGCTAAGAGCTTTATATTTAATCCTGACATATCTATGAAAAAGGCACTGATATGGTTTGGCTCTGTGTCCACACCCAAATCTGATGTCAAATTGTAATTCCCAGTGTTGGAGGAGGGTCCTAGTGTGAGGTGACTGAATCATGGAGGTGGACTTCTCCCATGCTGTTCTCATGATTGAGTTCTCACGAGATCTGGTTGTTTGAAAGTGTGTAGCATCTCCACATTTTCTCTCTCTTCCCCCTGCTCTGTCCATGTGAAGACTATGCCTGCCTCCCTTTCACCCTCTGCCATGATTATAAGTTTCCTGAGGCCTTCCCAGAAGCAGAAGCCTGTACAGGCTGCAGAATTGTGGGCTGATTAAACTTCTTTTCTTTCTAAATTACCTAGTCTTTATAGCAATGCGAGAATAGACTAATACAGGCACTATGATTACTCCATTTTTCAGGTGAATTGCCCCGTTTTTCAGATGAAGATGTAGAGACAAAGAAAGGTATGATGGCTCAAGGTTACACACTAGTACGTGGTTAATTCTCCATTCAATGAGAGTTCTAATCCAGGCTCCATGTTCTTGCTCTTAGCCATAAGAAATGAGGCCTGTCCCATGGGATGCCACTCTCTAACCTCAAGAACAGGAATAGACTGCCTGGCAGAGAGGGTAGAAAGCATTGATGGAATAAATTATTTCTATTTCCATATGTTGCTCTCCAGAGCACTTGCCTCCCCAGAGTTTGATCTCAAGGTGTAAAGTTGGGTACTCCTACTATGCCAGTACCCAGGAGAGGCTGGCTCTAGAGTACATATTTTATGTAGTTACATAGTCAGAAAGATTCCTCAGGCATCAAATAAGTAGTTGAATGCTTTCTTCTAGTAAGGGCCCCCAACCAAGACCAACAAGTACCAGTTCTTTAGTAAAATAAACTACAGGTGACCAGGCAGACTTTGGAAATGCAAAGAAGAAGACGTCATTCAGGGGCGTGGAGCAACAGAATGAACAGCACCAGCTGGCATAGGCTGAAAAGCTACGGGGCAGGTAAAAAGAAAGGGACTTATTGCAAAGAGAAGCTGAGGTGGAGCAGGGGTCCCCTTTTAGGAGCCTGCAGACTTCCAAGCATGGAAATAAAGGAATATTCTGAGTTCCTTCGAGAGAAATTCCAGGCATGCAGCTAGCCTCAGAAGTAAATACATAACTTGTTAAACAAGAAGGTCATAGTAGCTTAAAACAATAGCCAAGAAAGTTAGAGTTCCTGAGATGTTCCCTTTCCCTATAGAAACTAAGGATAACATCTTAACATTTGTGTCTGAGTTGTCTTTTAGAAAGTCAGATACCCACTGAGGACCCCCACTGAATGGATCCTCTGGCACGCAGACTTCAGATAAGGGAGAATTGAAGACTGAACTTTGACCATAATTTTTTGTTCTAAATTTCTTCTCAAGGGGCTTTGGGAAAGTCACCCCCCTCTCCCAGAAAATTAACACTTTTTCCTACTGACTCCAATTTTCTTTTTTTTTTTGAGACAGAGTCTCGCTCTGTTGCCAGGCTGTAGTGCAGTGGCATGATATCACTCACTGCAACCTCGGCCTCCCAGTTTCAAGCTATTCCCCTGCCTCAGCCTCCCAAGTAGCTGGGACTACAGGTGTGCGCCATCACACCCAGCTAAATTTTTTAATGTATTTTAGTAGAGATGGGGTTTCACCATGTTGGCCAGGATGGTCTCGATTTTATGACCTCATGATCTGCCTGCCTCAGCCTCCCAAATTGCTGGGATTACAGGTGTGAGCCACTGTGCCCGGCCCTGACTCCAGATTTTTAAACAAAGCTTCACTTCCTTAACCAATTACAAATCAGAAAATCTTTGAATCTACCTATGACCTATAAGTCACCCTCCAGGCCCCCACTCCAAGATATTCTACCCTTATAAAGCTAAAACCTTCTTGTATTGATGTATAATTTTGCATGTAGCTTCTGATATCCTGAGATTTACTCCTACCTTTAAAAACTCTTGCTTGCAAGTCATCAAGGAGGTCAGGATTTGAGCATTTAGCTTCCTGGTCCTCCTTGCTTGGCACCCTGCAAATAAATGCCTTTCTACTGCTGCAAAAACCTTGGTGTAGATATCTGGTTTTACTGTGCCAGATGAGTGGATTCCAGTCTGGTTCTATAATGCAGCCAGTTCTTAGGAAGATTTCCCTGGAGAAAAGAATTGATGAGGAGGGGTGAGTCAGAGGAGCAAGCCCCTTATGGAAAAGGTCCTGAGCACTGTGCCAGTGCCAAGGTTAATTTAAGGGAATTGCTGGGTCAGAGCTACAGCTAGGATGGTAACCCAAGTAGGGTTCCAAGGGACTTTGAGGAAAATGGATTTGACTTGGGTGTACAGTGTCCATCTAAGAGGAAGAAGCTGAGACCAAACTAATATAGAGAGTTTATTTTGGACAAGCTTGAGGATTGCAACTAGCAACATAGATTCAAGTTGCCCTGAATATACACTCAGAGTAGCAACAGATAAAAAGTAGGTTTTTAAAGAAAAAGAAGAGGCAGTTCCTAAGTTGTTTATTAAGAATTTACATTAAAATAGTATTAGCTACTGATTGGCTATACATTGTTCTTTGTGCCACAAATTCCAGGAACAGGAAGATAATGAGTGAGGCAGCTAATCAGGAACAAAATGACTTTAAACAATTCCCTCGTGGCATGGATGGGGAGGCATGGCTGAAGACCCATGCTAATGGCTCTCTGGAGACATTATCTGCATATCTCACAGAGCTCAGATTGCTCAACAGCAGGGACCACAAACTGAAATATCTACAGTATCTAGGAGGGTAAGAAAAATAAATAAAGTGAGCTGGGTGAATAGAAACCTTTGCCCTACCACCCATTTTCATCCCTCTCCAAAACCACATGCACATGCAAATGTCAGACTCACCAAATTGTACATACTAAACATGCACAGTTTTTTATTTTATATCAATTATACTTCAATAAAGCTGTAAAAAAAAAAAAAGTACTACTCATTTTGTTTCCAGAAAGGGGTCCTGATCCAGACCCCGAAAGAAGGTTCTTGGCTCTCACGCAAGAAAGAATTCAGGGTGAGTCCACAGAGTAAAGTATAAGCAAGTTTATTAAGAAAGTAAAGGAATAGAAGTATAGCTACTCCATAGATAGAGCGGGGCAGTCCTGAAAGCAAGAGGAAGAACATGTCCACTTTAGGTACAATGCTTGTTTACAAGATAATAAAACAAAAAATGATGAGATATACTCTACTACAAGGGCTTGTGACAAAGAATGGTTAATCTTTGTGTAACTACTGTCTTCCACAAGAATGTATATTATTATTTTAAAGCAAAACTTATTCTTAAACTAAGAATGCTTTTGTTCTTAAGATATTGTAACATCAGGACATTTCCTGGGTCTGTTAAGTCCTGGGTCTGTTCAGTAAACATTATTAATCTGTTCCCTTAACCACAAATATCCTTTGACTAAGAATGCCTAACCTCATAGAAAGGCAGTCCAGCAGGTCTCAGCCGTATTTTACCCATCCCCTATTCAAGAAGGGGTTGCTCTGGATTAAACACCACTGACATATTCTCCCCTCCCTTTTCCAAGGGGATACTTAATCCTAAGAGTTGCAGAAGGACAAAAATTCATTTTTCTATAGCTTCTTTGGGCTGTGTAGAGGTGATAATATTCCTGCCTAACTCTTAGGTTCTCTTGTATTTAGGGTAGAAAGGAGCTCAGTCAGGAAGCATCAGTATAGTGATGGCCATTCATAACTCTGGGTCCTGACAAAAGGAAATATCTGGAAGACAATAAGTGTTCAATTATAGAAAATGTTGAGTAAGCTTATCTTGCATTCTTACTTAAAGAGTACGACAGCAATATACTCAACAACAGTAAATAAAATAAGTATCCCAAGTAAACTAAATGAGAAGGCTTTCCATGAATTGGGCACCAAGCTGATATGGGGTTGCTAGCCAATTTCAATATATGCTCAGAGTTAGAATACTGATACAGATTTTTACATTACCCATCCCTCGTTTCTTCTACGCAGCTGGCAGAGATCAAAGGAATAAGCAGGGTCAGTCTACATTTCAGAAAAATACACAAAAACAATGGACAAGACTAGAATTTAACAACAGGTGTACCACAGTTTTTGAAACATAATTTATCTCTTTCCAGTCATCATTTTTATTAAAAACAAATCAAGGTAGGACTGATTTGTTTGCAAAATAACCTTTAGTCATATTATACTTGACCTGATTATTTTCATAAAGTGCAACAAGAATAATTATTTGCCATATAGGCTCCTTTTTAAATTGCCTTTGATGAAACTTTGTTTCATACAAAATCTCAGATAGACCTTTCAAAACCTTGAGTCTAGCCATGGATTTGTGCTTGAAAATACCCGTATGGGTTAGGTCAATTTCTCTCTTCTTGAGGTCCCAAGATAACTTGGGGCTCCTGGGCCAGTAAGAAAGTGACATTCTTTACTTACCACAGGTCAGGAACCCTGTACAGGGACTGTATAGACAAGATATGAGGCCAGTTTTTCCCCAGAGTCTTTTATTGGCCCTATAAGTCAACTTTGAATCCTTATAGCAGTCTGTTCATATTTGAAGGCATGGCCTTCTAGTCAAAGCCTTGGTAAACTAACCAGTGTCTCCAATTGTGTCCTCTTATAAAAGAAAACAGATTCTTATTGCACTTGATAAGTTAAGTGTAAACCAAAAATAAAATGATAAGTCCCTCAACCATCTGAACTGACCCCTCCTCTCAGCCAAGGGCATTCCAATGTTAACCTGAAAAACTAGTTCACGCCATGATGGGAAGTGGGAGTCAGACTTGCCTCATTATCATTAATATCAACATAGACCTTAAGACTCGTAGAAGAGACTAATTAAGTCTAATAGGAAACATTTACAATCTATTCTCTCTGAAGCATGCTACCTGGAGGTTTCGTCCACATGATAAAACCTTTGTCTCCACAACCCCTTATTGTAACTCAGACATTCCTTTCTATTGATTCCAGGTCTTTAGACAGTAACTCAACCAACTGCCAATTCGGAAATATTTAAATCTGCCTATTACCTGGAAACTCCTGCTTCTGGTTGTCCTGCCCTTCTGAAGCAAACCAATGTACATCTTACTTGTATTGATTGATGTCTTACGTTTCCCTAAAATGCATAAAACCAAGTTGTAGCCTGACCACCTTGAGCACCAAAGGCCGTACATGGGCATGTCCTTAACCTTGGCAAAATGAACTTCTAAGTTGATTGAGACTTGCCTCAGATACTTTTTGGTTTACAAATGAATACTCATAAATTTTGGAGGAATTGGGTAGAGAG
This sequence comes from Homo sapiens, assembly GCF_000001405.40. Lineage (NCBI taxonomy): Eukaryota > Metazoa > Chordata > Mammalia > Primates > Hominidae > Homo > Homo sapiens. Next base: position 161,147,161 of record NC_000003.12, on the reverse strand, counting down.
AAAGAAATATGCTCTTAATTGGATTATACTTTACTCAATTGTCAAAAGCTATAAATAGATCAAAAGAAAAATTTTCTTGACTCTAAAAAACAAAACAGAATCAGCAATGTTTTAAACAAAAAGTCATAAAAAGATAATTTTGTCTTTTATTAGTTCAGTCTATGCAATTAATTCCTGTTTTGCTTGATATTTATGAATACATTCATTTTCCAAGAGAGTCTTGGAAGGTTTTTTTCTCTATATTTTAATGGCACATTTTTCATACTTATCAGAGACCTGCATTTAAGAGTACTCATCAGAGTCCTACAGCTGATGATAAACTGCCTTTTGAAAAGGATTAAAACAAGACAATTGTCTACGGATGACTAAGAGTCTTAGGGCAGCCACAGTCAAAGACACAATTGATGAAAAAATTTGGTTACTTCTGTGGCACACAATAATTTAGCATAACAATTATTATTTTATTACTGATAATGTACACTAAATCATATTAGAATTATAGGAGTTTTGCATAATTTTGGAACACATACCAATAATACATTTATACAAATACAGCCCAAAGAAAGACAAATATTATTTTATATTTGACTATGCTTTCTGTGTGACCTTAATATATCAAATAAGCAAAATACATCATTTTTGGACTTTTGGGAACTAATATCTAGAAGGATTAATCAGGTCACAAAATGACTATATTTAGAATTTGATTTTGGGATGTTTGTTAAATATCAAAGGTTTAAAACACTTGACATTAAAAAATAGAATCTCAAGTCATTTATTTAGACAAAATAATAACTCAAAGATTTTTTAAAGGCAAAACCCTGGCCAGGCACGGTGGCTCACACCTGTAATCCCAGCAGTTTGGGAGGCTGAGGCGGGCGGATCACAAGGTCAGGAGATCTAATCCATCTTGGCCAACACAGTGAAACCCAGTCTCCACTAAAAATACAAAAAATCAGCCAGGCGTGGTGGCAGGAGCCTGTAGTCCCAGCTACTCAGGAGGCTGAGGCAGGAGAATGGCGTGAACCCAGGAGGCGGAGCTTGCAGTGAGCCGAGACTGCGCCACTGCACTCCAGCCTGGGCGACAGAGCGTCTCCATCTCAAAAAAAAAAAAAAAAAAAAACAAACAAAAACAAAGGCAAAACCCTTTACTCATTGATAGAAGGAAGCCTTAGCTTTCCAAACAATTTGTCTCTTTTCTCTCCCTTCATTTTCCTGTAGTTTATTCAAAAGGCAAACACAAATTTTGTATTATCTCTCAACATTACATGAAAATATTGTTCAAGAGAGAAAGCCAAATTTCACCTTTGCATTAGTGTACTATTAATGTCAAACCCAATTCTTAATAAAGCCTTATAGGCAAATCTATTCAATTTTAAATAGTTTGACCATTAGGTAACATTCTCACAAACCTTTTATTTTTATTTATTTATTTTTTGAGACGGAGTCTCGCTCTGTCACCCAGGCTGGAGTGCAGTGGCGCGACCTCGGCTCACTGCAAGCTCCACCTCCTGGGTTCACGCCATTCTCCTGCCTCAGCCTCCCGAGTAGCTGGGACTACAGGCATGTGCCGCCACACCTGGCTAATTTTTTGTATTTTTAGTAGAGACGGGGTTTGACCGTGTTAGCCAGGATGGTCTCGATCTTCTGACCTCGTGATCCACCCACCTCAGCCTCCCAAAGTGCTGGGATTACAGGCGTGAGCCACTGCGCCCAGCAAACACAAACCTTTTATAATCCTTCAAATTTTTTTGTTAATGAGCAGATTAATGCTCCAACGAAAACCCTGTTGTGCTTTTATTCCAATATTCAATTTACAGAAAAACTGAATATCCCTTAAACTCTAGGCAATATGTTCACACACAGAATTTCTTCTACTTCTTCTTCCTCTTTTTTTTTTTTTTTTTTTAATAGAGATGAGAGTCTTGCTATGTTGCCAGGCTGGTTTCAAACTCCAGGGCTCAAGCAATCATCCCACTTCAGCCTCCCAAAATGTTGGGATTACAGGTGTGAGCCACTGTGCCCAGCCAGGGATTTCTTTTACAAGATTAATCTTTCACGAACCTTCTACAACTTGCTCAAAATTTCAGCTTTATTCTATCTAACCTAAAACAATCATTTAACCCTATAAACTAGGCAGGAAAAAAATGCACATTCTTATGCTTTCTTATAATTTTTTTTTTACCAAAGACACATTCTACTTTCTTTACACACCTTGCACGTAAAACTGTTTCTCCGGTACTCTCAATTACATGTATTATAGTGTTAACTCTTAAAAGCTTTTATTTTTGATGAAAAACCTGGTAAGTAGGTGATTTTAATTATGTACCAGATGTGGAGTCCAGGATGCCAGACAGAAGTACAGGTAAGGTCTAACTATTTCCAGTATAGCCAGGGTGCATAGCTAACTCCACATTTCTCCAGGCCTTACCTAGAACCAAATGGCTCCAAAGCAGGTAAGTCGCACAACTATCAAAAGTCAAAAAAGCAGTTTAAGTAGTTTAGTGAACACAGTATCTGACCTGCTTAATTTAGACCAGATGTCTAAATTTTCACATTTTTATTTTATCAATAATCTTTAAAACTGTCTTTATTTCCCAAAGATTACTATAGTCACATGAACCAAAAAGTGTTAAAGTTCTATTTTTCTGACAAAAACATTTGATTTAAGCATTTATTATTTTCAGTAAAATTAATCAGAGCTATTTTATATAAACCTCACATACATAACACATATTAACACATAGACAGAAGAAGATCCAGTAGTTGTAAGGTTTTTCCATTAGCCAGTTTTAAAGTTTCTTAATTGGATTACTGGCATCAGGGTGGAGCCCTTTGAGAAATAGGGCAAGGAAAGCATGCAGTTTCTAGGGCCTAACAAACAGGCAGAGCTGGAGAGCAAAATATATCCCCCAAAATTAAGCATCCCATTCGCATGCCGGATCCTGGATCCTTTAAAAGAGGGAAACTCTATGGCACAAGACAGTGCAACACTTTTACCATGCATTTCATTGCAAGGACATACCCCCAAGGCTTGAAACTTGTGGGCAACCCAAAGCCAATCAGCCCATCCTCCATGGGAGTTTTACCTCTGTGGGTAGAGGGGGGAGATGTTTTCATTCTTTTCAGATAGCTAAAAGTATGCTTCTCTGATCCACATGTGTAAAGAGCTGAGTATTCCCCCATCACAGCCATTAGCCATCACTAAATATATTTCTGATATGGCTTGGCTCTATGTCCCCACCCAAATCTCATCTTGAATTGTAATCCAAATTGTAATCCTCAGGTATCAAGGGATGGACCTGGTGGGAGGTGATTGAATCATGAGGGCAATTTCCCCCATGCTGTTTTCATGATAGTGAGTGAATTCTCATGAGATCTGATGGTTTTATAAATGGCAGTTTCCCCTTATCTCTCTCTTACCTGCCACCATGTAAGTCGTGCCTGCTTCCCCTTCTGCCATGATTGTAAGTTTCCTGAGGCCTCCACAACCATGTGGAACTGTGAGTCAATTAAACCTCTTTTGTTTACAAATTCCCAGTCTCAGGCAGTTCTTTATGACAGTATGAAAACAGACTAATTTGATTTCCTACCTAAGTATTACACACCAAGGGTAAAAACTCTCTCATAATGCAAAGTAATTTCTGATGTCCCCAAAAGTAAAAAATGTCAGGTAATGCAATGCAAAACAGAGGAGAGCCTTAGATTTTGAGAGGGACCTATATGCTTTCAATGTCTGGGATTCCAAGAGGAAAACAGAGGTTTTTCCCAAAATGGGGTCTGTAGAGACTCTTCTGTTTTTCCCAAAGAGTCCCATGGTATTAATAATTATTTTAGGCCAGGCGCGGTGGCTCATGCCTGTAATCCCAGTACTTTGGGAGGCTGAGGCAGGAGGATCACCTGAGGTTAGGAGCTCAAGATCAGCCTGGCCAACATGGCAAAACCCCATCTCTTTTAAAAATACAAAAATTAGCCGGGTGTGGTAGCATGCACCTGTAATCCCAGCTACTCGGAAGGCTGAGGCAGGAGAATCACTTGAATGTGGGAGGTGGAGGTTGCAGTGAGCCGAGATTGTGCCACTGCACTCCAGCCTGGGCAAAAAGAGTGACACTCCATCTCAAAAAAAAAAAAAACAAAAAAGAATTATAAGAATTATTTTATCATAAAATAATTCTTATTTTAAATTCTTGTTATAAATTCTTATAAAATTAGATATTTTATAAGAATTATCTCATATGGGCATCAAGAATGACAAGAAGACAAAGTGGAGAAAAATAATTCAGTTGACTGAGAAGAAAAAAACTTTTTTCCAGAAAAACAAGATCCAAGAAGAGAAGAAAAAAAAAAAGCCATTTGAATATGTATGCAGCTTGGATATCTGCTTTTAATTAAGCTGACTTTTAACCAAATATCTTAGTACCAGACTCCAGCCAAGACAAACAGCCAATATTTCTGGCTTCTGAACTTTATAAGTTGCCAGATGAAGCCAACAAGCCTTAACTAAGGTTATGACTTAATCATGGGTGTATGAAGTATTTTCCGAGAGGTGGTAAGCAGTTTTTACAAGATCTAGAATCTCCAAAGGTAGCTCAGAAAAAGGGAAATTCAAGACAGGAAGTCAGAAATTGTTCATGATGGGGGAAGGAGTCAATAAATGACACAGGTCACACAAATATCAAACCAGAAAGGACTCATTCCCTAAAGTGGGAATTAAACCTGGACCACCATTGTGAAAAGACAAAAACCTTAGCTACTGAGCTACAGCATCAGGGTAGTATCTGCTGCTTTTCTCAAGAGTCTAGAGCATCCAGTTTCAAGCTTGCAAAGACATAACTGCCCAAGATAATTTTTAGGACTATGACATGAACCCCCAAATTTCCACTCTCTGAATGGCAGAAACCAAGAGAAAGTACCTCCCACATGATTACAAAGTCAAGTTCTGAAGGACCATAAAGCAAGACAAGAGGAAAACCTCATCTAGTTTTTGTTTCAGGGACCTGCACAAAGTTTGCAATGGACCAGTTTGCTAGGCTGGTTTGAACAGTGGGCTTACAGGGGTTCTAGGCCTGCATTCTATCCTATGGTACCCCCTTTTATGACAGAACAACACAGAAACAAATTCATAATATAAAGTAGACCAGATTTGCTACAGCCTAAGATGGGCCTCACAAATCCTTTTTTCCATTAATCAAAACCTTGCAGGAGAGGCACACAGTGATTTTTATCATTCATTCAACCAGTTTGCACAGAGAGAGAGAGGTCAGAAGTCTGACTGCTGGGTGCAGTGACTCACGCTTGTAATCCCAGCACTTTGGGAGGCCGAGGTGGGTGGATCATGAAGTCAGGAGTTCAAGACCAGCCTGGCCAAGACGGTGAAACCCCCATCTCTACTAAAAATACAAAAATTAGTCAGGTGTGGTGGCGGGCACCTGTAATCCCAGCTACTCGGGAGGCTGAGGCAGGGAATTGCTTGAATCTGGGAGGCAGAGGTTGCAGTGAGCCAAGATGCCACCATTGCACTCCAGCCTGGGTAACAGAGAGAGACTCTGTCTCAGAAAAAAAAAAAAAGAAAAGAAAAGAAAAAGAAGTCTGACTAGCAAGAAATTCTTACCCTTTTGCCAGTATACCAGGTTTCTGGATTCTCTCTCTCTGAGTGGCTTTGATAGCCCTGCTTCCTGTGTCATAGCTGTAAGACCAACTGTATTACAAAAAAAAATTATCTTTTTTATGGAACCATGTGCAAAAGCCTCTCAATTTTGCAAGATGCCAACAGGCTGCATGGGGGAACCGAATTAACATTTTCCATTCCAGCCAGAGCAAAATACATGTGACAACACATAGCGTTAGCCACCCTGTTCAGTGCCCAATAGCAAACTGATAAGGCTCAAACTTGGACCCATTTTCCCCTGTTGTTGTCCCCTTTGATCCACTCCAAGTGGGGTGGAATGACCTCTGACCAGGAGTTTCAACACGTGGTCTCTGAGCAAGATGGAAGATCGGACAGTTGCTCTGAGTGGCAGAAGACAGGAAAGGGAAAGGAAAGAAGAAGAGACAGAGGAAAGGGAAGGGAGAAAAGCATTGCCTGTGGTGGGGAGGGGGAAGCATGGAGCTCAGAGAGGCCAGAAAAAGACCTACTCATCTTAGTGACACTGAGTCGAAAGTTCAGGTGGCCACCTGTGAGTCATGGATGGGATCTTTTCTAGCAGTCCCATCAGCTCTCAAGTTTCCCCATTTGGGGGAGGTAAAAAAAGCTCCTCACGTCCTGTGATCCTGCAAATGCCCAATCCTGTCAGACAAGCAAACATACAAAAATGGGCAGAGGCATGGGGGAAGGGAAAGTTATAATGCCCCAGGATCAGTTAAGTGAGTTTTCTTGAAAATGGGAGTAAAGGCAAACAGCAATCAGGAAATTGATTCATGCAGCAAAGAACACAAGATGGATTAATTCAAAGAGAATGGCAGTTAATATCCCATAGTGCCAATCCATTCTTAACCAAGAGGGGCCTTACCAAGGAGGACTTCTAACTCCTCATGTCTTAGGAGGGACTCTAATCTTCCTAAGTTAGGCCTCTAACCCAAGTTCAGACCAGCATCCTTGTGCTTTACCAAGAGGGGCCTTTTAACCCTCTCTGTCTTACAAGGGGCTTTAACCCTCCTAAGTTGGACCTTTAACCCAACTTTGTCCCAAGATAAAATGTACCCCACCAATTTCCCAACATCAGCCAATTGGTGCTGCAGTCTATTTCCCTTGGGTCGGGGATCTCTTCAGTATGGTCCCTTTGCAGTTCACCATGGAAGAGAAAAGTCCTGATCCTGACGCCAAGAGAGAGTTCTTGGATCTTGCAAGAAAGAATTCAGGGTGAGTCCACAGAGTAAAGTGAAAGCAAGTTTATTAAGAACGTAAAGGAATAAAAGTGTGGCTACTCCATAGACAGAGGAGGGCATTCCTGAAAGTGAGAGGAAGAACCACGTCCACCTTAGGTACAATGCTTGCTTATATATAAGATAATAAAGCAAAAAATCATGGGAGAAATATGCCCTACTACAAGGGCTTGTGACAAAGAATTGTTAATCTTTGTGTAATTACCGTCTTCTGTAAAAATCTGTATTATTATCTTTAATGCAAAACTTATTCTTAGAACTATAAATGCTTTTGTTCTTAAGATATCAGGACATCAGGACATTTCCTGGGCCTGTTATTTCCTGGATCTGTTTAGCCCTGGGTCTGTTCAGTAAACATTATTAACCTGTTCCCTTAACTGTAAACATCCTGTGACTAAGAATGCCTAATGAACGCCCTGGAAAAGCAGCCCAGCAGGTCTCAGCCTCATTTTACCCAGTCCCTATTCAAGATGAAGTCACTCTGGTTCAAACGCCTCTGACAATTTTATAGACATGTTCCTATCTTTAAAAAGTAGCTGCTGCTCAGTTCTAGCAAATATATGTTCTGCCAGAATGTAGATTCAATATTGCTAGCTTTTCCAATTTTCCAAGAGACATTAGAAATTTATGCTTTTATATGTAATCTCCTGACTTTTAACACATTCATGTATTTTTAAACCAGTGTGGACCAGACAAGGTATGCCACCAAGTAGTACACACCAGTCTGCAAGCTCTATCTTAGAACATGAGGGTGGGTCATTTATATCCAAGGATCAAAGAAAACAGACCCTGGCTTGCTTAAGGAGCCTTAGGCAGGCCTTCAGCTAGGATAAAGGTTAATACAGGTCCAAATCCCTTGGGACCAGACAGGCTTTTGGGATTCAGAAGTTTTCAGATTTTTTTTAACTTTTTAGCTCTATGGGGCCCATGCCATGTAGCATGCTAAGAGAACTCTGAGGCAGAACCTTATTAACAAACCCATTGATATTTCTGAAGCAAAACATAAATATTCAGAATTCAAGTGACATAAGAGTATAAAAAACATATACACCATGGAATACTATGCAGCCATAAAAAAGGATGAGTTTATGTCTTTGCAGGGACATGGATGAAACTGGAAACCATTATTCTCAGCAAAGTAACACAAGAAGAGAAAACCAAACACCACATGTTCTCACTCACAAGTGGGAGTTCAACAATGAGAACACATGGACACAGGGAGGGGAACATCACACACCAGGGCCTGTTGGGGGGTGGGGGTCTGGGGGAGGGATAGCATTAGGAGAGATACCTAATGTAAATGATGAGTTTATGGGTGCAGCTAACCAACATGGCACATGTATACCTATGTAACAAACCTGCATGTTGTACACATGTACCCCAGAACTTAAAGTATAATAAAAAAAAAAGTGTAAAAAATATCAAGTAAGTTCTAGTCAAGTTTTGCCACCAAATGAGATAGTTGCAAACTTATGAAAAAAATAACTTTCCAAAAGCATTGGGATTTCAGAATTATTGACAGGTAATAATGTGAACCAATTATAAGGAGACAAGTGAGGACTGACTACATACTTTGTTAATGAATCGACTTATAGAGAATTTATGCCTGATGACCTCTACCCTTTGGAAACTATTTTTGTATCCTTGATAACTGGGGACATACCTGCTTTCTCCCCTTTGGCCTCAGGGGGAGGCAGTGTTTTGCCCTTTACCATTGTTCCCCAAGCACGGGCAGGCCCATTTCTTAATTTCCTAGGCATATCTGAGACTGGCTGGCAGGAAGCTTAGCACAATGAGTTACTTCCAATTGCTGTTAAAAATGACTTTGCTCAGGGCCGGGTGCGGTGGCTCATGCCTGTAATCCCAGCACTTTGGGAGGCCGAGGCAGGCGGATCATCTGAGGTCGGGAGTTCGAGACCAGCCTGACCAACATGGAGAAACTCCACCTCTGCTAAAAATACAAAATTAGCTGGGCGTGGTGGTGCATGCGTGTAATCCCAGCTACTCAGGAAGGCTGAGGCAGGAGAATCGCTTGAACACGGGAGGCGGAGGTTGCCAGGGGCCGAGATCGCGCCATTGCACTCCAGCCTGGACAACAAGAGCGAAACTCTGTCTCAAAAAAAAAAAAAAAAAAAAAAAAAATGACTTCGCTCCGATGCACCACCCCCAGTTCTGTATTTGAGACCAACCTCGATTGCCTCCCTATTTGACTCTCATCTATCTTCATGCCTCAAGGTTCTTGCCAGACTCTCAATAAGGACCTAAACAAGAAAAAGGGTCTCCTTTCCCTCTGGTTTCTGCTCTTCCTCCATCTCAATTTTTGCACACCAGTAATTTATAACTACTACTCAGGTGGATGATTGTGGAATTATGTCTCCTTTTAAAAGATGCACCACCCTAACCCTCAGTGTTATGGTTACCCTGAGCTCCACCTCTCAGGACAATTACAAATAACGGCCGCCAAATCAATAACAACATTGTGAGTTATCCAATCTTAGTGGGCATAACCACAACCCATGCTGTGCTAAACTGGACTAAGTCCAGGTCACTTTTTTAAAGCCCCATAGGATGATCAGGCATGCCTATCTCTACAGTAGCTTTAGGGCTTCTGCTCCTGATTCTCTGTGATTTACTACATAAAGAACATATACACATCTCCAGCAATAAAAAACCAACCCAAAACAATAAAAATCCAAATATAGAAAATAATCCTTTCTCCTGTGGAAGATACAAAGCTGCAGGGACTTGGCTTTGCTGCTGACAGACATGGATTTACATTACAAAATAAAGCACTTGGCTTAGCTTCTCAACCTAAGCACCTTTACTCGGGTGACTTCACTTTCTCTCAGGAACAATTGTTTTTGGTCTCTAGAGGTAGGAGTGTCCCAAAAGACATATATCCAAGATAGACAGAAGTCTCTTCTTTCAGTGAAGATTTGTGGTTGAAAAATCTCTTTAAAAAGCGCTTCTCCCATTTCTGGGCTATTACATGTTCATAAAGATCAGCATACTATCTCAACATATTTTGTGCATGTGTGCATATGCACATGCATGTGAGTGTGTACTATATTGTAATTGTACATGGAAAATAAAATTCTAAGCCCGACAGCTGACTGAATGGATCCACTCTTGGCCAAGGGGATCCCAGAGAAAGCTGAAAAACTATTTCAGCCTACGATGGGAATGGGGGGTAGTACATGGCTCCCCTTGGAGCTTAGGCACAACTGACCAGCATTAACACAAAAATAGAGATCATAAGATGAATAAGACAAACTCTTTGTAGCAATAAGATACTGAACTCCAACTTGATACTGGTATAGCATCACATGACAGATAACAGGCCCTAAATATATGTTTTAATTTCTTTCTTCCTTTGTTACTTTATTTTTCATTTATTTATTTATTTTTTAGAGACAGTATCCTGCTCTTGTCACCCAGGCTGAAATGCAGTGGCATGATCATAGCACACTGAACCCTCAAAGTCCTGGGCTTAAGAGATCCTCCCACCTCAGCCTCCTGAGTAGTTGGACGGCATATGCCACCATGCTCAATTAATTTTTAAAAAATTTTTGTAGAAATAGGGGTCTCATTATGTTGCTCGGGTTGGTCTCAAACTCCTGGCCTCAAGCCATTCTCCTGCCTCAGCCTCCCAAAGTGCTAGGATTACAGGCAAGAGTCACTGTAACTGGCCCTAAATATATTTCTTTGACATATTGTGGCATGGCCTTGCAAAGAGGTCCTTGTAGGGGAAATTTGCATTTTTCTTTTTTCTACATCACAAGTCATTAGAAAGAAAATGTGTATTCTGTAGAGAATCTCCTTCCTTTGCTACTAGGTCTTTTCTGGAGAGTAAGGTCTCCAGAGAAGAGATGTTTATAATCTATTTTCTCTGAAGCCTGGAGGCTTCATCTTCATACAAGAACCTTGGCTTCCACAACTCCCCAATCTAACTCAAGCATTTCTTTATTCTGACTTCAACTCAACAAGCAGAGCTTAACTCTTTCAGCCAATTGCCAATAACAAAATATTTGAATCCACCTATGACTTAGAAGACTCCTCCCTCAGCTTCAAGATGTCCTGCCTTTCCAGGCTGAACAAATATATACCTTCCATGTATTGATTTATGCCTTTGCTTGTAACTTCTGTCTCCCTAAAATATGTAAAGCCAAACTGTAACCCAAGCACCTCGGGCACATGTTCTCAGAAGCTTCTTAGGCTGTGTCACTGGTCATGTCCTTAACCTTGGCAAAATCTCTAAATTGATTGAGACCTGCCTCAAATAATACTATTTGGTTTATGTAATTAATAAGTAATCTGTGGGCCAGGCGCGGTGGCTCACACCTATAATCCCAGCATTTTGGGAGGCCCAGGAGGGTGGATTTCTTGAGCACAGGAGTTCAAGACAAGCCTGAGTAATATGGCAAAACCCCATCTCTACAAAAAATACAAAAATTAGCCAGGCATGATGGCAGGCACCTATAGTCCTAGCTACTCAGGAGGCTGAGGTGGGAGGATCACCTGAGCCTGGGAGGTTGCAGCTGTGGTGAGCCATGATTGTGCCACTGCACTCTAGCCTGGGTGACAGTGTGAGACCCTGTCTCAAAAAATAATTAAATAAAAATAAGTAATTTGTGTGTGAGATACAATACTGTGAATATCATACTGCCCAATAATCCTCAAAAACCTTTCACTCAATAAGTTTAGCATCTACAGGTGATCTTGCCTGAATTATTCCAATGGTGGTTGAAAAATGGTGATTTTTCTAATTCTATAATTTCTTCTGTATTTTGTAGGCTGCAGTCTTTGAAAGAAGAGAGCTCACTTCCACTTCCACCTTTATTTTGAGTGTCACTATGGATTCATGGGTTCTTTTCTTATTTCAAGGTAATATAATCCATCACCATTATTATTCTTTTTGATGTTCAGCTTGTCACAAATTTAGCCAGTGGGAACAGCTTCAAGTCAACTCTTGTGTTCCCATCAATTTTGAGCACTTTCTTACTTTTGTGCGTAAGATGTTTCCAGCTTACTGTGAACCTCCCCTTTCCCAGACTTGAAATTAGCTATTGGAATGTTATTGCTTCTATGCTTTTTTTGGGAGACAAAGCTAGAAATCCAAAATTTTAAAGAATCATGAGTTAATACTGATACCTCTAATTCCAATGTCAACCTACAAGAAGAAGCTGAGGCAAAGTAGAGAGTTTATTTGGGCCAAGTTTGAGGACTGCAACTCAGGAGCATAGATTTAAGTTGCCCTGTATACATACTCCAATTAGCAGCAGTAACTAATGAGTTTTTAACGTAAAAAAGAAGAATCAGTTTCTAATTTTTTTAACCAAGAATTTGCATTAAAATAACATAATTTATTAACTATCATTGTTCCTTGCATCACACCTCCCAGGAATATGAACATAACAGGTGGGTGAAGCAGCAAATTAGAAACAAAATGCCTTTAAAGAACTGCCCCAGGCATGAACGTAGGAAGGAAGCATGGCTGAAATGCCATACTTATGTCTCTCTGGGCCTGATAAATTTTGTATTCCTCACATAACTCAGACTGCTCTGAGCTATATATTTTTTTCTTACTCCCTTCTCCTACAGTGAGGAAAGAACCCTGGTTTCCCACAATTTTCTCTATCTATAATACATTCAAAATAACTTCAGAATTTCTTCATTGATATTATTATTAAAAAAAATCACTAAACATCACGGAAATGCAAATCAAAACCACAATGAGATATCACCTCACTCCAGTTAAAATGACTACTATCAAAAAGGCAAAAAATAACAAATGCTGGCACGGATGGAGAGAAATGGGAGCTTTTACACAATGTTGGTGGGAAGGCAAATTTAACCATTATGGAGAAAAGTATGGAGGTTCTTCAAAAAACTACAAATAGAACTACCCTATGATCCAGCAATCCCACTACTGGGTATTTAGCCAAAGGAAAGGAAATCAGTATGTCAAATAGATATCTGCCCTCGTGTTTATTGAAGCATTTTTCATAATAGCCAAGATATGTGATCAACCTACATGTCCATCAACAGATGAATGATAAAAGAAATGTGGTATATATACATCATGGAATACTAGTTAGCAATTTAAAATAATAAAATTCTGTCATTCATGGCAATATGGATGACCTTGAAGGACATTCTGATAAGTGAAGTAAGCTAGGCATAGAAAGATAAATACCGTGACCAGGTGTGGTGGCTCACGCCTGTTATCCTAGCACTTTGTGAGGCCGAGGTGGGTGGATCACATGAAGTCAGGAGTTCGAGACCAGCCTTGCCAATATGGTGAAACCCCACCTCTACTAAATGCAAAAATTAGCTGGGCATGCTGGCGGGCGCCTGCAATCCCAGCTACTCAGGAGGCTGAGGGAGGAGAATCGCTTGAACCCAGGAGGCAGAGGTTGCAGTGAGCCATGGTGACGCCATTGCACTCCAGCCTGGGCAACAAGAGCAAAACTCCATCTCAAAACAAACAAATAAAAAAAGAAGTAGATAGTAGAATAGTGGTTACTAGAGGCTGGGAAAGGGTTTGGAAGAGGTCAAGGGGATAGTCAGCTGTTGGTTAACGCATGCAAGAGTACAGCTTGTTAGGAGAAATAAGTTCCAGTGTTCCACAGCCCTACAGAGTGACTATAATAAACAACAATTTATTGTATATTTTCAAAAAGCTAGAAGAGCAGATTTTGAATTGTTCCCAACACAAAGAAATGATAAATGTTTGTCGTGATAGATATGCTAATTACCCTGATTTGAGCATTACACATTGTATACATGTATTGAAATACCACACTATACTCCATAAATATGTACAATTATGTATCAATTAAAAACAACAATAATTTTTTAAAAACCTAGTAGAGAAAGTTCAATATTTTTTTGCAATTCTTTTTGCACTGAAAATACGTTCTGTTAGGGGAGTGCTGTGTTCAAAAGTTACTTGAATTAATTCTATTTCTGAATTGTTATGGTACCAACTTGAGAGTTTCTTTAGTTAGCTTAAATTGTGGCTGTTTGTGTTCTACATTAGGTTTTGCTTTTAAATTTTTGTTGATCTAATATGCAAAACGTTTATATGGTTCAAAAGAAAAACTATATTAAAGAGGTAAATTCAGAGAAGTTGCACACCTTCATTTTATGCTTTTTCATTTGTTTCTGGCTTATTCTTCCTATATTTCTTTTTTAAGAACAAGCAAATATATATGGAGTCATATTTTCTCCTTTTTCTTACAAAGTGTTCATGTTATATATACTCTTTCACATATTTCTTTTAACAAAATTTCCTTGAGGCCAGGCGTGGTGGCTCACACCTGTAATCCCAGCACTTTGGGAGGCTAAGGTAGGAGGATCGCTTGAGACCAGAAGTTTGAGACCAGCCTGGGCAATATGGTGAAATCCCGTCTCTACCAAAAAAAAAAAAACAAAAAAAAATTATATATATATATATACACACACACACAAAAATACAAAAATTAGCCAGGATTAGCAGTACATGCCTGTAGTCCCAGCTACTTGGGAGGCTGAGGTGGGCGGGTTGCTTGAACCTCAGAGGCAGAGGTTGCAATGGGCCAAGATGGTGCCACTGCACTCCAGCCTGGGGGACAGAGCAAGACTCTGTAAAAAAAAAAAAAAAATCCTTGGAAACATTCCATATCAGTTCATAGAGATTTTTGCTACATAGTACATACTTTATAGTTTGCATGCATCATTGTTTATTTAACTAGTTTTAAATAGATGAGTATTTAGGTTGTTCTCTATTTCTCATATGAAAATTGATTTGTTCAAATTTTCCTCTCTTTTGGGGATAATTTTTTTTTAAATGTATTTTCCCAGGGAATTATTTATTTCAACTAGGTTTTCAAAGGTATTTGCATAAAGTTGTGCAAGTAGTCTCTTAAACTTAAAAAAAATGTTTCAATGCTTATGTCTCTCTTATCATTTCTTATGTATTTCTTCCTTTTTTGTTCTTAATTAGGTTAGCTGGTGGTTTACCTATGTTTTTCCCAAAGAAGTATTTATTTTTTTCCAAAGATTTATTAGTTCTTGTAGTTGTTCTAATCATTAATCTGTCCTTTAATATTTATTATTTTCTCCCTCCTGCCTTCTTTTGGTTTATGTTTCTAGATTTGGAATCAAACATTTTGTTCATTTATTTTTATTTTTCCAGTTTGGTAAAATTAGTTAAGGCTATTGATTTTCCTCTTATCCCTGCTTTACTTGTTCCTCTATCATCTATATTTCCTGTAAAATGGAAGTGAGATTTAGAAGTCTGATTAGATGCAGGGTCAGATTTTCATTCAAGAGTACTTCACTGATGATGTTGCATACCTCAAATTACTCACACCAGGAGATACAAGTTACTGGTTGCCTAGTTTTATTGTTGCAAAGTTGATCACTGGGTTCTGGTGATGTCAGCTAGTTTCCTCCATTTTAAAGTTACCCACCAATGTTTTACCCATGTCATTAGAATCTGTCATTTGCAACTTCTAATGGCATGGGTAAAACGTTGGTGGGTAACTTTAATATGCAAATGGTAGTGGGCTATTTTATTACTGCTTCTTTTTTGATTGACTGTAATTCATCTACAAAAAAGAGGATGGGGCTGGCACAGTGGCTCACACCTGAAAGTCAAGCACTTTGGAAGGCCAAGGTGGGAGGATCGCTTGAGGCCAGGAGCTCAAGACCAGGCTGGTCAATGTAGGGGTTATGGCGTGAGCCTGAAGTCCCAGCTGTTCAGGAGGTGGAGATTGAGGTGGGAAGACCACTTGAGCCCAGGAGTTCAAGGCTGCAGTGAGCCATGATCCAGCTACTCCAGCCTGGGTGACAGAGCAGACAAAGCAAGACCCTGTCTCCAAAATAAATAAATAAATAAAATAAAACAAAAACTAAACTTTCCTTCATTAATTATTTTATTTATACAGGAAAGGAAGAATTCTTTATCCCTCCCCGACTTTATCAATGCGCAGAGTAGTCACTTAGTGATCTAGCAACCTCCCATGGAAACCAATGCATTTTTTGAAGTATCACAATGAGCTCACAAATTTGTATATAGTTGATATTTTAATCCATCGCAGTCATTATTCTTTACAATTTGTACATAACTTCTTTGATTTTATGCTTGGATCTCTTTTTTCTTACTGTGAAAATCTCAGTTCCTAATGGAATTAAAACAAATATTTGCTTTTCTTTTTCTGTATCATGTTATTATTAGTATTACAATAAGACAACTGAATGCAGTGTAGGTTTTTTTGTGGTACTTTTTCCTAGTAGAATATATCCTACTAGAGGTGTACTGAAATTTAAAATGAAAGAATTACTTTCTCTACACAGTTTCAGTGCCAAAATGATGTATAGTTAGAATCATTTGTTTCTGTTTCTTTTGTTTTCGATTTCAGGGGTTTGTCTTTCCCATTGTATAAATACATAATTCGTTTATATGGTTCCAAAGCCAAAACTACATAAAAAGATGCACCCATAGAACCTTTCCTTCTGTACTTGCTTCTTCATCCTGCACCCTCTCTCCAAATGGAGGAGACCATTTTTGTCCATTTGTTAGTATGTCATTTCATTGTTTCTTTTTTGAAAACAAACAAATATGTTTATATATTTGTTTCCTTCACACAAAAGGTAGCACACCATAAACATTGTTCTGCATCTTGCTTTATTTCACTTAATAATATATCCTGGCAATTGTTCCATACCAGCATCTAGAAGTGTTCCTCATTGTTTTTACAGTTGTATAATTCTCTATTGCTTAAATGTACCACAGTTTATTAAACCAGTCCCTACAGCTGGACGTTTAGGTTGTTTCTGGTTTTCTACTATAGCAAATAAGGTCACCATAAATAACTTTGTGCCTATAATTTTATTTTATTTTTTTGCAGGTGTATCTTTGGGAGATGTCCTAGAAATGGGATTGTTGGATGAAAGGATAAATGCTCACCTAATGTTCTTAGACATTACCAAATTCCCCATCATAGTGAGTATAACATTTTTAACTTCCCAAAGCAATGAGAGAGGCCTGTTTCCCCACAGCCTTGCATTGCCAAGCTTTTGTATTCTTGTCAATCTGATGGCTGAAAAATGACATCTCAATATACTTTTTTTTTTTTTTTTTTTGAGACAAAGTCTTGCTTTATCGCCCAGGTTGGAATGCAGTGGTGTAATCTCGGCTCACTGCAACCACTGCCTCCCAGGTTCAAGCGATTCTCATGCCTCAGCCTCCCGAGTAGCTGGGATTACAGAAGGCTGCCAGCACGCTTGGCTAATTTTTGTATTTTTAGTAGAGACAGGGTTTCACTATGTTGGCCAGTCTGGTCTTGAACTCCTGAGCTCAGGCGATCCACCTGCCTCAGCCTCCCAAAGTGCTAGGACTACAGGTGTGAGCCACCGCGCCCAGCCACAATATACTTTTAGTTAGTATTTCTCCCTCTTTTTTTGTAGAGATGAAGATCTCATTATGTTGCCTAGGCTGGTCTTGAACTCCTGGCCTCAAGGAATCCTCCTGCCTCGGCCTCCCAAAGTACTAGGATTACAAGCATGAGCCACTGTGTCCAGTCTAAAAACAAACTTTTTTTAACAGATGGTGTCTTGCTCTGTCACCCAAGCTGCACTGCAGTGGCATGATCATAGCTTACCAAAGCCTTGAGCTTCTGGGCTCATGAAATCCTCCCACCTCAGCCTCCTAAGTAGCTGGGACTATAGGTGCAAGAGTTGTCACTGCATCAGGGGACTATAGGTATGAGCCACTGCGCCCAGCTAATTTGTTTTTCTTTTCTTTTTTTTTTTTTTTTTTTTGTAGAGACAGGGTGTCACTTTGTTGCCCAGGCTGGTCTCAAATTCCTAGATTCAACCTGTTTTCCTGACTTGGCCTCCCAAAGTGTTGGGATTACAGGCACAAGCCACTGCACCTGGCCTTCTTTTTAAAATTTATTTAAAAAAAAATTGGTGTGGCAAAATATACCTGAGACTTAGCATTTTAACCACTTTTAAGTGTACACTTCAGTGGCATGAAGTACATTCACATTGTTGTGTAACCATCACTACAGCTCACATCCAGAACTTTTTCATCATTCCAAACTGAAAGTCCAAACCCATTAAACAATAACTCACATTTCTTCTCCCCTTAGTTCTGGGTAACCACTGTTTTACTTTCTGTCTCCATGCATTTGAGTATTCTAGGTACCTCATATAAGCGGAATCATAAAATATGTATCCTTTTGTGTTTGGCTTATCTCACTTGCCATTACGTCTTCAAGGTTCATCCACATTGTGTCATATATTAGAATGTAATTTCTTTTAAGGCTAATATTTCATTGTATGTATATACCACATTTTGTTTCTCCATTTATCTGTTGATGGACATTTGAGTTGTTTCCACCTTTTGGCTATTGTGAATAATGCTGTTATGAGCATTAATGTACAAATATTTGTTCAAATTCCTGCTTTGAATTATTTTGTGTGTATACCCAGAAGTAAAATTGCTGGATTATATGGTAATTCTGTTTAATTTTTTGAGGAACCACCATACTGTTTTCCTTAGTGGCTGCATAATTTTACATTCCCACTAGCATTGCACAAGGCTTTCAGTTTCTACACATCTGCACCAACAGTTTTTGGGTCTTTTTATAGTAACCATTTTAATGGATCTGAAGTGATATTTTATTGTGGTTTTGATCTGCATTTCTCTAATAATTTGTGATGTTGAATAACTTTTCATGTCCTGTTTGGCCATTTGTGTATCTTTTTTGAGGAAATCTCAATTAAAGTCCTTTGTCCACTTGTTTGTTTCCTAGACACTAGACAACCAGAGACTTTGTCTACTTTTTAAATTGAATTGTGTTGTTGCTGTTGATATTTAGTTTTAGGAGTTGTGTGTATATTCTGGATATTAATTCCTTATCTGATATATGATTTGCAAATATCTTCTCCTTTTCTGTGGTTTATCTTTTTACTCCATTCATAGTGTCCTTTGACGCCCAAAAATTTTTTAATATTGATGAAGTCCAGTTTTTCCATTTTTTTTTTGTTGCCTGTACCATTGGTCATACCTAAGAAATCATTGTCAAACTTATGTCATGATTTTCCCCCATATTTTTTTTTCTGGGTTTTACAGTTTTAGTGGTTATATATAGGCCTTTGATCCATTTTGAGCTAATTTTTGTATATGGTGTTAAGTGTCCAACTTCATTCTTTTGCATGTGGATATCCAGTTTTCCCAGTATAATTTGTTGAAAAGATTCTACTCTCCCCACGAATAATCTTGGTACTTTTTTGAAAATTATTTGACCATATATGTTAGGGATTATTTACTGGGCTCCCTATACTGTTTCGTTGGTCCGTATGTCTGTCTTTATGACAATACCACACTGTTTTGATTACTTTTAGAATTGTAATAAGTGTGAGACCTCCAAATCTGTTATTTTTATTGGTTTGGCTCTCTTCAGGGTCCCTTGAGATTCCATATAAATTTTAGAATGGATATTTCTATTTATGCAAAAACTATAGTTTGATTCTGAGAGGGATTGCATTGAATCTGTAGTTAACTTATCTTAACAATATTAAGTCTTTCATTCATGAACATGGGATATCTTTCCATTTATTTATGTTTTCTTTCATTTTTTTCAGCAATGTTTTGTCATTTTTAGTTGCACAAGTCTTTTGCCTCCATGGAGGCAAACTATTTTATTCTACTTGATGCTGTTGTAAATGGGATTTTCTTAATTTCCTTTTGGGTTGGTCACTATTAAGCATTATTTTTTTATTATAAGCAGGTTGGGCATCTTTCTTTTTTTTTTAAGACAGGGTCTCACTCTGTTGCCCAGGCTGGAGTGCAGTGGTGTAATCATAGCTCGCTGTAGCCTCGACCTTCTGGGCCCAAGTGATCCTCCCACCTCTGCCTCCCAAGTAGCTGAGACTACAGGCATGTACCACCACACCCAGCTAATTTTTTAAAATTTTTTGTAGAGATGAGGTCTCTCTATGTTGCCCAGACTAGTCTCAAACTCCTGGGTTCAAGTAATCCTCCCAGCTCAGCCTCCCAAAGTGCTGGGATTACAGGCATGAGCCACTCTGCATGGTCTGACATCTTTTTATATGTTTAGGGTCCATTTCGTTTTCTTTGGAACTGTCCATTCATATCTTTTACTCATTTTTCTTTATTTTTTTAATTAAATTTTTTTTTTTTTGAGACAGAGTCTTGCTCTGTCACCCAGGCTGGAGTGCAGTGGCATGATCTTGGCTCACTGCAACCTCAGCCTCCCAGGTTCAAGCAATTCTCCTGCCTCAGCCCCCTGAGTAGCTGTTTTACCAATTTTTCTATTGCACTGTTGGTATTTTTTCTTCTCAACATTTTTGGAACTCTCTATATTTTATTAATATCGGCCCTTTGGATATAGGGAACATGAAGGGAAAAAACTAAATAAAAATGCCTATGATACAGACTACTACTTGTTTCCCAAAAGCCAGTCACTCCTACTTCCTTATTAATAGAATCACCTATTTTTAGCTGGAAATTTGGCGACCAGAATAAAGTCAACATTTTCCAGCTTCCTTTGCAACTTTGTTTACTATATGATTATGTTCTGGGATATAACCAGAGCAGCACATGCAACTTCTAGAAATGACCTTGAAAGGAGGAGGTAGGTCCTTCTCTGCACTTTTTTTCTTCCTAGTAGCTGGAATACAGATATGATGGTTTAAGGTTTTAGCTGTGTTGCTGAAAATGGAGGAACAATAAAATAGAAAGGCCCTTAAGCCCCTGACATAATCAAACACACCTGGATGACCCAATTTATGTAAAAAAGAGATAAACTTGGATCTTGTATAAACCACTGAAAAAAATCATCCCTCTGGATAGGGGTTTGATAGATGTATGCATTTGTCAAAAATCAGTAATGCACACTTAAGATTTTTGAATTTCATTGTATTTATATTTTACATTGGGAGAAAAACCTGTAAACAAATACTGAGCTATACATGGTTATATATACATGCAGAAATACTTAGAGGGAAGTATTTAATGATATACATGCAGAAATGGTTAATGATATACATGCAGAAATACTTAGAAAGAAGTATATTGATGTGTGCAATTTACTTTGAAATGCATAAAAAATGGATAAATTCTATATAATATAATTAAACAAGTAGAGTAAAATATTAATGGGAGAATGTATGTGATGGATTTTGGGTGTTGCCTATAAAACTTTATGTTTCAAAATGTTCATAATGAAATATTGGGAAAAATATTAGTCATCTAATAATATAATTATAAAACAATTATAATTATAATTATATATCTAATTATATCTAATTATAAATTATATCTAATTATAAATCTATAAAAATAATTATAAATATTTCTTCCAAGTTGTCATTTTTTACTGTGTTGTTTTTCCTCATAAAAATGTTTTAAAGTTTATATATAGACACATCATTTATGTTTTTTATTGATTCTTTTTTCTTTTTTAAACAGAGTCTCACTCTGTTGCCTAGGCTGGAGTGCAGTGGTGTGATCATGGCTCACTGCAGCCTTGAACTCCTGGGTTCAAGCAATCCTCTCACTTCAGCCTCCCAAGTAGCTAGGACTATAGGTGCATGCCATCATGCCCAGATAATTTTTTTAAAAAATCTTGTAGAGATGGGTCTTGCTATGTTGCCCTGGCTGGTTTTGAACTCCTGGTCTCAAGCAATCCTCCCTCCCTGACCTCCCAAAGTGCTCAGAGCTTAATTTTGAGTGATAGCTTGTAAAGTTTTCCCTCTCCCCTATTATAAAAAAAAAGTCATTCATGCTTTCTAGTACTTGCATTATTAAGGTCTTTGGCCCAGTATTTAGTCAGGTTGTTTGTTTTCTTATTTTTGAGTTTTAAGGGTTCTGTGTATATTTTGAATAACAGATCTTTATGAGATATATGTTTTGCAAATATTTTCTCCCAGTCTTTGGCTTGTCTTTTTATTCACTTGACAGTGTCTTTCACAGAAAACAAATTTTCATGACGTCCAGCTTATCAGTTCTTTCTCTCATGTATTGTGCCTTCAGTGTTGCCTCTAAGGAGTCATCACCAAACTAAGCTTATATAAATATTTTTCTACATTATCTTCTAGGAGATTCATAGCATTTTACATTTAGATCTGTGATCCATTTCAAATTGATTTTTAAGAAGGGTGTAAGGTCTGTGTGTAGATTCATTTCTTTTTATTGGCAGGAGGATATCCAGTCATTCCAGCACCATTTGTTTAAAGATTTTTTTTTGTATTGTCTTTGCAATATGAATCTTTAAAGGTCAGTTGATTATTTTTTTGTGGATCTATTTCTAGGTTTTCTATTTCATTACACTAATTTATTTGTCTTTTCTTTCCCTAATACCACATAATTTGATTACTGTAGTCTTATAATAAGTCTTGAAGTCATGTAAGTGTCAGTCCTTCAACTTTATAACTCCTTTAATATTGTATTGACTACCCTAAGTCTTTTGACACTCTACATAAACTTTAGAATTATTTTGTTAACATACATAAAATCACTTGCTGTAATTTTGGCTGGCATTGCATTGAATCTATAAACGGGAAGAACTGGCATCTTGACAATATTAAGTTTTCTATCTATAAACATGGAATATTTCCCTATTTAATTCTTTTATTTCTCTTATGAGATTTTTGTGGTTTTCCTTATATAGATCCTGCTAATGTGTCCATTTGGGAGTGCTGATGTAAATAATATTGTGTTTTAATTTTAAATGCCATCTGCTTTTTGCTGGTATATAGAAAAACATTTGCCTTTTGTATATTAACTTTGAATCCTGTGACATTCTTATAATCACTTATTAGTTCCTGGAGAGTTTTCCTTTTTTTGCTAATTCTTCTGGGTTTTCTATGTAGACGATCATGTTATCTGTGAACAAAGTCAGTTCTAGTTCCTTCTTTTCAATCTGTATGCCTTTATTTTCTTTTCTTGTCTTATTGCATTATCTAGCACTTTCAGTATGATGTTAAAAAGCAGTGGTGAGAGGGCATATCCTTGCCTTGCTCCTTGATCTTACAGGAGAGCTTCTAGTTAACCACCACCAAGTCAATTTTTTTTTTTTTTTGAGACAGAGTCTCACTATGTTTCCCAGGCTGGAGTGCAGCGGTGCGATATCAGCTCACTGTAAACACCAACTCCTAGGTTTAACTGATTCCCCTGCCTCAGCCTCCCGAGTAGCTGGATTACAGGCGTCTGCCATGACACCCAGCTAATTTTTGTATTTTCAGTAGGGACAGGGTTTCATCATGTTGGCCAGCTGGTCTTGAACTCCTGACCTCAGGTAATCCGCCTGCCTTGGCCTCCCAAAGTGTTGGGATTACAGGCGTGAGCCAGCACACCCGGCCCATTAGGACAACCTTTTTAAAATTTTGTGCCCTAGGATTTGTGTTTTTCTGTTGTTTTTTTATTTAAATTATACTTTAAGTTCTAAGATACATGTGCAGAATGTGCAGGTTTGTTACGTAGGTATATATGTGCCATGGTGGTTTGCTGCACCCATAAACCTGTCATCTATATTAGGTATTTCTCCTAATGCTATCCCTTTCCTTGCCTCCCACCCTGACAGGCCCTGGTGTGTGCTGTTTGCCTCCCTATGTCCATATGTTTTCATTGTTCAACTCCCACTTATGAGTGAGAACATGCAGTGTTTGGTTTTCTGTTCCTGTGTTAGTTTGCTGAGAATGACGGTTTCCAGCTTCATCCACATCCCTGCAAAGGAAATGAACTCATTCATTTTTATGGCTGTATAGTATTCCATGGCATATATGTGCCACATTTTCTTTATCCAGTCTATCATTCATGGGCATTTGGGTTGGTTCCAAGTCTTTGCTATTGTAAAGAGTGCTGCAATAAACATATGTGTGCATGTGTCTTTATAGTAGAATCTGTCTTTATAGTAGAATGATTTATAATCCTTTGAATATATACCCAGTAATGGGATTGCTGGGTCAAGTGGTATTTCCAGTTCTAGATATAGAATCACCACACTGTTTTCCACAATGAGGAATCACCACACTGTCTTCCACAACAGTTGAACTAATTTACACTCCCACCAACAGTGTAAAAGCATTCCTATTTCTCCACATCCTCTCCAGCATCTGTTGTTTCCTGACTTTTTAATGACTGCCATTCTAACTGACATGAGATGGTATCTCATTGTGGTTTTGATTTGCATTTTTCTAATGACCAGTGATGATGAGATTTTTCTCATCTTTGTTGGCTGCATAAATGTCTTCTTTTGATAAGTGTCTGTTCATATCCTTCGCCCACTTTTTGGTGGGGTTGTTTTTTTCTTGTAAATTTGTTTTAAGTTCCTTGTAGAATCTGGATATTAGCCCCTTTGTCAGATGGATAGATTGCAAAAAATTTTCTCCCATTCTGCAGGCTGCCTGTTCACTCTGATGATAGTTTCATTTGCTGTGCAGAAGCTCTTTAGTTTAATTAGACCCCATTGTCAATTTTGGCTTTTGTTGCCATTGCTTTTGGTGTTTTAGTCATGAAGTCTTTGCCCATGCCTATGTCCTGAATGGTATTGCCGAGGTTTTCTTCTAGGGTTTTTATGCTTTTAGTTCTTATGTTTAAGTCTTTAATCCATCTTGAGTCATTTTTTATAAGGCATAAAGAAGGGGTCCACTTTCAGTTTTCTGCATCTGGCTAGCTAGTTTTCCCAACCCCATTTATTAAATAGGGAATCCTTTCCCCATTGCTTTTTTGTCAGGTTTGTCAAAGATCAGATGGTTGTAGATGTGTGGTGTTATTTCTGAGGGCTCTGTTCTGTTCCATTAATCTATATATCTGTTTTGGTACCAGTACCATGCTCTTTTGGTTACTGTAGCCTTGTAGTATAGCTTGAAGTCAGATAGCGTGATACCTCCAGCTTTGTTCTTTTTGCTTAGGATTGTCTTGGCTATATGGGCCCTTTTTTGGTTCCACATGAAATTTAAGGTAGTTTTTTCTAATTCTGTAAAGAAAGTCAATGGTAGCATGATGGGAATAGCATTGAATCTATAAATTGCTTTAGGCAGTATGGCCATTTTCATGATATTGATTCTTCCTATCCATGAGCATGGAATGTTTTTCCATTTGTTTGTGTTCTCTCTTATTTCCTTGAGCAGTGGTTTGTAGTTCTCCTTGAAGAGGTCCTTCACATCCTTTGTAAGTTGTATTCCTAGGTACTTTATTCTCTTTGTAGCACTTGTGAATGGGAGTTCACTCATGATTTGGCTGCTTGTCTATTATTGGTGTGTAAGAATGTTTGTGCTTTTTGCACAAGCATTCTTATAAGTATGATTATAAGATTGATTAAGTATCCTGAGACTTTGTGAAGTTGCTTATCAGCTTAAGGAGTTTTTGGCCTGAGATGATGGGGTTTTCTAAATATAAAATCATGTCATCTGCAAACAGAGATAATTTTACTTCCTCTCTTCCTATTCGAATACCCTTTATTTCTTTCTCTTGTCTGATTACCCTAGCCTGAACTTCCAGGAGCTAGTTTTTTCAAAAGATTAACAAAATAGATAGATTGCTAGCCAGACTAATAAAAAAGAAAAGAGAGAAGAATCAAATAGACACAATAAAAATGATAGAGGATATCACCACTAATCCCACAGAAATACAAACTACCATTAGAGAATACTATAAACACCTCTCTGCAAATAAACTTGAAAAATCTAAGAATAAATGGATAAATTCCTGGACACATAAACACTTCCAAGACTAAGCCAGGAAGAAGTGGAATCCTTGAATAGACCAGTTAATTACTGCCTCTGAAATTGAGACAGTAATTAATAGCCTACCAACCAAAAAAGCCCAGGACTAGACAGATTCACAGCCGAATTCTACCAGAGGTACAAAGAGGAGCTGGTACCATTCCTTCTGAAACTATTCCAAACAATAGAAAAAGAGGGACCTCTCCCTAACTCATTTTATGAGGTCAGCATCATCTTGATACCAAAACCTGGCAGAGACATAACAAAAGAAGAAAATTTCAGGCCAATATTCCTGATTAACATTTATGTGAAAATCCTTAATAAAATACTGGCAAACCAAACTCAGCAGCACATTAAAATGACCATGATCAAGTCAGCTTCTTCCCTGGGATGCAAGTCTGGTTCAACATACACAAATCAATAAACATAATCCATCACGTAAACAGAACCACTGACAAAAAACACATGATTATCTCAATAGATGCAGAAAAGGCCTTCGATAAAATTCAATACACCTTTATGCTAAAAACACTCAGTAAACTAGGTGTTGATGGAATGTATCTGAAAATAATAAGAGCTATTTATGACAAACCCACAGCCAATATCATACTGAATGGGCAAAAGCTAGAAGCATTCCCTTTGAAAACTGGCACAAGACAAGGATGTCCTCTATCACCACTCCTATTCAACATAGTATAGGATTTGGCTTTTATTGATAAATAACAGATGAACATATTTGTAGGGTAAATATGATTATTTGATACATTCATATAAAGTGTAAAAATCAAGGTTATTGAGACATCCATTACTTCTATGCTAAGAACATCTACGTTATTCTGTTCTAGCTATTTTGAAATGTACCATAGATTAATATTAACTATAATCCCCTTCTGATCTACTGAGTGCTAAGTGTTATTTTTTCTATCTAATTGTACCCATTAATCAACCTCTCTTCATTTCCCTCCCTCCTACCTCTCCTGGTCTCTGGTAATCACCAATCTTCTCTCCATCTTCATGAAATCCACTTTTTTAGCTCCCACATATGTAAGAACACATGATATTTATCTTTCTCAGCTTGGCTCATTTTACTTAACATAATGACCTTCAGTTTCACCCATGTTGCTGCAAATAACAGAATTTCATTCTTTTTACTTCATTGTATATATACCATTTTCTTTTTCCATTCCTCCATTCATGGCATTTAGGATGATTCCATATTTTGGCTTTTGTGAATAATACTGCAATAAACATGGGAGTGGAGATATCTCTTCAATATATTTCCTTTCCTCTGGATATACGTCCAATAGTGAATGTATTAGTCTGTTTTCACACTGCTATAAAGAACTACCTGAGACTGTGTAATTTATTAAGAAAAGAAGTTTACTTGACTCACAGTTACACATGGCTGGGGAAGCCTCAGGAAACTTACAGTCATGGCAGAAGGCAAAGGGAAAGCAAGGCACATCTTACAGGGTGGCAGGAGAGAAAGAGAATGGCGGGGAAGTGTCACACTTTTAAACCATCAGATCTCTTGAGAACTTACTCACTATCATGAGAACAGCATAGGGGAAACCAAACCCATGATCCAATCACCTCCCACCAGGTCCCTCCCTCAACACATGGGGATTACCATTCAGGATAAGATTTGGGTGGGGACACAGGGCCAAATCATATCATTTTGCCTGTGGCTCCTCCCAAATCTCATGTCCTTTTTACATTCATGCATTTCCAACAGTCTCCCAAAGTCTTAACTCATTCCAGCATTAACCCAAAAGTCCAAGTCCAAAGTCTCATCTGAGACAAGGCAAGTTTCTTCTGGCTATAAGCCTGTAAAATCAAAAACAAGTTAGTTACTTCTAAGATACAGTGGTGGTACAGACATTGAGTAAATGTTCCCAAGTTAGTTACTTCCAAGATACAATGGTGGTACAGACATTGAGTAAATGTTCCCAATCCAAATTGGAGAAATTGGCCAAAACAAAGGGGTTACAGGCCCCATGCAAGTCCAAAACCCAGCAGGGTAGCCATTAAATCTTAAAGCTCCGAAATGATCTCCTTTGATTTCATGTCTCATATACAGGGCATGCTGATGCAAGAGGTGGGCTCCCAAGGCCTTAGGCAGCTCCACCCCTCTGGCTCTGCAGGGTACAGCCCCTCCAGCTGCTTTCATGGGCTGGCCTTGAGTGTCTACAGCTTTTCCAAGTGCATAGTGCAAGATGTTGGTGGATCTACCATTCTAGGGTCTGGAGGATAATGGCCCTCTTCTCACAGGTCCACTATGCAGTGCCCTGGTGGGGACTCTGTGTGGAGGCTCCAATCCCACATTTCCCCTCTGTACTGCCCTAGTAGAGGTTCTCCATGAGGGCTCCACCCCTGCAATAGACTTCTGCCTGGACATCCAGGAGTTTCCGTACATCCTGTGACATCTAGGTGGAGGTTCCCAAACCTCAACTGTTGTCTTTTGCGCACCCACAGGCCCAACACCAAATAGTAGCCACCAAAGCTTGGGGCTTGCACCCACTGAAGCAATGGCTTGAGTTGACAATCATGTCATCTGCAAACAGAGACAATTTGACTTCCTCTTTTCCTAATTGAATACCCTTTCTTTCTTTCTCTTGCCTGATTGCCCTGGCCAGAACTTTCAATACTATGTTGAATAGGAGTGGTGAGAGAGGGCATCCTTGTCTTGCGCCAGTTTTCAAAGGGAATGCTTCCAGCTTTTACCCATTCAGTATATTGGCTGTGGATTTGTCATAAATAGCTCTTTTTGAGACATGTACCATCAATACCTACTTTATTGAGGGTTTTGGCATGACAGGGTATTGAGTTTTATCGAAGGCCTTTTCTGCATCTATTGAGATAATCATGTGGTTTTTGTCATTGGTTTTGTTTACGTGATGGATTATGTTTATTGATTTGCATATGTTGAACCAGTCTTGCATCCCAGGGATGAAGTTGACTTGATCGTGACGGTTAAGCTTTTTGATGTGCTGTTGGATTCTGTTTGCCAGTATTTTGTTGAGAATTTTCACATTGATGTGACTGTCCTTTCCCCATTGTATGTTATTGGTAACTGTCAAAATGTTATTAATAGCAGTAAATCCATGGATTTGTATCTGGGTTCTCTATTTTGTTACATTGGTCTATGTGTCTATTTTTATGCCAGTCCCATGCTGACTTGGTTACTATAGCTTTGTAGTATATTTTGAAGTTGGTAGTGTGATCCTTCCAGTTTGTCCATTTTGGTCAGAGTTGCTTTGCCTATTCAGGGTCTTTTGTGGTTCCATATAAATTTGGGGATTTTTTTTCCATTTCTTCAAAGAATTTCATTGGCATTTTGATGAGGAGGGTTTTTTTTATAGATTATTTTCCATCCCCTCAAGCATTTATCCTTTGAGTTACAAACAATCCAATTACATTCTCTAAGTTACTCTAAAGTATACAATTAAGGTATTATTGATGATAGTCACCCCATTGTACTATCAAATAGTAGGCCTTATTTATTCTTTCTATTTTCTTTTGTACCCATTAACTATCCCCACCTACCCCCCAGACCCCCACTACCCTTCCCAGCTTCTGGTAACCATCCTTCTACCCTCTATGTCCATGTATTCAATTGTTTTCACTTTTAAAATCCGACAAGTGAGAACACCCAATGTTTGTCTTTCTGTGGCTGGCTTATCTCACTTAACATAATGACTTCCTGACTTCCAGTTCCATTCATATTGTTACAAAATGAAAGGACCTTTTTTGTTTTGTTTTGTTTTGTTTTTAACGGAGTCTTGCTCTGTCTCCCAGGCTGGAGTGCAGTGGCAGGATCTTGGCTCACTGCAACCTCCACCTCCTGGGTTCAAGCGATTCCCCTGCCTCAGCCTCCCAAGTAGCTGAGACTACAGGCACATGACACCAGGTCCAGATAATTCTGCATTTTTAGTAGAGATGGGGTTTCACCATGTTAGGCAGGATGGTTTCTATCTCTTGACCTAGTGATCTGCCCGCCTCGGCCTCCCAAAGTGCTGGGATTACAGGCAAGAGCCACCGCGCCTGGCCCTCATGGACTGAATGGTAATCCATCGTGTATATGTACCACATTTTCTTTATCCATTCATCCGTTGATGGACACTTAGGTTGCTTCCAAATCTTACTATTTTAGACAGTGCTGCAACAAACATAGGAGTGCAGATATCTCTTTCCTTTTGAGTATATATCCAGCAGTGAGATTGCTGGATCATACGGTGACTCAATTTTTATTTATTTTTAGGAATCTCCAACTGTTCTCCATAGTGGTTGTACTAATTTACATTCCCACCAACAGTGTATGGGGGTTTCCTTTTCTCTACATCCTTGTCAGCATTTGTTATTGCCTGCCTTTTGGATATAAGTTATTTTAACTGGGGTGAGATGATATCTCATTGTAGTTTTGATTTGCATTTCTCTGATGATCAGTGATGTTGGGCACATTTTCATACACCTGTTTTCCATTTGTATGTCTTCTTTTGAAAAATGTCTATTCAAATCTACTGCCCATATTTTTCTGGATTACTAGATTTTTTTCCTATAGACTTGTGTAAGCTCCTTATATATCCTGGTTATTAATCCCTTGCCTGATGAGTAGTTTGCAAATATTTTTTCCCATCCTGTTGGCTGTCTTCACTTTGTTGATTGTATCCTTTGCTGTGCAGAAGCTTTTTAACTTGATGTGATCCCATTTGTCCATTTTTGCTTTGGTTGCTTGTGCTTGTGGGGTATTGCTCAAGAAATTTTTGCCCAGACCAATGTCCTGGAGAGCTTCTCCAATGTTTTCTTGTAGTAGTTTCATAATTTGAGGTCTTATATTTAAGTTTTCAATCCATTTTTATTTTAATATATGGCAAGAGACAGGGGTCTAGTTTCATTCTTCTGCATATGGATATCCAGTTTCCCAGCACCATTTATTGAAGACATTGTCTTTTCCCCAGCGTATGTTCTTGGCAACTTTGTTAAAAACGAGTTCATGGTAGGCGTGTGGGTTTGTTTCTGGGTTCTCAGTTTTGTTCCATTGGCCTAGGTGTCTGTTTTTATGCTAGTACCATACTGTTTTACTGTAGCATAATTTGACATCAGGTAAGGTGATTCCTCCAGTTTTTTCTTTTTACTTACAATAGCTTTGGCTATTTTGAGTCTTTTATGTTTCATATAAATTTTAGAATTGTTTTCTCTATTTCCGTGAAGAATTTCATTGGTATTTTCACAGGATTTTGTTAATAGGTTTTTAAAAATCAAGTTGAGGAAGTTGCACTATTTCAGTTTACTGAGCCTTTATTGTTATTTTATCCATTAATGGATGCAGGATTTTGTCGAATGCTTTTTCTGCATCTATTGATATGATCATGTGATTTTTCCTCTTTAGTCTTTTGATGTGACAGATTATATTCACTGCTTTTTTTGAATGCTGAACCAGACTTACAATAAATCTCACTTACTTGTGGTGTATAATAGTTTTTAACATTGTTGGATTTGATTTGATAATATTTTGTTGAGGACATTTGCATTTATGTTTATGTAAGATATCTCTGTAGTTTTCTTTTCTTGTAATGCCTTTGCCTGGTTTTGGTATTAGAGTAATGCTGGCCTCATAGAATAAGTTAAGAAGTATTCTCTCTGTTTTCATCTTCTTCTTTTTTAAATTTTCAAGTTTATTACAAAGGATACAGAAGAAGTGATACATGGGGTAACGTATGGGGGAGGGTGCATGGCATTTCTCTGTCTTCCCTGGGTATGCCCCCTCTCCAGGAACCCTCATGTGGTCAGCTAGCCAGAAGCTCTTGCTTCTATCTTCTGAAGTTTCCTTTAATTTTTGGTAGAATTCACCAGTGAACACATCTAAGCCTGCTTCTTTCTATTTTGCAAGGTCATTAATTATTGACTCAATATTTTTGATAGATATAGGCTGGTTCAGATTGTCTATTTCTCCTTGTTTGAGTTTTGGCAAATATTGTCTTTCAAAGTGTTCTTCCATTTCATCTAGGTTATCAAATTTGTGGACCTAGAATTGTTCAGAATATTTCTTGATTACCCTTTCAATGTCTCTGGGCTCTTTAGTGTCCCCTTTTTCATTTTTGATATTAGCATTTTGTCTCCTCTTTTTTCTTAGTGACACAGGTTGAATATTTGTCCTCATCCAAATTTCGTGTTGAGATGTAATCCCCAGTGTTGGAGGTGGGGCCTGATGGGAGGTGTGTGGGTCATGAGGGTGGATTCCTCACAGCTTGGTGCTGTCCACAAGGCAGTGAGTGAGTTCTCATGAGATCTGGTAATTTAAAAGTGTGTGGCACCTCCTCCACCCCTCTCTTGCTCCTGCTTTTGCCTTGTGATGTGCCAGCTATCGTTTTGCCTTCTGCCATGACTAAAAGCTCACTAAGGCCTCCGCAGAAGCCAAGCAGATGCCAGTGACATGGTTGTACAACCTGCAGAACCATGAGCCAATTAAACCTCTTTTCTTTATAAATTACCTAGTCTCAGCTAATTATTTGTAGTAATGCAAGAATGGCCTAATACAGTTAGCAGGGTTAGATAATTATCAATTTTATTGATCTTTTCAAAGAACCAGCTTTTAGCTTCATTGGTTTTTCTACTGATTTCATATTTTCAATTCATTAATTTTTGCTATAATATTTATCTTTCTCTGATTTTAATTTGGCCTTCTTTTTCTTGTTTCCTAAAATGAAAGCTTATATGATTGATTTTTGGATCTTTTTTCTTTAAGTATTCAATGCTATAAATTTCCCTTTAAGCACTTTCATTGCATCCCATGAAGTTTGATAACTTGTGTTTTTGTTTTCATTTAGTTGAAAATATTTTAAAATTTATCTTGAGAGTTACTTTTTGACCCATGTTTCATTTCGAAGCATGTTGTTTAATCTCCAAGTATTTGGGGATTCTCCAGCTGTCTTTCTGGTATTGATTTCTAGTTTAATTCCACTGTAGTCTGAGGGCAGACACTGTATGCTTTTTATTCTTTTAAATGGGTTATGGTGTGTTTTATGGCCAAGAATGTGACCTATCTTGCAGAATGTTCTATGTGAGATTAAGAAAAATGTGTATTCTGCTGTTACTGGATGAGATAGTCTATAGATGCCCATTATATCCAGTTGATTGATGGTGTTGTTGAGTTCCACTATAGTCTGATTTTTTGCCTGCGGAATGTGTCCACATCTGTTAAAGAAATGTGGACGTCTCCAGCTATAATGGTAGATTCATCTATTTCTTGTTGTCATCCTATCAGTTTTTGTCTCCCATATTTTGATGCTCTGTTTTTAAGTGTATTCACATTATGAATTGTTATGTCTTGGCCGGGTGTGGTGACTCATGCTTGAATTCCCAGCACTTTGGGAGGCCAAGGCGGGTGGATCACAAGGTCAGGAGTTCGAGACCAGCCTGGTTAACATGGTGAAACCCCGTCTCTACTAAAAATACAAAAATTAGCCAGGAGTGGTGGCAGGCAACTGTAGTCCCAGATACTCGGGAGGCTGAGGCAGGAGAATGGCGTGTATCTGGGAGTTGGAGCTTGCAGTGAGCCGAGATTCTGCCACTGCACTCCAGCCTGGGCAACAGTGCAAGACTCCGTCTCAAAAAAAAAAAAAAAAAAAAAGAATTGTTATGTCTTGTTGGAGAATTTATCCCTATATCATTATGTAATGTCATTGTTTATCCTTGATATCCTTCCTTGCTCTGAAGTCTGCTCCATCTGAAGTTATTGTAGCTACCCTACCTTTCAAAAATTAGTGTTACCATGGTATATCTTTCCCTATCCACCTACTTTTAATTTATATATTTATATTTAAAATGGATTTTTTGTAAAAAATAATTGGGTCTTATCTTTTGATTCACTTGGACAATGTCTGTCTTTTAATTGGTGCATTTAGACCATGGACATTCAAAGTGATTATTCATATAGTTGGATTAATATCTTCCATATTCATTAGTGCTTTTTCATTTTTTTGAGATGGAGTTTTGCTGTCATCCAAGCTGGAGCACAGTAGTGTGGTCTTGGCTCACTGCAGCCTTCGCTTCCTGGGTTCAAGTGATTCTCCTGCCTCACCCAAGTAGCTAGGATTACAGGTGTGTACCACCACACCTAATTTTCATATTTTTAGTAGAGATGGGGTTTTACCATGTTGGCCAGGCTGGTCTCAAACTCCTGTCTTCAAGTGACCCTCTGGCTTCAGCCTTCCAAAGTGCTGGGATTACAGGTGTAAGCCACTGCTCCCAGCTCATTTTTGTTACAGTTTTCTACTTGTCACCTCTTAGTCATTTGTATTGCTATAAAACAATACCTGAGGCTGGGTAATTTATAAAGAAAATAGGTTTATTTGGCTCACAATTCTGCAGGCTGTACAAGAAGCATCGTGCCAATATCTGCTTCCGACTAGGGCTTCAGGAAGCTGCCAATCATGGCAATGGGAAGTGGAAGCTGGCATTATATGGCAAGAGAGGGAGCAAGTGAGAGAGGAGAGGGATGTCATGTTCTCTTAAACAATCAGCTCTCATATGAATGAACAGAGCTGAGAATTCACTTATTATTGTAGGAATGGCACCAAGCCATTTATAAGTGATCTGCCTCCATGACCCAAATACCTCCCACAAGGCCCCACCTCCAACACTGGGAATCAAATTTCAACATGACATTTGAAGGAAATGAATATCCAAACTATATCATCACCCTTGTTCTTTGTTCCTACCTTTTGCCCTCCACATTTTCTGCCCTTTGTAATTTTTAATTGAGCATTTTATATGACTCCATCTTCTTTCCTTTCTTAGCATATCAGTTATATTTATTTATTTATTTATTTTTGAGATGGAGTCTCGCTGTCGCCCAGGCTGGAGTGCAGTGGTGCGAACTCAGCTCACTGCAACCTCTGCCTCCTGGGTTCAAGTGATTCTCCTGCCTCAGCCTCCTGAGTAGCTGAGATTACAGGCGTGTGCCACCATGCCTGGCTAATTTTCATATTTTTAGTAGACACGGGGTTTCACCATGTTGGTCAGGCTGTTCTCAAACTCCTGACCTCGTGACCTCAGCCTCTCAAAGTTCTGGGATTACAGGCGTGAGCCACCGCACCCGGCAGTTATATTTATTTTTTAAAACTTTTTTTAGTGGGTGCCCTAGAGTTTGCAATATACATTTAAAACAAGTTCAAGTCATCTTTCAAATAACACTATACCACTTCATGGGTAGTGTGAGTACCTTGTAATAACAAAATAATCCTCATTTCTCCATCCTATCCTTGTTTCATTGCTTTCATTCATTTCAGTTATATATAGCCATACACAAACATACATAATCAAATACGTTATTACTATCTTGAACAAACTGTTATCTGTCAGATCAATTAAGAATTTTAAAAAGTATATTAGTTGGTTATCACACTGCCATAAAGAAATACCTAAAACTGGGTAATATATAAAGCAAAGAGGTTTAATTGGCTCATGGTTCCACAGGCTGTACAGGAAGCAAGGCAGCATCTACTCAGTTTCTGGGGAGGCCTCAGGAATCTTACAATCATGGTGGAAGAGGAACGGGAAGCCAACTCTTCACATGGCCAGAGCAGGAGGAAGTGTTGGCAGGTGTGGGGGCGTTGGGGAGTGAGGTGCCACACACTATTAAATGACCAGATTTCATGAGAGCTCATTGCAATGACAGCACCAAGGGGGCAATGATGTTAAGCTATGAGAAACCACTCCCATGATCCAGTTGTCTCCCACCAGGCCTCACCTCCAGCATTGGGGATAACATTTCAACATGAGATTTTGGTAGGAACACAGATTCAAACCATGTCAGAATGTTATTATTTTTATCTTCATTTACTCCTTCTCCATTGCTATTCTTTTCTTTACACAGGTCCAAATTTCTGACCTCTATTATTTTCCTTCTCTCTAAAGGACTTTTTTTTTTTTAACATTTCTTCCAAAGCAGTCCACTGGAAACAAATTCCCTCAATTTTTTTTTTTTTTTTTTTTTTTTTTTTACTTTTGAAGGATAATTTTACATGTTGCAGAATTCCAGTTTGTTTGCTTCTCTCAACACTTTAAATATTTCACTCTACTCTTTTTTTGCTTGCATGGTTTCCGAGGAAAAACCAGGTGTAATTCTTATCCTTGCTCCTCTATAGATAAGGTGGGTTTTATTTCACTGACTTCTTTCAGAATTTTCTTTTATCTTTGATTTTTTTGTAGTTTGAATACATTATGCTTAGGTGTGGGTGTTTTTTACATTTATTCTGCTTGGTGTTCTCTCAGCTTTCTGGACTTGTGGTTTGCTGTCTGACATTAATTTAGGGGAAATTTTGTCATTATTGTTTCAAATATTTCTTTTGTTTCTTTCTCTTTTTCTTCTCTTGGTTATTCCCATTACACATGTTGCGCCTTTTGTAGTTGAGCCACAGCTCTTGTATATTCTGTTCTGGGTAGGTTTTCTTTTTTTTCAGTCTTTTTTCTGTTTTTCAGTTTTGGCAGTTTCTATTGAGATGGCTTCATGTTCAGAGATTTTTTCCTTCAGCTGTGTCCAGTCTACTAAGACCATCAAAGGCATTCTTCATTTCTGCTACAGTGCTTTTGATCTCTACCATCTTTTTTGGTACCTTATTAAATTATCTATCTCTCTGCTTACATTACCTATTGGTCTTTTCATGCTATCTACTTTATGTGTTAAAGCTCTTAGTAAATTAATCATAGTTATTTTAAATTAGTGGTCTAATACCAACATCTCTACCATATCTTGAATTTGGTTCTGATGCTTGTACTGTCTCTTCAAACTGTGTTTTTCCTTTTAGTATGCCTCGTAATTTTTTCTTGATAACTGGACATAATGTACTGGGTTAAAGAAATTGCTGTGATGTTCCTTTAGTAATGTGATGGTAAGGTGTATGTATAGGTGGGGGAGCATTCTATAGTCCTATGATTAGGTCTCAGTCTTTTAGTGAGCCTGTGCCTCTGGATCATGAACTTCACAAGTGCCTCTCAGTTCTTTACTTCTATACTCACCCCTAACATGTTAGGTAGGATAGGATAGCTAGAATGGGCTGGATTTGGGTATTTCCCTTCTCATATGTGGAAGTCTAGAGGGAATGGAGTTCAGTATTTCCCTTCCTCCAGGTCAGTTAGGCTCTGATAAAACCCCAGCAGGCTAGGTTCCACTTAGCTACTTTCTTCTGAGGGCAGCTCTTGTTAAGAACAGAATGTTCTGGCACATTTCAAAATGGTTTCTTTTCTCCTCCCTCCGCCGGAAGCACTGGGGGGTTTTTCTCTGATATTCACTGTGTGAACCTGGTAGAACTCCAGGAGTTAAAACACACTAAAAGTATGGGTTCCACCCACCATGACTAGGTCCCCCTGAAGTTTTTAACTCTCAGACTTGCCAACACAGAACTTCTAGCAATTCATCATTTAACAGTTTAGGTTTTCCTACCCCAGCACTGGTTCCTGTAGAGATTTCAGCTCATGGTTTTCTGCTCTGATAAG
Organism: Homo sapiens; assembly: GCF_000001405.40. Classification (NCBI taxonomy): domain Eukaryota; kingdom Metazoa; phylum Chordata; class Mammalia; order Primates; family Hominidae; genus Homo; species Homo sapiens. The sequence goes on along the minus strand of NC_000003.12, from coordinate 161,110,039 downwards.
TTATAATTCTCTGTATTTTCTGTTTGTTTTGTTGTTTGTTTTTATTTGTCCAGCTCAAAATGTCATTTTTTTTCTTTTCTTTTAATTCTGTAATTCTCTGTATCTACCTGTCTGTCTCTCCAGTTTGGGAAATGCAGTTTGCCCCATAACCTCACTTTTCCAAAAAATATACAAAGAGTTAAGTATTTTTAAGTTTGTTTAGCTTTTTACTTGTTATTAGGATGGAATGGTGACTTCTAAGGTCTTACATGCTGGACTGAAAACCAGAAGTCTGAATGAGTTTTGAAGGATGAAAGGGATTCCTATACATCTGCATTGTTCAACATGGTGGCCACTTACTCACATGTAGCTACTGAAACTTAAACTAAGTAAAATTTAAAATTCAGTTCCTCAGTCTCATTAGCTACATTTCGAGTATTCAATAGCTACATGTCATTAGTTTCTACAATATTAGAAAACACCTAAGAGCATTTTTATCATTGCAGAAAGTTCTATTGAACAGTGCAGCTCTAGACTCTTGCTACTCAAATTGCAGCCTAACAACCAGCAGTATCCTATTACCAATTGGTGGGTTGTCTGTTTTTGTTTTTGTCTTGAGACAAGGTCTTGCTCTGTCACCCAGGCTGGAGTGCAGTGGTGCAATCACAGCTCACTGCAGCCTTGACCTCCCAAGCTCAAGCAATCCTCCCAGCTCAGCCTCCTGAGTAGCTGGGACTACAGATGCACGCCCCCATGCCAGGCTAATTTTTGTATTTTTAGTAGAGGCAGGGTTTTGCTATGTTGCCCAGGTTGGTCTTGAACTCAGGAGCTCAAGCTATCTGCCCATCTCAGCCTCCCAAAGTGCTGAGATTACAGGCATGAGCCACCGTGCCCTGCACAGTTGGTTTGTTAATAGGCAGAATCTCCAGCCCTATCCAGGACCTAATGAATCAGAATCTGCTTTTAATAAGATTCTCCAGTGATTCCTATGCACATTTAGGTTTGAGAAGCATTACTATAGTGGTTGTGGGACTTGGATGAGTCAGATGGGTGTGGTTCTGGGATGGAGGGACTCAGAGAATAAAACTGTACTCTGAGGTAACAGTGGGCACAATGACAGTGCATGAAAATGCATGCATGGCAGGAGCTGGTAGGCTGAGGTAGATTACAAAAGGTTCTGTAGCCCTTTGGATTGTGCCCTGTGGGAAGTCACTGACCAATTTAAAATAGGAATGCCTGACAAGATCTGGGTTTGAGGAAGACAGCCTAGTGGTAATCTGAAGGACCTGATGGGCAACTTGGAAGTCAAGGGAGCAGACAGAAAGCTCTGATACAAACCTAAATGAAGAATGAGGCTTTCTTGGCTGCAGGCATCTCAGAGAGGAGAGGGAGAAAGAGAGAGAATCCACAGGGACTTGGTGACTGACTGGACATGTGGAATAGAAAGAAGGATGAAGTGAGATTTGAACTTGGATGAGTGATAAATGGAGCTGCTTTATACAAATCAGGAATCCAGGAGAATAAGCACATTTTATGGGAAGGTACTGAGGTTGGCCTAGACATGTTAAGTTTGAGGTATCTCTGAGACATTTGTTCGCCAGTTTCCCTACCTGCCAAATGATAGTAATGACAGTATCCACCTCCACAGTATTGGTGTATTAATAATCAACTGATAAAGTGTATGTGAATATACTGTATTAATGTTTAAGTGTCACATACGTGTTACTAGCATGACTCTCGCATGTATTTGTAATCTGAAGGACAGAGGCAGAAGGCTGAAGATATTGTCTACATTTGCACAAAGGCAGTGTCATATATCAAATTCAGTAAGACAGGAAGTGCTGGAGGAAAATGCTGAAGAGAATGAAAGATGTGGATAGTCAAGTAAGAAATATAACAAATCATCAATTAGAAATACACCCCAGCTGCTTCTAAGCATAATAAATTGTCAAAGCTTTCCATCAAGTGGAAGAAGACAGTCACAGTCAGATTTTGGAGAAGGCACATATTGAAAAATTCAACTGAACAATTAGTAGAAGCATTTCCTGTAGATTAGAAACCCTGCCCAGAACCACATCTGCCTTGAAACATATATAGCACATATTACGAAAGAACTGTTGTTACATTTCAATTTTCATCTGCAGACAAATTTAAGGTTAAAATGTAATATAGCCTTAAAGGTGACTGCTAGTTCAAACTTATCATTAGGCATATGGCTTCCTAACTCTTGATTATATGTTCGGAAAATTGCTAGGAAGGTTTCCATCTTATTGGTCAGATGGTATGTGAGTGTGACATATAACTCTTTGATGTGTGCTTTTCTTCTGGAATTTGTAGATAGTGCAGGATACTTAAATTTATTTTGCTTTTGTGAAGTAAGCAAATAACCTGACTTTAAACCTCAGTAAGGCTATTCAGCTAAATTCCATATATATCTATTGAAGATATATTACAGCAAGGCAGTGCGGTAGGGCCTGTCTCTTCCCTCAGGTTGCTGATAATCTCATGGCAGAGACATCTGTAAACAAGTTCTGAGGCAAGTGAGTGCTCACAGAATTATAAACAGGTTTGGGTAGTTTGGGGAGAGAAGTGAGTAAGAACAATAGCTGCCATCAGATATCATAAATTTGAAGTTTGATGATTTACTTTCAAGAATAAGGTTCCTGCCACTTAGTTTAGCTAGTTCTGGCCACATTATCTGCAGCTCCTTCCATCAAGAGGCAGAGACTATTTGCCTGCCCCTTGGATTTGGAGAGGCCTCACAATTTGCTTTGATTTGTAGAATTTGGCATATATGATCTTGTGTGACTCCCAAGTCTAGGCCTTAAGAAATTTTACAGCTTCTGCCTGCTCTCTTCTGGATGTTGCCCACAGACCAAAAACATAGCCTACTGCAGGATAAGAGGCCACATGGAGCCAACAGCAGACACATGAGTGAGGCCACCTTGGACTTTCAGCTTAGCTGATTCTCCAGTTCAGGGATCAGCAAACTACAGCCTGTAGGCCATAGCCTGCTTCTGTATGGCCCTTGAGCTATGAATAGCTTTGGGTTTTTAATAGTTTATAAAAATTAAATAAAAAAGAATATGTGACAGAGACAAAGTCTAAAATATTTACTATCTGATCCTGTTTTACAGAAAACTTGGCCAACCCCTGCTACAGCTGAATGTATCTATACGAGTGAGCCAAATCAAAACCAGAGAGGAACCACATAACCAACCTTCAGAATTATGAGAAATATTAAATTGACATTTTTGCAAGCAACTATATTTTGGGAGAGTTCGATCTGCAGCAATAGATGACTCAATCACAAGCTGATAAATGCTACACAAAGAAAAAGGAGACTGCTTCAAAGGAAATAATCTCATAAAGGTTTTGGGCCTTTTTGTCTCACTTACTTCATTTAGGAGAATTTCTTACCCCAATCTGTTGTCCATGGCTCTGCTTTGCATTCCAGGGAAGTTTTGGCAGCTATGAGCACATATACCTGCTGGTTACTCAAAGGACATTCAAAACATTTTAAAAATGAGTATTGAAATACAACTTTTCTAAAATTTTAAGAAACGGAATTTGTAAAATATAGTATTAATGCCCTAAAGCATTCTTCCAAATAAGAGGTCTATTTTTTCAGCATATTAATCTATCTGCAGTGAAACCTGTCTGGTTTTGTTATTAATGGACCTCCTTGACTTAGTGAGGTGAACTGTCAGCCCAGGTAGGGTGAAGAATGGCTGTGATAAAGGCGTGCAGCAGGGCAGCAATCACTTTACCCTCTGCAAAGGACACAGCTACCTGCCAAGGCTGGAACCAGGAAAACAATCTCAACCATAATTTAGATCTGATTATTATAATTTAGATCTGATTATTTATGCAGTGTCAACTAAGTCCTTGACTTACACTGCTACTATCTAAACTTACTTTTGTTGTATATCCATTTTGATCTCTATATTCACCCCTATTATTTTCAGAGAACCTTCAAACTATCCTAAGTAATTTTGCAGAAAAAGGCTATAAGGAAGAAGCAGTCAGGCCAAAGAGTCAGTAAACAAAAAGAAATGGTGGGCCACGTTTAGTCTTGATGCAAATGTGTGGGTTACAATCAGGGGTGGTGCTCATGGCTGAGCTTGGTAGTGGTTAAATACATGATCCAGACCCACTTGATTTTGAGGAAAGGACCAGTACAATCAATACTGCACATCTTGGTAAAAGGAGTTTGAGGAGATGGATCTGGGAGTTTAGGTCAGCTATGCTCAGGTGTACAAAAGCAACTCCCTGGGACTCCCATCCATACACAGGCCATTGAAACCTGACGTGTCTCTCTTACCCCCATTCCATTCCCCATCGATTCCGGAAGAAGAACTGGCATTTCTTCTGAGACAGCAAAGAACTCCTCCTAAGATTTCCTCTTTCCTAATTAGTTCTGTATGAAGTTTAACAAGAAAATCCCTCCAGGGCCGCCTCGAGGCCATGCACTCACGCAGTTTGGAAAGACGACCAGGGAAAAAGGATCTCAAACAAAAATTCTAGCTCGACGTCTGCCACTAAGTTGTCTAATTTTGGCCAGCATCAACTAAAGGCATACATAACACGGCCGTGCTCGGAATGCAAGGTGACCGCGAGGACCCAGAGGGCGCGCCATGCGAGCTCACAGGGCTGGGGGCCGCCTGGGCCCGCGCGTGCAGCCAGGGGCTTCCGGCCGCGGCCCTGGCGCGTGGTCTGCGCGCGCCCGGCCGTGCGTGCGGATGCGGGGAGGCTGCGTGTGTGCGCAGGGAGAGAACGCCGGCCACCTTCCCGCTTCCGAGCTGGGTGCGCGCCGAGCACAGGAGGTGAGTGAGAAGGGCGGCCCTGCAGGGTCTCCGAGGCGGTTGAGTCCTGCCACTGGGTGGAGGGTATAGCCACCGGACCCGCCTTTCCCGGAACGCGCCGTCCTCGGAAACGCCTAGACCCCGGCAGCTAGGCCGGGAGGCACCGCCCACTCCTCTAGAGCGGAGCGTGGCCCAGGTTGAGCCGCCGCACCGTGGGTCTCGGGTCTCGGTGACGAGCAGCTGCCCGCCTCCGGTGAGCGCGGGAGAAGGGGCCCAGTGGGGCAGTGGGCGACGCGGAGGGCCCAGGCCCAGGCCGCGGCCGCGCCGCATCCGCTGGTTGTCCACCTTGCCTTGCCCCAGGGTGCAATACCTGCCTTGCGTCGCCCGTGCCGCTCCAGCCACCGTCAAATCCGGGTAGCGACCCGGGGCGTTTGCAGCGGTGCCGAGGAAGAGGACGGGAACGGTGTTACGGTATTGGTGGGCCCCTAACAGGCCTGCGGCGAACGCTTTCCCGGAGCGCTAGGGAAGGGCCCCGGCGCAGGGATGTCGGAGGGATTGGGAAGGAATGTGAAACTAAGTGGGGAATGTGGAGAACGGGCGGAGAGAGAAGGAAATCCCACGGGGCTAGGGCTACAGGATTCCTACAGGCAGTGTTAAGGAACATACAGGGCGTTTTAAAAAGATTCCTAGAGGTGCAACGGAGTCTCACTTTTCCAAGCAGTAAGGAATGATGCCATCCTCAAGTACGGGTAGTCTTTGAATTCAGTATCCGTTCGCCTTCTTAATGTTGGATTTAGGAGGGAGATTTGCAGGGCTTTCATGATTTTGTTTCCTCTGCGTTTTGCACAGATTGCCTGCGTTTAGGAGGTGGCTGCGTTGTGGGAAAAGCTATCAAGGAAGAAATTGCCAAACCATGTCTTTTTTTCTGTTTTCAGAGGTAAGGAAAATTTGGGTTTGCAGTGTTCAACTGGGAACAAGTTTTTTAGCTTCTCCCAGGAGGCTTAAGCAAAAGAAGGGCGCTGAATTTGTGCTCTTAGTATGCATGTGTCGATGCCTGATAAAAGCACAAATTACTGAACGCGTATCAGTCTGGAGAACAGAATCGTTTATTACTAACAGATAAGAGACTATGACTTTTTTCCCCTCATAGACTAAAATGTTCGTTCAAATGAATGGCCATTGGATAACTCCAGACCTGAAAATAAACACTGTTGTCAAAACAGCATCCAGGCCGGGCGCGGTGGCTCACGCCAGTAATTCCAGCACTTTGGGAGGCCGAGGCGGGCAGATCACCTCAGGTCGGGAGTTCGAGATCGGCTTGGCCAACGTGGTGAAACCCCGTCTCTACTAAATATACAAAATTAGCTGGGTGTGGTGGCACACACCTGAAATCCCAGTTCCTCGGGGGGCTGAGGCAGGAGAATTGCTCGAACCCGGGAGGCAGAGGTTGCAGTGAGCCGAGATTGTGCCATTGCACTCCAGCCTGGGCAACAGAGTGAGACTCCATCTCCAAAACAAACAAAAAACAAAAAAACAGTGTCCAAGTATAATTTCAGATTAGAGCATGAGGTGATTTGAAAGCGAGAAGAGAGGATCAAGGCTTTTCCAAAAATGAAAAAAGTGTTGATATGTAATAAATGGCTCCAAAAACAACTTGCTAAGTATACAACATTGATTTTAGATGTCATAATTCCTAATGTTATGACTCATATATATTTTTTTCTGTTCTTCTGTTCAGTAGTTCACAACAGATCTGAGTGTTTTAATTAAGCATGGAATACAGAAAACAACAAAAAACTTAAGCTTTAATTTCATCTGGAATTCCACAGGTAAGTTCATCTACTTTTAACTTATAAATTATCCTAATTGGTTAAAAATGCCCATAATAATGCCCTTTACAAGGTTTTAAGTATCGTTGATGCAGCCACGAAGTTTGTTGTATATTCTAGTACGATTCTTTCATCAGAGGATTTGAAGAAATTCAAGAGTGAAGCTCTACTAAGCCATTTTGGATAATATATTTTTTTCTTTTTTCTTGCTTGAAAAATAGAGACAAGGCCACTTTATGTTTCCCAGGCTGGACTGGAACCCCTGGGCTCAAATGATCCTCCTACCTAAGCCTGCAGAGTAGCGAGGACTTCAGGTGTGTGCCACCTCACCCGGCTCTAATAATATATATATTTTCTAAAAAATTGAATTATTAAAATACCATGGTTCTTCAGGAAAACCCAATAACTATAAAAAGTTAATTTGGTGGGTCATATTCAACTTCAAGTTCTGACTCAATTCCCTTTATGCCTAAGAAAATGCTCCATTGAGTACTTTTTCTCTTTCCCCTTTGGATGGATGATGTCTCTTCTTCTTGTGCCCAGCCTCCAGCTTTGTTCCATCCACCATTGGATGATGCAGGTAGAACCCTCTTTTGGGAAATGTCTTTGTCCCTTTCACAACTATATCATGTCCAGACCAAAGAAGCTTTTAACAGGATGGATCATGGTTGCTCGCTATGGGGTAAACTCCCACTGTGTGGTAGATAGCCACATGGATGGGGTCAAGCACGTGGGATCAAACAGGATACTCTTAATGACCTTGCACAACAGATACATTCAAAAGTTACAGTTCATTTAACAGCAGGCTGTTTGGCAAACATCTCTCTTGGGACTATGGACAATGCTTTTATACTAATAAAAAATTGTATATTATAAATACTGATTTGCTTTTGTTACCAGTCCTTTTGGCATATTGTGAATTAGAGGCTAGGGGAAGATGAGAGGATGAGCTAGAAATACGGCAGTTTGTAGGGGGCGCATCAGCATGGGGAAGGAAGATGAAGCCACAGAACATCTGTAGGGTAGGGCCCCAAGTGCTGGAAGGTTGGGAGATTTGGCTGGGGAGATAACCTGCACTCCTTGAATCTCTGAGACATTAAGGAACTAAAAGAAAGCTAGAGTAGGTTATCGGTTTCCCACCCCATGTATTTCTGACTCTGAACACAGGTAGGTAGGTAGGATCTCATTGTCTGTTGCTTCTCTTTCTGTGTCTGTTATCTGGAACTATATTTAGCTATTTTGTTTCCAGAGTTTGTTTTCAAGAATGGAGTTACCACTTTCTATGCAAAAGCAGAATGGAGTAGCTGAGACAGACCCTAGGGCCCTCAAAGAAGATATTTACTATCTGCCTTTTATGGGGAAAAAAGTTTGCCCGCTTCTGGGATAGAACATGGATTTCTGCTAAACTCAAGCTGTGCATTTTGAATAGTCTCATAAAAGTTAGAATACACAAGTCCTCCTGTTAAAACATTTCACAAGCCTGCAGCCACCTATTCCTGCAGCATGTCATAGGGCTCAAACCATATCTCATATCTGGAATTGTATTTGGCTGCTATTTTGGTTACAGACTTTGTCGTTGAGAATGGAGTTACGCACTTTCTAAGATAAAAAATTACCGTCCAGTTTTATCTCTTAGTATTAAATAGTTCCCTTCTCCATACTGATAACAGGCTCTAAATTTATGCCTCTATTGGGCACTAACACATTCTGAGAGTGCAAACTCAGTTCCCTGCTGTGGATTTTGGTCACTAGTTTAGAAACATTTGAGCTGGAAAGCCTCCCCCATGTTCTCTAGGTGGGCCTCACTCATGATGTTTGGTGTGAAATGTGTCGTTGTGAGTCTTCCACCACGCTCTGCATTGAGTGTCGGCAACTTGAGGACAGGGCTTGTCTGTCTGCTTCCCCACTGCTGCCCCAACCTCTAACACAGGTCCAGAACACTGAATGAAGGAATGAAATACCCTCAGATGACTAAAGCAAAGGTAATTGATGGCTTAACTAAGAAGAATAGTAAAGAGCTGTAATATTCTCAATTTAGGGTAGTAATGGGAAGAAATGTTAACTGCAGCAGCTCCCCGATACTCTTCCTCCAGTGGATAAAGCTCTTTGTAACAAAACAGACACAGAAAGCCCAGCTTTCAGGGCAGTCTTGCTGCTGTTCTGCCTGACTTTGTGATCTTTGCTCTGCTCCAGTTTTCTTAGCTCCCTGGACCCGGTTGACCTGTTGGCTCTTCCCGCTGGCTGCTCTATCACGTGGTGCTCTCCGACTACTCACCCCGAGTGTAAAGGTGTGTCTGCTTCTGCTGCATTCTTTGCTCCCTGCCCAGGAATCTCAGGAGGCTGTGAGATTAGATGTGAGGTTGGTCTCTCCTGGGGCACTGTGCCCTGGCAGAAGGAGCTTGGCATTTGGAGTTGAAGGGCTTGAGTTTGGATTCCATGTCTTCCTCTACCTGGGCTGCACTGTTCCCTGGAAAATGGGATTGATGTTAACACAGATTTTACAGTGTCATGAAATGTGCTTTGTAATTTGTAGTTAGAAGCACTATAAACTTGTATAGTGCCCAGAAGTTCACTATGCCTTTAAAAAAAAAAACAGCCCTGCTAAAAATCCTAACATGTATTGCAAATTATTAAGAGTGATTTTTATGTTCTTATTGGAATATGCAGATAGGGCAGAAGCAAAAAGAAAATTGCGGCTAAATTTTCCTTCTAAAGTCCTGCTGCTTTTGTTTGCTCCTCATTTTTCTCAGCCCAAACCCAGAAATCCCTAAAAGATTCTGCATGCCACAACCCAGAAGTCTATCAGAGATTCCCATATACAGGGATTGTTTTGCCTACAAGAAAGTAGTTTGTATAACAGTATATATAATATGTCTTACTTACATGTGTCTTTAAAAACTCAGATGTCTTATACCTCAGCACACTGAATGAAGCAGCAGGCTTCCCTTTTAATGAAGCTTTAATGAAAGACATTCTCCCATACATCTTAGAAGATACCTGAGGGTGGTGGTGCTACAACCAGCAGAGTTTCAAGGGCAGAATTGGGAAATGGTAATGAGTATAGGTATTTATACTCACTGTCTACCTAAAACTGTGTGACAACTACAGAGAGTGGTGCTCGAGGTGGGCTTTTTTCTTAAACTCAGTAAATACTTCAAATTCATTCTTAAAAATTGAACAATTTAAAATATGCCAAAATGAAACCTTTTCTATGAACTACATTTTAAACATCAATAACAAAGTTGTGGAACCTTGTAGTTAGAAGGGACCTTCGACGTTTGTTAGAATAACACTATCTTTGGTTTCTCATTTGCCTTCTGGAGTGATACTTACATATTTTATTATTCAAAATAATTTGAAAGTATCTACCATGGCACTTCTAAGCTTTTCTTGTCTCCAGAACAGAACATCCCCAGATCCTTCAGCCACATGTCATGCAATCCTTATGGGAGATGATAAACCCTTCACCAAATGAGTTACCCTCTTCTAACTTGTTAGTGACCCTTTCAAAATGGAACTCATATGGGGCTATGGAATTATGACCCCCTTTGCCCAGATGCTTTTCCAGTTTCTTGAACCTAGGAGTGTATTAGGGGTGTGTGTGTGTGTGTGTGTGTTAGAGAAGGGGGACACAATCTAGTATTCACTTGTAGAGTTTCTGTTAGCACTGCCATTCATTCACAAGTACTTGGGAGTGCTTCCTATGTGCCAGGCACTATGCTAGGTGCTGGGGACACAGTGTGCAAGAATGAACATCATCCCTCTGCTGGTAGGGCCAGATGGTGCCTGAGAGGTATCCTAGCCCAATGTCCTAAAATTCTGTTGAGAAATAACTCCTCAAATTCAATGACTTGGCCTCCCTGCCAGAACTAGAATCCTTGTTTCCTGACTGCCCAGTTATTCCTTTACTTCACCACCTTTTATCATATTGGACTCATACTCAGCTAAACTGTAAGGTCTGTTTAGGCTGCTGTTAAAATGGCCCCCCATCCTGCCCTTGTGCAGCTGGTTTTTCGAACTCTGACATAGGACAATAAATGTGTTCCCATCAAATTTCATCTTGCTGTCTTTAGCTTTTTCTCACCTGTTAAAACCTTTTGGATTGTAATTACATCTTTTAATGAATTTGTCATTTTTTTTCCTGCCTACAAAATTGAATAAGCCCACGTTCTTTAATTAGAAATATGAAATGAGAAAAGGCTAAAGATAGGCCTGTGATTTTTTTCCCCAGTTTGACAAAGATGCTCCAGTCAACCTTAGAACATCAGCAGGAGGACAAGTCTCTGGCACTTTTGTGGAACACTATTCCCAGAGTCCAGCACAAGCCCAAGAAATGTTTCTTGAACAAATGACTGCATGAAAAATACACTGGCTATGATGGATCAGCCAATTTTTAAGCCATCTAGCTACTATTATTACTCACATTTTCCCATTTTGTTCAGAAGGACTTTAAGTGTCCAGCTCTCTTTACAGAGAAGCTTGATTCTTAGGTGTTACCTGCGAGTTACCTTGATCTTCTATTGAAGAACCCTATTGAAAATGGGGCTTAGGATAGTCAAACAGAGCATTCTCAGTGAATCTCTTCTAGCTCCTGATGGTCATTGTGTTTGTGTCATAAGTGTTCACTAATGTTTACAGAGTCTCAGCAACTTATTCAGGGTTATTTGGAATACAGATGCATTAACATTAGTCCCTTCAGGAATTTCTCCATTGCCAAAAAGTGAACTTGTTGGAGAGGACTTGTTGAAAACTGGGTGAGCATGATTTGCATGGAAATTGGACTAAACTTCCCTTTCTTTAAAGTTCCTGGTTTAGCCACTCGAATAGCTGGCATTACAGGCATGCACCAGTATGCCTGGCTAATTTTTGTGTTTTTAGTAGAGATGAGGTTTCACCATGTTGCCAGGCTGCTCTTGAACTCCTGACCTCAAGCAGTCTGCCAGCCTTGGCCTCCCAAAGTGCTGGGATTACAGGCATGAGCCACCATGCCCGGCCAAAAGTTTCTCGTTGAGCTCTGACAACTCTTCACCTCTGAAGAAGAACAGAGGTGCTGCACTGTGAAAGTATGAAGATACCAGGCCAATAGGATAAAACAAGGCAGGAGGGAAGCTTTTGTAGTGCAGTGGCTACAGACTCCACTTGGGGTGGTGAATATACCTGAGTTTTTAGTGCTGCTTTGCAGGCTCTGACACCCTGACTCCTGAACAGGTGTCCAAATTTCAAGCTGGTTAACTGAAAGATAAATGTTATAATATTGGTGCCTACTTCATAAGATTGCGGCAGTCATCAAACGAATGGAAATATAAAACATACTTACTACAGTGCCAGGACCAAGCAAGGACTATTGCTAAAATTTTGGAGAGAGGGGAGTATGAAGAAATTGGATAGAGTAGAAAGCAGGTTCTTTTTAATGTGAGCCTATTTACCCTGACAGAGTAAAGCATATTTCATTTTTAAGTGTTATCAAATTAAGCAGATATACCAATTGCTATTCATTCATTCAGTAAATAAAATTTCACTTCCTATTATATGTCCAGCTGTATGCTCCAAAGTAAGGAGAAAAATGTAAACCATATCAAATATGCACAATCCTCAAAGTAGCCTGACACCACTTGAATATCACACGCACTACAGCTGGAAAAATTTCTTGTATTTTGCAGCTCTCCTCCAGCTGCTACAAGTGCCTATGGTGAGACTTTTGACAGTGTGAGTGGTTCCCAGAAAAAATGATGTTCAGTTGTAGAAAGACCATGGGGCAGAAAGAAGGATCCCAGGAGAGGGGAGCACATGTGCAGAGGCGGAACCCAGAAATGTGCGTTTGGCTTTGTGGACCTCTACCAGTAGTTCTTTGGGGCTCGTATTTGCAGGATAGCAGAACATCAGGCACTGGGAGATTCTAGGAAAACAGAAACCTTGGACTCTAGGAGAAGACTTACTGATTTGGAAGGAGAAGGTGGATCCACTAAGATTTATTTGCATGTTTAATTGTATTACAGAGCATGTCATGCCATGTAAGACACATTTGGGAGTTAGGAGCAAGGTTTGTAAAGGAAATGTAGACAAATAATATATGTAGAGGAAGCATATAGTGTGGACTCTAATAATAACAGCAATACCATCTACTTAGCCCTTACTGTGTGCCAGCCCCATCCTAGATGTTTAGCGCGTATTATTTCATGTAGCTCTGGCAATAAACCCGCAAAGAAGGTATTATTGCTCCCATTTTACAGATAAGGTAACTGAAGCTTAAAAAGGTTGAGTAATTTGCTCAAGTGGATTTCATTGCTTCTCAAACTTCAGTATGTCCACAAGCCACCTGTTAAAAATGTTTCTGATTCACTAGGTCTAGGGTGGGGCCTGGGGCTTTGTATTCCTAATACACTCCTAGGTGGTGCCCATGCACTTTGAGTGGTGAGGGTCTAGGCATCACATTCAAATCACCTGGGAGCTTTAAAAATACTGCCACCTGGTGCTCGCTTTGGCAGCACGTATACTAAAATTACTGCCACCTGAGCCCTGCCACCCTCTGAAACTCTGATTTAGTTGGCCTGGGATCCCGCTTGGCTTCCAGTATTTTTCAAGTTCTCCAGGAGATTATAATGTGCCGCAAAGTGAGAACCACTGGGTTAAAGAAGAGGGGAAGAAAAAGTAGTGGTCAGATGGCACTGGTTGTGTTTATTTCTAATATAATCAGGGGAGGGCCTCAAACACAAAGCAGCAGTGAGTTGTGAAAATAATTAGATGTTTAATTGACAAGTCTAATTGAATGGTAGAGTTTTATATTGCTTTATGAGTTAATGTGTTTAGTTTGAAAGGGTAGTGGGGGAATTTCCCTCAAAGATGTGAATTGATAGTTATTTTCCCTTTATAAGGAATATACATGATTGGTGTAATGATGATTTGAATTAAACTTAATATGCACAGGACCTTTTTTTAGGCAATTAAGATTTCCACTCCCTTTGCAGTATTTTATGTAGAAGAAAAGTTAGAATGTTGCAAAACTGACAGTAGTTTGGTAATTATCTATAATAGTTAGCATATGGATGATCCTGACTCTAGCGTGCTTGGACCTAAAATTTAACTGAAATTTGTTTCTTGTTTTTTTGGACCTTTTAAAATGCACATGATCAGAATCAGCATAGCCTATTACAATAAGGTTTTGTTATTAGAAGACAGCTGAAGAAAAACATAATCAACAAATTCAGGTTACTTTTGGATTCAGCTTATTCTTAGGAATATTTACTAAGTGGATAAAAGTACATTACCAAATCATTTGCAAAGTATGCAAATATTACAGAGAGCCTACTATGTGTTAGACACTGGACATATAGCAGTGAATAAGTGGGGTCAGGTTTTCCCTCTCTCCAATCTTATATTCTTTTGAAGGGAATAGACAATAAACAAATAGAAATAGATTTTTAAAAGTCTAGACAGGGTTAAATGCTGAGAAGGTGTTAGGTTTAAGTCCCAGCTGAGGTCCAACAAGGTGTTAGGTTTGAGTCCCAGTTGAGGTCCGAGGGGAGTGGGTGGATGGGCGAATTGCTGAAAGAACACTCGGGGGGCTTTAGGCAGGTGAAATGTAGTTTTATTCAGCAGCTTTTTAATCAGCAGCTTCCTCACACTAACTGTTTCTCACAGTTTCTTTATCTTGGCTGTTTGCTTCAGCTTTGTGGCTCCTCTTATGAGCCTGCTCCTGCTGCCCCCAGCCTTGCAGCTGCACTCCCTGGCCTATACTACCAGGGTTAGCAGCTTAATTTTTTCCCTCTGGGCATAAGTCCCCACTTCCCGCCTTCAAGGCAATCCACTCTTCCTTACAGGGGTCAGTAGCATTACTCTCTCTGGGCATTAGTGCACCTCCAAGCCATGTCAAGCCAACCCAAACCCCATGGGCAGCATCAGCAGGGCAGTTATACCTTTTACAAACAATAGCAACTCAAAGCCAAGTATAAACTTACAAAGACAGGTTATCTAACAAGTGAAGTATGCACCTGTGCCCTAAACTTGCTAAGTCACTTTGGCCCAGATATTCGCCTTAGCCTATTCCTTAACCAAAGCACATTCATATACTTTATGGAAGGGAATAATGAGGGATGTGATAGAAAATAAGTGCTGGGGGAACTACTTGAGATAAGGGGTCAGGGAAGGACTCTCCTAAGTGACACTGTGCTGAGATGTGAGGCATGAGAAGGAGCCAGCCTTTCCAACAACCAGCTTTTTGGTTGGAGGGGCAGAGTAAGTGCAGGCTCTGCAAGAGAGGAAAATAGTTGACATATTCAGGGATAAGAATGGGAGTCAGGCCGGGTTTGGTGGCCCACATCTATAATGCCAGCACTTTGGGAGGCTGCGGTGGGAGGATTGCTTGAGTCCAGGAGTTCGAGACCAGCTTGGGTAACATAGCAAGACCCCCATCTCTATATATTTATATATTTTTTAATTAAAAGATTAAAAGAATAAAAAAGAACGGAAGCCATTGTGGTTGAAATAGGATTGGGAGGGAGTAGTTGTAGCAGATGAAAGAGGGGCTTATATAAACCCATGGAGCCAGAAGACTTGACAGATCTTCATAAAAAATGTGAACGTTGTTGCCCGGCATTGTGGCAAATGCCTGTGGTCCTGGCTACTGGGGTGGATCACTTGAGGCCAGGAGTTTGAGTCTGCAGTGCAAAATAATTGTGCCTGTGAATGGCCACTGCTGTCCAGCCTGGGAAACATAGCAAGACACATCTCTAAATTTTTTTTTAATGTTAATATTGTTATTTTTAAGCTTTTATTGTCTCTGTGCTCTTCTGGCATTCCCTAAATTTTCTCTAATGAACATATATTACATTTGAAATTAGAATAATTACTTTTTAAATAATTACATTTGATTTCTTTTTGCAGGAAATAGCCAACATTTTTGCACCCCAGGAAAGAGTTTCAGGTTATTTTGGCTTAAATAATTGTGCCATTGTAGTATCTCTGTTTGTCTGTTTTCCTGGAATCTTTGCATTTAAACACTGATACCTCCATTTATTTTCTAGTGACGTCCAGTATGTTTTTGGTGTTAAATAAAAAGGTGTATATCTGCATGAACAATTAGTTACTGTTCTTGTTAAAAATTTGTATTTCAGGTTTTAAGGGTAGGAATTTTGAGTCTTCCTTGTGAAAATGATAAGGCTGTGATGCTGCCATACTGTTTATATCAAAGTTCAATGGTTGCAAGAAATTAAAACTCAAAGCAGCTCTGGTCAGAAGAGCTCCTTAGCATAGGAAGCATAGTGAGCAGGCAGCACACTCCCTGGGATCTAGCAGCCAAGAATGTGAGATCTGGAGTCTTGTTTGAGTTTGTCTCTACCACTTACAACACTGGAAACTGATAACCTTTTTTATCTTTGGAGGTTTTCTGAGCTTTTCTAGTATTTGAGATGTTTTTTCAGCTGCTGCAGATCAACCCCTAAATCAACAAGTAATTACTGGTGGCTTGCTGTTCACCCAGCATTGCACTAAGTTGGTGGGATAGATAAGATACTGTTTGCTTAATGGAAATTGCTTATAGTTGGCAAATTCATATGTAGTTAATATAAGCACAAGTTTATCTTAAAATTTTTTTTTTTTATCTATGGGGTCTCACTGTTCCCTCAGGTTGGTCTTGAACTCCTGGCCTCCAGCGATCCTCCCGCCTTAGCCTCCTAAAGTCCTGGGATTATAGGTGTGAACCACAGTGCCTGGCCACAAGTTTATCTTTTAGAAAATGGAAATTATTTTTAAGTTATAATTTCTTTCTTGACAGTGATGTGTGGCATTTAAGAAGTCAGTAATAAAATAATAGTGTACTTCCCTGTTGGGGCTTTTCATATTGTTTTCTATTCGTCAATATTGTTGATTCTTCTCTCCGTCCCTCCCCTGGGACATGGGATTTAGAACAGTGTCGGGGTCCTTGTAGCCCACTGCTCAGCTGTCCTAAGGAGGCAGGCCAGCTGCCCTGTGCTCTCACTATCAGGAAATGAGCCAATCCGAGATCTCTGGCCAGTTTGATTTCTATGATACACACATGCTATGAACACAGAGGCCACTTCAATTGAGCCCTTATTTATCTACATGCCTGAGTATCGTTTTAAAAATATTTTTATTGATTGATAAGTGTACATATTTATAAAGTACATGTGATATTTTGATACATGCATAAATGTGTAATGGTCAAATCAGAAATTCAGGATATCTATAACCTCAAAAATTTATCATTTCTTTATGTTGGGAATATTCAGAAACCATTAAGTGCTCTTGGTCCTGGACCAGGCCCTGTGCTGACTGGTTAATCCAAGTTCTTTCCATTAAACCTCACAATAATTAGTTTTGTGATGCCTGATTTATAGCTGAAAAATGAAACTTTTGGCCTGGTGCGGTGGCTCACGTCTGTAATCCCAGCACTTTGGGAGGCCGAGGCGGGTGGATCACAAGGTCAGGAGATCGAGACCATCCTGGCTAACATGGTGAAACCCCATGTCTACTAAAAATACAAAAAATTAGCCGGGCGTGGTGGAGCACCTGTAGTCCCAGCTACTCAGGCGGCTGAGGCAGGAGAATGGTGTGAACCCGGGAGGCGCAGTGAGCCGAGATTGCACCACTGCACTCCAGCCTGGGCGACAGAGCGAGACTCCATCTCAAAAAAAAAAAAAAAAAAAAAGAAAAATGAAACTTTTGAGAAGGTAACTAACATGCCTAAGGTCATACAACTAGTCATTGTTGCAGTCAAGATTTAGGGTGGATTGGCTCTGATATCCAAAGCATTTTTATTATGCTTTTTTCCTGTTTGTTTTAATAAACTTAATATACAAAGAAAACTGTAAATATTAGAGAACACCTATATTTCCATCGCCCTGAATTAGCAGCTGTTAATTACAGTACAGTATTTATGACCAGTGTTTTTTTCCCCCTTTAACCACATGTTCCTTTCATTCTTCCTGCTGATAGGTGTGGTATGTTTTCCTGTAGTCCCATTAGAAAAAAATCATTATTTATACGTAGTTGCTTCTAAAGGTTCATCACTTCTTGTGTGTAGTTTTAGAATTTTTATAAATGATAATTTATACATATATCATTATGTAACTTGTTTATACTCAACGTTTTATTTCTGAGAGTTAAATTGATGTTCTGTATACAAATCCAATTCATTTAGCTATCATATAGGATTCCATTGGAAGACATACCAACTTTTATTTATTATCTTATGGACATATATTTATGGATTTGATTGCTTTCTTGTGATGTTCCTTAGCTTTTCTTTCTATCCTCTGTATTTCTTGTAAAATTTGATTAGATTCCAGTTAAACATTACATTGTATCTCATTAGGAGATACATAATAGGTGTTTGTTCCATCATTTATGATGTTACGATTAATTATTGGGTTAGAATGGTGACACCCTGATCCTCCAATGTAAAGTTTATATTTTTTCAGTTCTTGCAACTAAAAAGTAATCTTCGTGGTGTTACTTTGGCATCATACAGATAGCCAATTGTCCATCAACCTTTTATTTATTATCAAAACTCTGATGTATAATCATCATCAGTAATTTCATGAAAGATTGCAAAATGACAGTTTTCTTATTCTGTCATTCCATCTATAGTAGTCTCTGCTTATCCATGGGGGCTGTGTTCAACAGCCTGTCCCCCAAACATGCCTGAAACCATGATAGTACCACACCCTACCCAAAGAATGCCAAGGTCACCTTTTCACTTAAAGGAAGCACTTTGAGCTTCTCTTTGACCTATCTGAAGTGTCAGCATCCTACTTTTCTGCCTTGGGGCCATTATTAGGTAAAATAAGGGTGACTTGCACACAAGTACTGAGATACCATGACAGTGAATCTGGTAACTGAGGGCTCCTATGTGACTAACAGGTGGGTAGCATATATAGTGTGGATACGCTGGGAAGAGGGAGGATTCATGTTCTACCTGAGACAGAGAAGGATGGTGCGAGATTTTGTCATATTACTCAGAACAGTGCGCGATTTAAAGCTTATGAATTGTTTATTTCTGGAATTTTTCACTTAATATTTCCAGACTGTAGTTGACTGTGGATAACTGAAACTATGGGCCAGGAAACTGCAGGGGTAATTTCTAGACATTTCTAATTGGCATTTTTCTTTTAAAAATTTTTAAATTATTTATTTATTTATTTTTGAAACGGTCACGCTTTGTCACCCAGGCTACAGTGCAGTGGCACAATCACAGCTCACTGCAGCCCGGACCTCCCACACCCAAACCATCCTTCTGCCTCAGCCTCCCGGGTAGCTGGGACCACAGGCTCATGCCACCATGCCTGGCTAATTTTATTATTCTTTTGTAGAGACAGGGTCTCACTATGTTGCCCAGGCTGGTTTTGAACTCCTGGTCTCAAGTGATCCTCCCACCTTAGCCTCCCAAAGCATTAGGATTACAGGTGTGAGCCATGACACCCAGCCTATAAGTGGCATTTTTCTATAAAGAAGAGCTTTTTCTCTTCAATTAGAGCTATTTGCTTCCTCTGAACTATAGATGATTGATTCTTTAAAGCAGGAAATAAAAAATGCTGTCTTTCCTCCATCATCCCAGTAATTTTCAAGTAAGAGATTGGTATAGTAGCTACCGAGTTGAAACATTTTACATTGCTCATGTGCAGTGCAGATATGGTGTTCTCTTTAAATTTATGGATGAAACAAATTGTGTATATAAGGATTTTGAGCTTCTAAACAATTTTTTTTTTTTTTAAAGTAGAGATGGGGTTTCACCGTGTTAGCCAGGATGGTCTTAATCTCCTGACCTCGTGATCCACCCACCTTGGGCTTCTAAACAAATTTTTAAGAAATTTTATGGTTTTTAAATTTTTTAAGTGTTTTCCATATTTTTTGCAATTGATTTATAATTATGCTGTGGTTAGAGAATGTAGCCTGTATTATTGTTTTTAAAATTGTTGAGAAGGCTTGTATTACCTAATATTATTAGTTTTCTTTTTAAATGTGTTATGTTGTCTTAAAAATGAATGTTTCTATTCTTTTTATTGGATGAAAGGTACTAAATGTTTCATTTGATCAAGATTAATAATATTATTTGAAACATTCATATCCTTTTTTATCTGCTTGATGTATCAGTTACTTAGATGTATTAAAAATCTCCCATTAGGATTATAAGTTTTCCCATTTATACCCATACTCTTCAGGTTTTGCTTTATATATTTTGATACTGTGTTTTTATGGTTATAGAGCTTCATGATTGTTAAATTATCTTTTTGGATGGTTTCTTCTTACAGAGCTTTATGATAAAGTATCTTTTTGGATGGTTTCTTCTGTTAGTAATAACATCTCCTTTGTCCCTTATTAATGATGTTTGTTTATTTATTTTGAGACAGTCTTGCTGCTCTGTTGCCCAGGCTGGAGTACAGTGGCAGGATCTCAGCTCACTGCAATCTCCGTCTCTCAGGTTTAAGCAGTTCTCCTGCCTCAGCCTCCCAAGTAGGTGGGACTACAGGTGCGCACCACCATGCCTGGCTAATTTTTGTGTTTTTAGTAGAGATGGGGTTTTGCCATGTTGGCCAGGTTGGTCCTGAACTCCTGACATCAGGTGATCCGCCTGCCTTGGCCTCCCAAAGTTCTGGAATTACAGGCATGAGCCACCATGCCCAGCCTGAGAGTCTTTTTTTTTTAGTAGATAAGTTTACATTTACATTTACCTTAATTAACAGCACATTTATATTTATTCCTGCCATCATCTTTTGCATTTTGTGTTTGCATGCATTTTTTCTTTTTATTTCCCGTTTTCCTACCTTATATTGAATAGACAGATAACTTAATTTGTGTCTTCTATTTCTCAATCAATTTGGAAGATAGTGTTCTATATTTGTTCTTTCAGTGATCAATGTAAAGGTTAATGTACATTCTTAAATGAAGTTTTTAGCAAAATGTGAAGGTTTATTCATATCTCTTTGTTAAAATATACTAAGAATGTTAGCATATTTTACTTTTCCTATGAAACATCTTTTTGTAGCCATCATGTCATTTTTACCTAGTATTTTAGTTACATTTTTTAACCACATGAAAAAATTTTTTGCCCCTCCCTCCTTTTCAGGATAATCTATTTTGACAGTAAGAATCATTTTAGAGAACACAAATAGAATGGAAATGATGCCAAGGGTAGAACCACAGCTGATAATAACAGCTTCTGTTTGTTGAATACCTAACACAGGCCAGAAGTTTTGCATATATTATCACTAATTTGCACTATATTAATATCTTCAATATAGAGACAGGAAACTGAGGCTTCAAGAGATACATAACATACCCATTCATCCTGGTTGGTAAAGGACAGAGCTGGAGAGTGGACTTTGGTGGCTGGCTTTGGAGCCACCTGTGTTGTAGGTGACCTAGTCTGTTCTGGCCAGTTCTTTAGAGTCCGTTCCTTGCTTTTGGACTAGATAGTTTCTCCTCTTTTTGCTGCTGCTTTATTTTATTCATGGGTCCATAAATGATAGACATCATAACCATAGTCACATTCTCACATTTAGAAACTATGGCTTATAGAATGTGCAAAAAATAACTTTTATAATAAGATTTGCCATTTTAAGTTCTTCCCATTATTGAAGAGTAGTAGGGCCCCCATCATCCATATGCAATTATAAATGGCACCTCTTACAACACTTGCCTTCTGTTTTTCCAAAATCTGTTGAAATATGCTGATTTGTTAGAATGAGATATTTGTTGTCATAAATGTACAAGTCGTTAGTGGCTGAGTTGTAAATGGTTCCCTCAAGGGTTGCGTAGTGCCCAGTAGCCAGGTGAGGAGAAAACGTATAAAGGCAGTGTTAATTACTTTCATAATTCTTGCTCTCAAACTATTCCATTTCAGGTTTTTTTCTGGGATTGGCAGTGTATGGCAAGTAAAGGGGATAGGGGAGGATAGGAGGTGGGTGGACAGATCTATATTTTATCCTTTTACAAATGGAGATAGCATATCAAGCCTCAGTGTCCATTGCACTCCTGCTGTAGGCCTCCCTTTGTCTTGCACTTTGACTCCTGAGAGAAAAATTGTTTTTGCCAACAAGGTCATAGAATGTAAGTGGAGAGGCAAGACACATATACGTGGAACCAAACTGGAGAGAGTTTGCTAAAACATTACATTGCGTTGTGTGGGTTAAAATATGGAAAGCATTACATATAGAAAAGATAATTGTGGTGAGACGTAATCAGGGCAGGTAAGAGATGACCAGATGAAGAGGACAAGGAGCCTTGAAATCCTGTTATTTTCATATGTATTAAGAGACAGAGGAGCTGTATGTCCAGAGACCCTAAAGTTGACCCAAGGTAGAACCCTTGGTAGACTAGCCTTCCCATAAGGACATTAATGTCTGTCCTCCATAGTTAATTCCAGCTTTCCAAGAACCCTCCCCCATATAATTGTGGGTAAAAGGGCACCTGCCAGCAGCCTCCTCAGCCCACCCTTCCTCATGTTGTTCATCTGTCCCTTATGCTAAAGTTCCTTAGCATTTGATGTAAACAGTGTGTACTGCACTGTGCTGCCATGTTTATACGTTGTCTTGGGATTTCTTCTTTCTCCCGTCTCCTACTTCCTTTGGTCTCCTTAGTGCCTGGTCTTTGGAAGCAGATGTCCAGTAAATATACATACATGAATGCCCTTAGACTGAAGTCTATGCTCATGGTGCAAGGAAAGCTCTATGGAATCCCGAATTATAAACCACCCTCTGCCTTGAGATCAGGAACAGAGCTGTCACTTCACAATCTGAATGTTCTGTGCCTCCTCTTGTCTCAGCTGGAGCTTCTGTGTAAAAGCAAGTGTTTTAGGAGTTTCCATCCCATGATTCTGATTGGGTGTGTGATTTCTGAAGAGGTTGGAATGGGAAATGTGAAAACTTAATACTAAGGACGGGCCTTTGATTTAAACAGTTGCTATGCAGACTGAGCATTGAGTTTAACCAATGAGGTAAAAGGAGGGGAGAGGTGGTGTTTGGGGCAGGTAAAAGCTGTTTCATAGTCAGTGTTTGAAAACTCAAGAGAGATGATCCTATTTGTGTCTGGAGGACTTGCCTTTCAGGTGAAGAATCTCTGCCTTATCCCACATCAGCAGTCACTAAGAATAGAATAATGATCACTATAGGGTTTTTCTTATCCAGATTTGCTAGAATCCGTATCAGAACACACAGCTGAGAAAGACCCTTCGTTTATTTGGGCATGTGGCTAGTAACATCCCCTTGAATTAAATCCTTCTTTTTTTATAGTTATAAAGAGGAGATACATTTTATTTATTTGTTTTTATGGTAGATTTATTTTTTAACCCATCATTACCCATCTCTTTCTGTCCCTATCATATCTGCACCTAGGATAGAATTATATTTAACAGTAAACTGTTAATTTAGGTAGAGTAGGATAACTACTACAAAATAATCAAAGGATATGTTTTAACCTTGGTCTTGATGTAAGAAGCTAAAATAGATTTTTGGTTATTGGTTTCTATTTGCTTACAGTTAAATGAAGTAGATTCAAGTCAGGATTTTTTGTTTTACTCTGGAGATTCTGTTCTCCTACTCTTTCTCCTTGAGTAGATAGTCAGATGTCTTTTGAAAATGTGTTTTCGGTGTGGAATATTAACCCAATCTTTGATAACTCTTCCAGAACCTTCGGCTCGCGTGCTTCTGAGCTGCTGTGGATGGCCTCGGCTCTCTGGACTGTCCTTCCGAGTAGGATGTCACTGAGATCCCTCAAATGGAGCCTCCTGCTGCTGTCACTCCTGAGTTTCTTTGTGATGTGGTACCTCAGCCTTCCCCACTACAATGTGATAGAACGCGTGAACTGGATGTACTTCTATGAGTATGAGCCGATTTACAGACAAGACTTTCACTTCACACTTCGAGAGCATTCAAACTGCTCTCATCAAAATCCATTTCTGGTCATTCTGGTGACCTCCCACCCTTCAGATGTGAAAGCCAGGCAGGCCATTAGAGTTACTTGGGGTGAAAAAAAGTCTTGGTGGGGATATGAGGTTCTTACATTTTTCTTATTAGGCCAAGAGGCTGAAAAGGAAGACAAAATGTTGGCATTGTCCTTAGAGGATGAACACCTTCTTTATGGTGACATAATCCGACAAGATTTTTTAGACACATATAATAACCTGACCTTGAAAACCATTATGGCATTCAGGTGGGTAACTGAGTTTTGCCCCAATGCCAAGTACGTAATGAAGACAGACACTGATGTTTTCATCAATACTGGCAATTTAGTGAAGTATCTTTTAAACCTAAACCACTCAGAGAAGTTTTTCACAGGTTATCCTCTAATTGATAATTATTCCTATAGAGGATTTTACCAAAAAACCCATATTTCTTACCAGGAGTATCCTTTCAAGGTGTTCCCTCCATACTGCAGTGGGTTGGGTTATATAATGTCCAGAGATTTGGTGCCAAGGATCTATGAAATGATGGGTCACGTAAAACCCATCAAGTTTGAAGATGTTTATGTCGGGATCTGTTTGAATTTATTAAAAGTGAACATTCATATTCCAGAAGACACAAATCTTTTCTTTCTATATAGAATCCATTTGGATGTCTGTCAACTGAGACGTGTGATTGCAGCCCATGGCTTTTCTTCCAAGGAGATCATCACTTTTTGGCAGGTCATGCTAAGGAACACCACATGCCATTATTAACTTCACATTCTACAAAAAGCCTAGAAGGACAGGATACTTTGTGGAAAGTGTTAAATAAAGTAGGTACTGTGGAAAATTCATGGGGAGGTCAGTGTGCTGGCTTACACTGAACTGAAACTCATGAAAAACCCAGACTGGAGACTGGAGGGTTACACTTGTGATTTATTAGTCAGGCCCTTCAAAGATGATATGTGGAGGAATTAAATATAAAGGAATTGGAGGTTTTTGCTAAAGAAATTAATAGGACCAAACAATTTGGACATGTCATTCTGTAGACTAGAATTTCTTAAAAGGGTGTTACTGAGTTATAAGCTCACTAGGCTGTAAAAACAAAACAATGTAGAGTTTTATTTATTGAACAATGTAGTCACTTGAAGGTTTTGTGTATATCTTATGTGGATTACCAATTTAAAAATATATGTAGTTCTGTGTCAAAAAACTTCTTCACTGAAGTTATACTGAACAAAATTTTACCTGTTTTTGGTCATTTATAAAGTACTTCAAGATGTTGCAGTATTTCACAGTTATTATTATTTAAAATTACTTCAACTTTGTGTTTTTAAATGTTTTGACGATTTCAATACAAGATAAAAAGGATAGTGAATCATTCTTTACATGCAAACATTTTCCAGTTACTTAACTGATCAGTTTATTATTGATACATCACTCCATTAATGTAAAGTCATAGGTCATTATTGCATATCAGTAATCTCTTGGACTTTGTTAAATATTTTACTGTGGTAATATAGAGAAGAATTAAAGCAAGAAAATCTGAAGTATTGTCTTGTTTTTAAAAAATACAGTTCCTAGTGTTTTTAGAAGTCACTTAATTTGTCTCATTTTTCCACCTGGAAATTAGGAATAATGTAGAATGCAAGGCAGTAATTTCCTTTTGGAAAGGACTCTGAAGGCAGAAAAGAAGGGAGAGAACCTCATGGGCAGAATATTATAAAAAGAGTGTCATATTCCAGCATTTGAATTGGAAAGAGAAGAGTGAAGATCCAAGTTGCATTATTAATCTGCCCTGTGTTTTTTCCTTTTAACAATCAGTTTGAGCTGCTGCTGTTATGAGTTTCTCATCAAGATGAAAGCCCTAATATGTAAAGTCAAATCCGATTTAAATTTTGTGCTTTTATAGAAAGAAATTTCTTCATAGACGTGGTGATATATCATTTGTTGGACCTGCTAATAGTAGGTCAAAGGGGAGCACTCCTTGCCCCCTGTTCCTGGGTTTATGCAGTTTTCTTTTTAGAGTTTATATAGGGCAAGTGGTTCTTTTTCTCTGAATTACAGGATGGAAAAAGGTCATATCCTTTGTCAGGAAATATAAACTTGAAAGTATGTAGTCAGCTCTTGTAATACTCATATTTATGATTGTCCTATATGAAAAACAACTTCAGTTAAAACTATAATGTGTGATTCTGTATAACAAGGTGATGTCTGTTTCCCAGGGCTCAGACCTAATCCAGTTATAATAAAATCAATTAAATGAAATATTCTATAGAATCGATCTATGCCCTTGTTAATCTCCATCCATATAGGAGTCACGTTCTTTAAGACAGATGGTGGTAGTTATTTTTGTGGCATGGTTAGATTTGACTGGTTTTGCAGAAGATTACAGTTATGTACTGCATAATGACATATACAATAGTGGTCCCATAAAATTATAATGGAGCAGAAAATCTATTGCCTCATGATGTTTTAGCCGTTTTAATGTCATAGCCTAGTGCATTACTCACGTGTCTGTGGAGATGCTGGTGTAAACAAACCTACTACACTGCCAGTTGTATAAAAGTACAGCACATTCAGTTATGTACAGTATGTAATACTGATAATGACAATAAATGACACCGGTTTGTGTATTTACTTTTTATAATTAGAGTGTTCTATTCCTACTTATTAAAAAAATGTTTAATAGAGCCTTGGGCAGGTCCTTCAGGAGGTATTCCAGAAGAAAGCATTGTTATCATAGGAGATGACAGCTCCATTCATGCTATTTCTCCTGAAGACCTTCCAGTGAGACAAGATGTGGTGATAGAAGACAGTGATACTGATGATCCTGACCCTGTGGGCCTAGGCTAATGTGTGTGTTTGTGTCTTAAGTTTTTAACAAAGTTTAAAAAGTAGAAAAATAAAGTTTAAAATAGGAAAAAACTTACAGAATAAGGATATAAAGATATTTTTGTGCAGTTTTACAAGATGTTTGTGTTTTAAATTTAAGCTAAGTGTCAAAAAACTTTGACAAAAGAGTCAAAGTTTGAAAGTTTGTAAAGTTAAGTTACGGTGAGTTAAGGTTAATTACTGAAGAAAGAAAATTGTTAAATGAATTTAGTGTGGCCTACTTTAAATGTGCCATGTTTGTAAAGTCTACAGTAGTGCACAGTAATGTTTGAGGCCTTCACATTCACCCACCACTCACTTAGTGACTCACACAGAGCAACTTCCACCCCTGCAAGCTCTATTAATGGTAAGTGCCCTCCCTATACAGGTGTACTATTTTTTATCTTTTATACTGTTTGGTTTTTTTTACTGTGCTTTTTCTATTTTAGATACACCAGTACCATTGTGTGACAGTTTCCAACAGTAAGTATTCAGTACAGTAACATTCTGTACAGGTTTATAGCCTAGAAGCGATAGGCTCTACCATGTAGCCTAGGTGTATAGTAGGCTATGCCATCTACGTTTGTGTAAGTACACTCTAATGTTTGCACAACGACAAAATCACCTATTTCTCAGAATGTATCTCCATTGCTAAGTGCCACATTTCTGTATATCGATGTTTGGGAAGCTAACTCAAAACATTTCTAGAGAGAACTTTTAACATAAAAAATAATTCCCTTTCACTTTTAGAAAAGACCAAAAAACAAAAAAAAAACAAACAAGTTTCAGAAGATTGTTTCTTTTGAACTGAAGATTGGTGCCTAAAAGAACCTACAAAGTTAAATGATTAGGAAAACATTAAGAGATTGGGTCATTATATTTTTTGTTTTCAACTATATTAAGCTTTCAGGAAGTAAATATTAGCTGTGTTATTAAAATCATGACCTGGTGTTTAACCAAATCAGCAGCTTTAAAAATTTTAACTCATATAACAACGTTTAATACTGGAGCTTATCCTTGGGCTGATTTGGTCCCATCTGCCTTAGCCCTGCCATCCCCATAGTTTCACACACCCTCTGCCTCACTTGCTTTCCTTGTCTGCAGGTGTTGAGTTTGTGACTTTTAGCACATTAGTTAGCTTTGCTAAGGGTCACAAATGCTACAGTAACGCCCAAATCTCAGACTTGATGACAACCAATGTTTTCACTCAGTTGCATGGCAGTGGTTGGCTGCAACCCTGCTCTATGTCTTTTTCATTCCAGGATCCAGGCTGATGGGCAGCCCGTTTGGAACATGCTGTTCTTATAGAAGGAAATTAAAAAGCTGGTGGAAGCACAGTGGCATATATTAATACATCCACTGGCTGAGATGAATCCCTTGCCAAGCCCAGTGTCACTGAGGTGGGGAAGTATATTTCTCTTGCAGGAAGTAACTGCAAGTGATGTTGCAGCATGCAGGAATGTATTGTTCCACAGAATGGGGAATGAAAAACTGAGTGCAGTCGTACTGTAAGCTGCCACACTCAGTGTCTGAAAGGGAGAGGGAGCCTTCAGACAATGCCAGACAACTCTGCAACAGACCCCAATTTAGGCCCTGTAAACCAGAAATGTAAGAAATAATTTTTGCCTAATGCTGCCAACTTTGGGGATGCTTTCTTACGATAATTAAAACATTTCTCACCAAGGAAATTTCCCATTGTCTGTGGCCCCGGGGCCAAGACTTCTCTCCTCACATCTGGCCACTCCTCTATACATGCCGGGCCTTACCCCTGCTTGAGGTTATCAACGAGTAATTTCCAAAACTCCTTTCCACTTAGCCCTCTTTCTGTTTCACTTTCTCCTTTCAGACCATGTGGGAAGCAAGGCAGGGGTGAATGCTGCTTAACATTTCTCCCCCCCCACACTCCCCCCAAAAAAACTCATTCAAGGCATTTCCCAGATAAAAGGAAATCAACTTCTCTAAAGATAAATTTTGTCATTCTTTTAAAAGGTTGCAGCAGCTGCTGTGATGGTTCTAAATGCCACTCTTCCCTCTCTTGCAACATATGTACAAACTACAGAAACAGGATGAAAATATAACAAAATTTGAACAGAAAATGCCTCTCAAAAGATTTCTTCCTACTTTAAAAGTACCTTTTATTACATTCTCAACAATGAGGATAAATCATTTTTATAACACAGATGTTTTAACAAATACATTAACAAATTTAGGTAAAGGTAAAAAGTGGCATCAAAATGTTATGAGCAAAGGCTGCTGCGGTGCAGGCCAAATGCTGTGTTTGCCGGTAAGCCCCCAGCCTCACGTGCCCACCATCCCGCTTTCTTCTGTGCAGGCAGGGGCTGCCTCCCATCCTCAGTCACTTTTGTTGTTTAAGACGGTCTCGCTCTGTCGCTCAGGCTGGAATACAGTGGCACGATCATAGCTTTACTACAGCCTCGAGCTTTTGGGTCCAAGTGATCCACCTCAGCACCCCCCAAGTATCTGGGACTACAGGCGTGTGCCACCACACCTGGCTAATTATTCAAAAACTTTGTAGAGATGGGGCTTACTATGTTGCTCAGGCTGCCACTGCCCTTTACCAGCCTTTGTTGCCCCTCATGCTTTGACATGTGAACCAATCCCAGCCAGTGGGACCCCAGGCGATGTCTGCTGGTGGGCTTCTGGGGGTATTCCTTTCTAATAAAGACAAAGGAGAAATTCTTTTCTTTGGCCAGATGTTGTGTCTGCAATGATAGTATCTGAAGCAACCGTGTGGGTCCCATGAGAACAGCCTAAAGGCCAGGGCAGTGGCTGAGGTGGAGACCCTGGCTCTTGATGGCATCATTGAGCCACTGAACCAACCCTGTGACCACAGACTTCTTGCCCCTGCATATGTGAGTTCACCACCATGGTGGGTGCAGTGGTCTGTTACAGCTGAGGGCATCCAAAGTTTAGGAACATACGAAACAGTTTTCCTCTTCCTGAGGGTCAGCGCCAATGATGAGCGGGGCCGAAGTGAAGAGATAAACCCAATTTCCTATGAGGCAGATAGAAAGCAGCTTGTCCGTGACACAGGAGCTCCATGCTCTGGGATGCATCTTGTTGGAGAATGGATCCCAGCCTGAGTGAGCAGCCCACACTGATGGATTGGGGATAGCGGAAATTAAAAAATGCCTTCTGTTCCTCTCTTCCTTGCTCCTCAATAGGTGATTACCTTCCATTTCAGGCAGCAGAGTCTGAATTCCTATCTGCTGGGAGCACGGAAAGGGGCACAGCATCCTGGTTACAAACCTGAAGAGTGTACACATCTCTCACTAATGAAGCCATCACAATATGGAGCCAGGTCTTCCCATTTGAACGAGGAGAGAGGACAGGGTCACATTTGCTTGCCTTTTACTGCTTACTCACTGAACAGCATCAGGGAAGGTTTACTTTATGAACCTGGCACAAAGTAGGTTCTGGGCCTGATGTTAACAACATTCACTCTGCCCTCTTCACAAATGAAAAGGTGGAAAATTTCTGACTTCTGGTAAATTCACATTGCAATGACTGTTTCTCTGGACACAGATCTTGCAGTTCTCCCATCCCTCAAGGCTGCTGTGATTGATTTATTTTAAAAAGTCTTTCACGGTTTCAGGAGAAGAACAGTTGAAAAACTATAGGTAGAGGTTAATTTGGTGTTCACAAATCAAGTGATAGTTCACTCTATCTCATAGCTCAATGAATAGTAGGATTAGGAGAGAAATTTAACTTCACTTTTGTAGTGAATCCCTTTTTATATGTACCTTTAAAACTTTTGCACTTCCTTTTTTTTCTCCTTTAGTGAACCTTAGCATATAAACAAGATAATTTTTTAAAAAAGCATTTTATAGGTAGAAATGAACTTTTATATTTATCAGACTTGAATTTGAAAGCAGGTAGAGTAGGCAATTGTTTCGTCTGCGTAACAAACTCCTTTTCTTTCCCCTTTTTTTTTAAAAAAAATTATTCTTTTTAAGAGATGGGGTCTCACTGTGTTGACCAGGCTGGTCTCAAACTCCTGAGCTCAAGTGATCCTTCTGCTTTGGCCTCCCAAAGTATAGGTATTACAGGTGAGAGCCACTATGTCTGGCCCCAACTTTTTCTAGAAAATTCTGAGAATTGTCTAATCCACGAACTCCATCTACATGGTTAGTCCAAGTCACCGTGTTACTACAATATGGCCTAAGCCATGAGTACTACCCACTCTTCAGAGTCTAGAATCCTGGAGAGAGTTTACCTCTATTTCATTCTGTCTCCAAATTTTACAGTATTTCTTCCTGCATTGAGTGAAAACCTTTGCAGATGGATATTCTGTTCTGAACACTTTTCTCAGAGGTGCATCATGCTGTGTTGCTGGAGCCTACATCTGTGTATAATGTAACCCTTGTTACCTTATAGTAATTACTATATAAACTTTGTCGATGTGTTACTATAAAGCTGGGTAAAAGTTGTGTTAGGTTTACAATAAACATTTTTTGTTGCATACATTGTATATATGTTTATAAATT
This sequence comes from Homo sapiens, assembly GCF_000001405.40. Lineage (NCBI taxonomy): Eukaryota > Metazoa > Chordata > Mammalia > Primates > Hominidae > Homo > Homo sapiens. Next base: position 161,079,150 of record NC_000003.12, on the reverse strand, counting down.
GCCTTGTTTTGAACCAGAGCCAGGCTTATTCCCATTCCAAATGAAAGCACCAAAGTCTCAAAACCTCCTGCCTCTTGCTTCTGTTAGGCTTTGGTCTTATCCTCTACCCATGAATTGTTTCTTTGCTTTCCACATAGAACCCTAGCTCAAGCTACTCCAACTCAAAAGCATAGAGAAATTATAAAATTCAAGAACAGATGTTAGAATGGAAAATGAGTTTAACTTAAAAGAATACCAGCAGTCTCATGTTTAAAGTCTAACAACTTTGTGTTTATTTTTGCTTTAATCTTGTCATGGGTAAATTTTTAGCTGTTCATTTTTATACAACACCACAGGATCAGAGATAGCATGAACACATTAGTCTCTACAAGGCTAATTCTACCCGAGCACCCATCAAAGCGACCCAAATGACACGCCATGCATCTTGAGTGACCGTGCACTGCCATATACTCTGAGCTCTACTACAGGTAATGTTACACCAAATTGACATTGTAACTGTGTTTCAAATGTCTCTTAGAGACAAATACAGATCAGTAGGTATAATAACCTCTGAAGACTTCCAAGAGTAATGAGGTTTCGCCAAGCCTTGTTGTATTTATCATGGATGGTTTTCAGGAAATAACTTACGAGAAAGCCTGATTGATTTTACAGTCATTTTGACCTGTGATTTATTTATTAAGTACAATTTGAAGATTCCTAAAATAAAGTATTGCCAATAAATTATAGATCCTGTATCTCTTTATAAACAAATAATCCCTTGTGATTTTTAAAGTTGCAAGAAAATGCTGATGGAAAAATTTTCATGATGTTGAAATAGGTATAAATAAAAGCTTATACAAAGCCACTGTCTCAACATCAGCAGGATAAGAGAGAAGAACTTCTGAGACATTATACTGTTCCCCAAAAAAACACTACTTTTTTTCCTTCCCCTTTTTCTCTCCTCACTCTGTGCTTTCCTCCTTTCCATCCTTAATAACTGAGCTCCATCTATGGTTTTAATCTTACTAAATCAGAAATTGGCTTGGTTTCATTTGAATTTCCTTTTATATGTGCTCATGATTAAAAACAAAACAAAAACCCTACTTTTGATCACAATCAGATCTTTACCGTCTCTAACCATTTACTGCCTAGTATATGAAGTATATGAATTATTCTAATTCAATAGGATTCTAATGCAATTTGGCAATAACTAGTATTATTTGGATTTAAAAAGCCATTGGCATAAACAGAGATGTTTAGGGGAAATGAGCAGGCAAGCAAATAATTTAGAAAGAAGTGATGGTTTCTGTGGTTAAAAATAAAAGTCTGGGATTTAGTTTTTCTTTGCCATACAGAAAACAGATGTTGCTATTTTTGTTCAAAATACAAAACTTAAATTCCATGCTTAGACTCTGGAATGTGTAAAGTAACTATGGATACCAAATTTATGATTTAAAAAAATGACATTTAGTCTTCTGTTCATATTTGAAATCAGGAAATAATTGTGCTCCTGAAATGTTAACTTTCTATATAACAGATTCACTGATTTACACTCAGGAACACTGAAGATACTCAGTTCTGGGCTGTCTTTGGGGGCATAAGGTTATTACACTAGTCTCTTGGGAACAAAAATAAAAATAGGCCATGGAGAGATGTTCTTGCTCCTCCCTTTTCTCCTTTTCTATAATCCTTCTCTTCCCCTAGAAAGATCTGGACAACCTGGCTTTCACCAGCCTACTGCTGCACCCTTGCACAGCTGCTGGCCCACTTGGGTGGAGGCTTCCAGTGGCACCCTCCACTGGGACAGTCCCACCCCCCTATCCTTGTCCCCAGAGGCTCCATGTCTCACTCCCCACCCCATCCTTCAGAAACTAGGTGAGCTAGTAAAATGGAGTAATTATCTTCTGCAGTTTGCTTGAGTGTTGGCAAGAAATTCCCAATCTCATATCACTTACTCTTATATGTGAGAAATAATTATTCTAATTCTGCCCTGTCCCAACAAATCTAAGCCCATTGGAAGAAATCATGAAGATAACAATTTTCATCCCATTGGGTCAATATTGAGTGTTATAATATCTCTGACACCCCAATAGGGTGTAAGCCCCAAGAAGGCAGTGATGGCGCCTGAGTGCTCACCATGGATACATTCACTCAGACACAGTCACTGCCTGGCACATAGTAGATGCTCACACAAAAAAGGAAAGAATAAAATATACAAACACACAGCAATAATAGTGACTTTCCCAATGTAATCTGTTCATAAGATTGATCAATCTGTTATAAATGCAATGATGCTTCTATTTATTTTTAAGAAAAAAACTCATACATTTTCCTTATACAAATTATGTATGTGAGCAGAGTTTACATTGGGGTCTTTTGGAATGAACTGTTTAATTACTATTTTCCAGGTTTGTCAGAATAATCATTTATCTGAACCCACTAAAATTTCTATTTGTCTTTCTCTCTCTTTTTTTTTTTCCTGGCTGCCCATGAGAATGCTGAGACATTATCAAATAGATTTCAATTCTGTGACCTGAACTGCAGTTGTGTAAGTGCTATAAATCAAAATCATTTGCTTTAGTAATTGAAGAGTAAACTGAAAGACAATATTGTAGATGTTAATGTTTCAATGTGAACATGTAATAAATTAAAAAGAACAAACACTGCTTTCTATAATAGAAGCAAAAGTTATGGGTTTTCTCCATGGTCATATTTTATTCATTATTCTACTTTCTGCACACTGTATATGCTTGAGATAAAACAATAACCAAGATGATAAATACATAAAGACTGTTAGTTGTAGTCTGGGAGCCTAAATCAGAGGAGTATTCTTGCTTAATGTCCCATGGTTCTAGCTTTTCTCCACAGAGCAGGATTTAGACGTTTTCATTACTACACGAAGAAGTCATCATTTGTCCTAAGATAGACAAATGGGAATTTAAAAGTTATACAAAAGACATCTTTTTCTTGGGTTAGAGATGTCTAATACATCATTTCTACAGGATTAATTTTTTTAATCATATGAGCAACCTGACCCATTGCATTATATGGATTAGAAAACTCTCTAAGAAGCAAGAATATCAAATCACTCTGTGGTTGGTTTTTGTGAAATTGTCTGTCGTAAATTGAGTACTCACTAGTATTCATGTTGGCATTTGCAAAATTACCACTATGTTAAAACTCGCTCCCAGTTGTACCTGTGACTGTGTTTATCTGACTTCAGTTTTACTGTCCACGATTTGGAACGTGAATGGAATCTGGGACAGTAAAGGTGTTGAGGAGAGCAATAAATGAGATCTCATGTATCCATTTTCATCAGAAAAAAATGGAATAGGGACTGCAATTTTACTAACTTCGCAAATAACTGAGAATGTTCATTTTCTCACTTCAATGTTATCTCCTTCACTAAGAGCGTAAGTACAGAAAGCATAATTCATGATGTAATAAACTATAACACCTCCTTTTCTTAATTTAAAATATTTCCTTTTATATTACTCTCCCTTGATTTGGGCTTCTGTATTTTCTTAAAAATGCTTTCCTTTACATTCTAATTTTGACCACACTGGAAACTGATTTTACAATTTTTTATTAAAAAGTGTTCCAAACCATTTTTCTTAAATGTGATTCTGCCCGTGCCATCAGTCCTACAAAAGGAAGCTTTAAAATTAAAATGCTGTCTTCATTAACAAATAAGCAAAGCATTAACCAATACTCTAAGAGACAAGCCCATTTTTTGAATGGTGAAAAGTGGTAACAACTGCCTTTTCTTCATCTATGTGCAGGTGTCAGAAATTACTATTAAACACAACCTATATATAGTAAAAATCTGATAATCCACATTTCTTATAAGCTACTTTTTACATTTTTAATGTCTGGGTATCCTAAAGGGGTTTTTCCCTGATACTTGACTATTACATCCGCCTTTGCTTCTGCATGAACACGTTTTACATCGTGAATTATCTAATTAATATAGAAATATTTTGAGATAATGCATGATATCATATTTAATTTATGAACTGCCTCATGACAAAAGGTAATGAGAGCTGATACAATCCCTCTCCTGAAGTGGCAGCGAGTAACCCGGGCAGGCTTTGCTCTGGGTCACTCAGCCCTCTCTCCACCACAATCTGCCACCAGTGCCCTTACAGTAATCTGCTTGTGCTCAATGTCCTCGGAGGTTTTTGAGATTAACTTGGATTTGGCAAATGTTAGGTGGGATTTTGTGTTTAAATAATGCAAGGTTATAGGACTTCAAGAATAAATGAAACCACATCTCTAAATACAGTCTATGCCTTTGCTGCATGCTTGCTTTTTGGTGGAGCTTTGAACAGGGAAACTGTCTGTGATGATTTGTTAAAATGAATACTTGCTACATGCTCTCCTCAAAGTCCTTAACTTGGATTTATTAAAGCAGTTGTACGTATGATGCTGTGGTTATTACTAAACACATAAAAATTATCAATAATCAACCCTAGCCTCAACAGTTTGCTGTTCAACAGTGGTAAAAATAACAAATAGACAAAGCATTAACATTACTAAGGATCAGCAAATTTACATATTAGAAAAAATGTTTAGAAATGCATCTATTGGAAGCTTCATGGTATCAACTGCCCCCTGCCCTTTGCAATCCGCCACCTAGCCTAAGAGATCTTACTTTTAGTTTTTTAAAATATTTTGGATAATGTGCAGAGGATGAGCTATTCCTAAATATTGGATGTAATTTTAAGTTAATGACTTTTGCCTTAATTCACTCTGTACCATGTTTTCGACTAGATTTGTTTCATCCATGACTTTGGGGTAATCTCTCATAGCTTCCCAAACCTATTTCTGCAGCCAAGAGTAACTACTGTGGAACTACAGGAAGGCCTCACATTTTAGGCAAGAGATAACATGCCAAACTTAACTATGTACATAAAACATGAAAGGTGGGATGATATGGGACAGGAGTTTTAGAAGGTATGAGCTCTAATTGATTTCAAATTATTTCACTGAATCCAGAGAGGACAATAAAGGAAAGAAAGTAAATAACTGTTAATAGTTTACATTTCAGTTATTATATAACAGATCATTAGTTTTAAAAATCGTTAAAATTTCAAAAGTGAATTAAAATCAAATTTCTGTTTTTCCTTTTCTGTGATTTTCTGTATATTTTTAAATATCATATAGTAATGAAATATAAAAATATTCATTTTGATTCAACCCAAAAAGCAAAGGTAACTGCAAAAAAGCAATGGAAAGATCTTGGAATGAATTTGAGACATATTTAGCTATGGCAGGGCTCTTGCTCATTATTCATATAAAAGAAAGGGATGGCCGGGTGCAGTGGCTCACACCTGTAATCCCAGCACTTTGGGAGGCCAAGGCTGGTGGATTACAAGGTCAGGATATCAAGACCATCCTGGCTAACATGGTGAAACCCCGTCTCTACTAAAAATACAAAAAATTAGCCAGGTGTGGTGGAGGCCGCCTGTAGTCCCAGCTGCTCAGGAGGCTGAGGCAGGAGAATGGTGTGAACCTGGGAGGCGGAGCTTGCAGTGACCTGACATTGCGCCACGGCATTCCAGCCTGGGTGACAGAGCGAGATTCCGTTAAAAAAAAAAAGGGGGGGATGATGTTTAGAGCTTTAAGTAGGATTGTTCTGCTATCAATATGAGGCTGCTGTTGGTCATATTAAGTCATACTACTTCTTAACACTGCTTTTATTAACAAGTCAGCTTCATATATGAAAGGCTCATGCTTCTAAGTTGCAAATTGTACTGCTACTAAGAGTCATCGTGAATGAAAACACAGCAATATTTCAATATACCAGAATTTCCCAAAGGGTGTTCTTTAGAACACAAGTTCCTTGCAGTGTTACTAGGTGCCACTCAAAAAAGTTTCTGTGGTCAAATTAATCTGGAAAACACTGGGCTAACTGACAGTAGATATTTGTTGTGTTTTTCTCTCCTCACAGGACATTTAAATTAGAGCCTTTGATGTGCTCATGTTCACTAACTTTCTAAGATGGTATGTGTTTTCCAAACTTATTTCATCCTAGAATCCTATATTTAGAAGAGCATCTTTGGAACTTGTGTTCTTTGGAACACACTTTGGGAAACACTGGATTCTATTATTTCTACAGCTAACTAGCTCAAAAGTCTAGCTATCAATGACTTAATCCAGAGGCAATTAAACAGGCATAGTATCTAACAGTCATGTCATTTCTCCAGAGCTGGATGACAAATGCTGGTGTGACATGCTAAGGCAATTTTGGGGAACTATTAGGGTATGAACAGTCTAGTTGTGGGTCAAAAGGAGGAAAAAAGAATTTCTGAAATCATTGGAAAAGTTTTATACAAAGTATATATTCCTATAGTTTCAAATATACAATGATATGCTGCCTTTTCTAAACACAGACCTTTCATTGACACAGTTGCAAGAGAGATCTGGCAACAACTTAGAGAACAAAAAAAATCAGGATAATCAAGATACACCTTGATACACAAGTTCCTTGCAATGTTACTAGGTGCTACTCAAAAAAGTTTCTGTGGTCAAATTAAACACAAAGGAAATTAAACGCAAAGGAAAACAGTGGACTCAATTTCCTAGAATCCAACAGTGGAATCAATTTCCTAGAATCACTTCAGATTCAATTGAAATGATGATGCCATCACTCTCATGCAATCCTGTTTGCCATTTACCCAAAATGATGTAATAATTACACTTGTATGAAATAAGGTCTGTTTTAAATTATCCAGCTTACATCCTTCACTATAACACTCTCTGTATAATATTCTTATGACATATACAAGATTCAAGAAGCCAATACCTCAGTCCACAGCAAGGAATAAAATGCAGCCACTGGTTACCAGTACTATGTACATATGTACACAGATATGTCACATTAGAACAGCAATTCAGAGTTAATTGCCTTGGGGCAAGTTGGTCATATAAAATAAATAATACAGGTCTTGGGAACAGCTTTGGAGCTTTCTATATGTGTTGTTTATTCCTATGATGAAAGAATTTTAGATACAATTAATTAAAAAAAATTTCCCTAGCTGTCCCTCCCCCAACCTATGTTAAGAGTACAAATTGCCAGTGGAGCAGCAGCAGAGCACTGCATTAATGGAGACCTGGGCCTGGCATCGTGCTGGGGTCTCAGAAGCACATGGCCATTCCTGTCTTCATTTCTAAAAGACTGTAAAACCATCCCAAAATTTGGCACCATGGGGACTATTGGCAATTCGAACTCGAGCTAGCTAGGGAGTCTAGGAAGCCTTGGGTGACAATTCCAAAGCTTTGGCAGTGCTGCTTAGGGAAGCTTCACATGCAAACATCTCAAATCAATTTCCCTAATGGCTAGATTCAGCATTCCCAGGTCCCTGGGGAGCAGCCAGTGTACCATAGGGCACCCCCAGGAGTGATGTCTGCACATCCCCAACAGCTGGAAAAGGGCTAGGGAGAGAGAGCTCCAGAAGGAAGGGAACAAAATACTCTGATTTTAGATATAACTATCCTAACAACTATTAATGAAACTGCTACAGTTTTGCCTAGAACTTCTATCTTTTGAAAATCTACAAGCCATAGTAGGGGGGAAAGAGGCAGTAATGGGAGTAGGATATATACACTCTATTTGGTTAACATCAGAAATGAATTAATTGTACAAAGCAAAATTTAGAAGACGCCTTGTGAACCTCAATTAGAGAGAAAGTTATGTAACTCGTGCACTCAGCACCATCTGTTAAGAAATTCTGCAGGGCACGTAACCACTGATTTACTAATTTAGTAGCTTTTCTTTTTCATCTTTATCAAAACACTGTTGCTTTCATTTTAGACAATAAAAATAACCGGAATTTAAAAATGTCTTTTCCTTGCTATTATACATTTTTGTGCTACGTTAAAAATAAAGAAAGTTGGCTATGGGCTGTAAAGTGCTGACACCATTGGTGCTGATTTCAGTTTGATGGTGGGTGGGGGCAACTCTTAGGAGTCAGAATGTCCTGAATTTCCAAGCAAACTCAGCCGCCTGGCCTGGCCATCTCAGCACTGCTCACAGCCAGCATTTGTTTTCCACATTCCCTTCCCTGTCCCCACCCCAAATATTAATACACACATCCACATATTCAGTGTCTCCCCATAGGCAAATGCTTAAATCTAAAATGGTGGCAGATATTTTTTACTAGAAGATTCTATGGCTAAAAAACAATAACCAAGGTTCTGTAATGCTGGAAAATACAGTATACAAAAGTAAGCAAATCTCATGGGAAATCATTAGCAATTCTCAGTGCAGTCAAAGAAAGTTAAGTGCTTGGAGAAATCAAGACAGATTGCAGCCCTCCACATCTACAAGGCAATTTCTTCACTCTCTCAAATTCTCTCCTGGACACTGCTTTGGGAAAACTCTACAGCAGCAGGAGGGGAGAGGGCAGGGTTCCACGGCGAGGAGGTGGCCGGTGAATGTGGCATATGGGAAGCTATAACCACAAATGCTCACAGGGAAAGAACAAAACCAGGTGGATACAGAGGGCTGGGAGGCAACGGAAGTTTCGTTTGGCTGTTTGAGTCACCTTAGGCAAAGAGAGTGACCCAGCATTTTCTCTAAATAATATAAAATACCAAGGTTGGAAAAATGATAAATTAGCGATACAGGAAATGGAGAGCAGCAAGCCAGGCCCCTAAATAATTCTGGCCCACTTATCAATATGGGTTCACGCTTGAATTCCTGACTTACTGTGTTGCAACTGCCAGGTCCCTTTGCTGCCTCCCCTGCAGGCCTGCAGGCCACGGGGCGGTTTGTATTTGCCTGGGGAAAGCTCCCTGATGTGGATGGAGATTTGCAACCAAATGTTGAAGACTGCTGCCTTTCCATTGTCAAGGAGAAGCTTATCCCAGTAGTTTCCCACCAAATCCCAAGCTGCAGTAGCTGGGAACTCTGCACCTGGCTTCAAGGAACACACATACAGTTATAGGCTGCTGCTTCTCAGAACACTGCCTGACACTTGAAAACCACTTGGAAAGGGGCAAGGAAAAACACAAAAACTGGCAGCTGGAGCTCAATTCAGGGTGGTAACCTCACCAGCTCACTCCTTTCTCAATGCAAACAGCTTACTTGCCAGGGAACACTGTGACTCATTCAGTATCATTTCCTTCATCTACTGTTGAAAATGGAAGGAATCATGGTATTGTGGCTTGCTTTTTTCATTTCCCCTAACGTGGTTTCTTGGTCACGTAAGATGAAAAATCAGGGTATCTGTTGGTGAATTTAACAGCTGCCTATTACATATGGTAAGGACTAAGCAAAAGGTTAACGGTCATGCATGATTAGGATAAATGCACAAAGGCTGGTCAGGTGGTATACAAAGTCTATTTAACTATTAAAGGAAGCAAGGGAAGAGGGTTATCTCTGCTGTGCAGGCAGTTGCCACTGGTCTCTCATTCTCTCTGCTTCTCGCAGTCCCCAAGAGCAGCCAAAATAGTAAACCATTCCAAATCTGCTTCCAAGCTGCTACTGAGCAGAAAACATGGGCTCAGAAGGACAAAGCATTCTCAGGACAGCTCTGTCTCTTGGCAGAGGGTGTTGCCACATCAGCCCCTGACCACTCACAGGTGACGCAGTGGCCTGTCTCCTGCAGCACTGGGTGGTCTGTCCTGTCCACTGTTACAAAGAGAGGACACAACAGCTGATGCCTGGAGGACCCTGAACAGGATCTTGAAAAGAATCTTCAGGGAGACTAAATGACACATATGCTATTCACTTCATATATGTGACTCTACAGCTATTTACTTATATATTTTGGACACTGGATGAAAGAGTTGGGAAAACATGAAGAAACCATTTTCCAGTTTCTTAACTACATTGGCCAAGGGCACCCTCTGTTCGTCACTGATTATAGACCTAAGACCACCAGGGAGGGGGGATTCCATGTCTGGGGTGGATGATCCTAATTACAACTCCCACACTTTTCACTAAATTAAAAGAGACCAGTGTGTTGAAAGTCCTTTAGTCTAAGGCAGCTGAGACCCCTGAAGGGTTCACTGCTCTTCTGTTTTGCTGCTATTTCTGAACTTCACCACCATGACTGTTATATTGTCAGGGCAGCCTCTGTAAAATGACTGTAAAACTATGCTCTTGGCCCCAAAGTGAGGTTCATCCAAGCGCTCCTTGATGAATCGAACTGCTTCTTCATTGCTGAAAGCATCCCAGAGACCATCTGATGCCAAGATCATGAACTCAGGCTGAAGCTTGTCCAGGTCAAAGGTCAGGATGTCTGGGTCTGGGATGACCACGTTGAGATTTTTCAGCGGATAATCCCCCAGGGACCGAGACATGGCCAGGATTCCCTGGACCCTCCAGGAGCCATTGAAACTGATGAAACCACCTAGAAAGACAGGATGAGCCCATTAGTTTGACCAGCTGATATCTCACTTACCTGGGATAGTCTAGGTACGTGCGCAACAGGGTGACCTACTTCATGTGAACTGGGCTGTGGGCACTCCCCTTAACCCCATCACTCCTGGGACCCACTGCATGGCCTGGGGTTTTATACTCTACCAGTTGATCCTCATACCCTCATCCTGGCATCTTGAAGGATTTCAATAATATATCAATAAGAGTACTGAAGGTGGCGGATACATATGGGGGAGGGCATTGGTTTTTAACTTAACACCGTGGTGGCTCAGTGATTGACAGTAGAGAGCATGAGGGTAGGGATTTGAGGAGAGTGGCAAAGGAATGCTGAAAGGCAGGTGAACAGGCACCGTATATATCATTTGGCCTGAGGCCACTCATAAGTGTGCCTATATAGGTCTCAAAACAGCTCTGTCCCCCCAAATAGGATCAAGATTAAGAAAAAGCACACACTAGTATAGTCATTAAAGGCTCAGGTCAGACTACTTGAATGTGATTCCTGGCTCTGTCTCTTCTAACCATGTCTCACTTTGGATGAGAAACTCTTTCTCTGATCCTCAGTCTCCCTGGCTACAAAATAGAGACAGTATCTATTTTATTGGGTTGTTGAGAAATGAAGGTCTTATTCCACATAAGTCATTTGGCACAGTCCCTGAACATAATATGCACTTAACAATTGTATCTATTATTTTTTTCTTCATCCACATATTTGTCAGATATTTACTAAATACCTACTCCATGGAAGGCAATGTGCAGGATATGAAGTTATACAAGATCCAGACCTTTCTTTAAAAAAGTAGACAGCCTGGCAGGAGAATTAAGCCACAAAAAGTATTAAATACAATAAGCACAAAGTGGTATTCTTCAGGGCGAGACCAGTGTCTGCTAAATGCTGTAGGCAGATGGAGAAGGGAGGGATGATTTCCAGTTCTGATCATGAGGGTAGAATGAACATTAAAGGTGGGCTTTGAGCGATGGGTGAAACATCTATGGGCAGGATATGTAGGAGGACATTCCAGGAAGCATGGTCTAGTAGGCAAGAGCATAAAACCCAGTCCTGGGTTTCAGCTGTGGTCTCACCATTCACTAGCTGTGTGTGCTTGGGCACATAAGCCTCTGTGAAGTTCCAGTTTGTTGGCTACAAAATGAGAATAATATTATCAACCTCTTAAGACAGGCAAAGAGAAAGTGTATGTGTAAAGTGCTAGGCTTTGCTGCCAGCACAGGATAAGCACACAATAAATGACAGCTAATGTTGTTGTTGGAAACAGTATAAGGAGTGGCGACAGAAAGACATGTATTTGGCCCAGACTGGCTGGACCTTACTGTCATGCTAAGCAGGAGGGGGAAAGATGTCCTGAAAAGAGGCTGAGGCCAGAGAAAACACACATGAAGATGGTAAAACCAATCACTGTTTCTTAAGCCTTGTGTAAAATATGCAATTGATCAAATTATGTAAAAGAACAGAGAGGTTAGATTAACCTCCTTGGAGACGGTGTGCAAATTTGCTTCTACAAAGAATCAACATAGGGTGCAGGCGTGGGTAGTGGGTATGACAGGGAAGAAGAGGAAGCATAAAATGGCCATGATATTTCAAAAGAGAGCACTGAATGGTAAGATGACATTTGCAGGTGTATTGTGTACACATCCTTGCCTGATGCTGATGCAAGACTGAGCTAACTGTGTCTTAATTTCACAGCAGACTCCTACAGGCAGATGGTGTTTTACAAGTAGGAAGCCAGAGAACTTTGCTCCTACTGCCTGGAGGTCATCAAAGCTTGATAGATGCTCCTAAAATATCATTCGTTTCATCCCATCAACAGAAAACCTGACCAATGCTTTCATTAAAAACTATTTTGCAACTCAAGCAGTCACTGAAGCAGGAGATTGTAATAAAATTCAACACATTTTGACTTAACAGTATGGTTCCCTACTGTGAAAACTAAAATGTTGATTAGGTTCATTCAGTTCATTCACTGGGCAGAAGCTGACCTGTAGAGATCGAGAGTCAATGTGCAGATTAACCCAGACAGCAAGGGCCCATCCTGGTCAGATACTAGGGTACATGAGCACCCCGCTTGCTCCCCTCTGACAGCTGGCCTGCTGCCTGGCACATCATGAAGAGCATACATCCTGCAGCTCTCAGTCTGAAAAGTTACAGAATTCTTCCCTTACATAGGTATAAAGGTATTCTCTGAAATCGAATTATGAAAATGTAATAATCAACTGATAATTATCCTCCGAGTCTTTGTCCAAACATCACTCTAGCAAGGCCCACACAGGCCACACTACTTAAAACTGCAACTCCCTGACACTCCCCTTACCTGCTTCATGTCTTTCCATAGCAGTTATCAACTTCTAATATACTATATGAATGACTTACTTTTACTATTTTTTTTTGTTAATGTCTATTTACTCCATTCCTCACCCCCATGCCAATTTCAGAATGTAAGTTTCATGAAAGCTTGAGAATGGGGTTTTGTTTTATCCCCAGCTCCTAAAATATTGAATAAACCAATGAATGAATGAATAAGGGACCCCTCTACCCCCAACCTTGCTCTGAAATATTTACTTATACCAGGCACTAAGCCAAATGCTCAAGGCATAGAGATGAACAAAACCAAGTTCCTGTCTTCAAAGAGGTGACAGGAAGGCAAGGCAAATAGGAGAGCCAGGTATGTCCATGTATTGTAAAAGGTGACCCAAGACGTCCACATAGGATGCTGGGGAAAGGCAGAGGGGCATCCACCCCAGAATGGGAAGGCCCTTGCCACAGTGTGACATGGAAAGCTTCCAAAAGAACACCTTAAACTGAGTTTTATGGGACAAGTAATTGTGACCCAGAACAGCACTTGCAAAGGCACAGAGGTATCAGAAACAAGGTCTTTTTAGGAATGATTAGTAGTTAGTTGTGGCTCCGAGGGAAGCAGCATATAGCAACAGGCTAGAGAAAAGTGAGAACCCGGGGCCCAAAGATCTTATTAGCCTTTAAACTGGAAATGGGCTTTTTAGTTCTTTTGGAATCTTTGGCTATGAAGGAAGACAGATTTAGTGGCCATTTATTTGATAGGTAATGTTACAAAGTCAATCTCAGTTACCTCAGTAGCAGCCTCTCTAATACTGCATAACTGGACATTTTATCCAGGAGCTCTCCAAGCAAGCCGCCTTGTTCACCAGCAAGACAGCAGACATTTCTTGGAGGTGTTCACAAGCTCACCTGCTCTCTTTATCCTCTTTCTTTCCTTCAACTGGTAAGGCTTGTGATCATGAGACAAAGGAATAGCGTTCCCATCTTTGTCACACAGGACCCCGCGCGAGTCACCCACGTTGGCCACAGTGAGGTCTTTATCTGATAGCAGAGCAATCAAACACGTTGTGCCTGAAAAATAGAAGAGAGAGAGAACGCGGGAGGTCAGCAGTGCATTCAGGTTCCATTGCTTCTTGTGGTAACTGGATTCTTCAGTCATTAAAATTGCTTCTGCTGGGTGAGAATTTGACTCCAGCCACTCTGAGAATGATGGCTGTTCACTTCGACAACAATGATCAAATCTGACAGTCAATTTTCTTAACCATGTTAGAGTGTCACTAAAATAGGCTAGGATAACATTATAATTTTCCTAAATCACTTTGTCTCTGCTACTCTTAAACACATATCACATTTAAAAGGATTAGGAGAGAAACAAAATCGTTTGAAGTTTCAGTCAACTGATACACACTTTTGGCTTCTGCTTGGTGCTGAGTTTCTGTGAAGTCCCAGTTGGAAGTGGGAAGGATGGGGGTGTGCGGTGGGCTCCTCATTTCTAGGAGGGCCTAGAAATGCCAACAGCTGAATCATGTGGAGCATGAGGAAGCTGCTGATGTCAGGACAGGTTGAGCTTGCCTATACAAAGTCTGACAGCAAAGACTGGTGGCCAGAAACAGGTCCACTCCAGGGTGTGATGGAGGCAGACCATAAAGACAGAAGCAGAGAAAGCTCTGGTGTTGACAGAACTGAGGCCTAGGGAGAGGGTGGTTCGAGTCAGAAGAAAGCAAGATTGAAGACGTGCTTGCCTGAAGCCCACACAAGACACAAAGGACAAGCTCTGCTCAAATCCTTTTTGACATGGGAATGGATAAAAGCAAACAGAGTTGAACGGTCTGGTCTAGTTGGAGCCTGCCCTGTCCAGCTCCTTTCTGTTCACCTCTTCCTTTTTGACAGTGTCACTCAATATGCAAATACCTGCTGAAATGCACAACCCATTCAGCTCTTGACTCAAACATATCTCCCTCGTTAAAATTATGCACTAATTAGTCTTCATTAACGTTTCCTTCCTCATTAAGGTCATATTCTATAACAAGAATGTCAACTGTATCTAAATGGCTCTTTAGTTTTCATGGAACAACAAAAAAGACCGATTTTTTTTTTCTTTTTTTAAGAGATAGGGTCTTGCTCTGTCATCTAGGCTAGGGAGCAGTGTTGTGATCATAACTCACTGAAACCTCAAATTCCTCGGCTCAAGCAATTCCCCCACCTCAGCCTCTGGAGTAGCTGGGACTACAGGTGCATGCCATGGTGCTGGCTTGAAAAAAAACACTGAATTCTTTTTTTTTTTTTTTAATTTTACTTTAAGTTCTGGGACACGTGCAGAATGTGCAGGCTTGTTACATAGGTATACATGTGCCATGGTGGTTTGCTGTACCCATCAACCTGTCATCTAAGTTTTAAGCCCTACATGCATTAGGTATTTGTCCTAATGCTCTCCCTCCCCTTGCCCCACACCCCCTGACAGACCCTGGTGTGTGATGTTCCCCTCCCTGTGCCCATATGTTCTCATTGTTCAACTCCCACTTACGAGTGAGAACATGTGGTGTTTGGTTTTCTGTTCCAGTGTAACTTTGCTGAGAATGATGGCTTCCAGCTTCATCCACGTCCCTGCAAAGGACATGAATTCATCCTTTTTTATGGCTGCATAGTATTCCGTGGTGTATATGTGCCACATTTTCTTTATCCAGTCTATCATTGATGGACATTTGGATGGGTTCCAAGTCTTTGCTATTGTGAATAGTGCTGCAATAAACATATGTATGTATGTGTCTTTATAGTAGAATGGTTTATAATCCTTTGGGTATATACCCAGTAATGGGATTGCTGAGTCAAATGGTATTTCTGGTTCTAGATCCTTGAGGAATTGCCACACTGTCTTCCACAATGGTTGAACTAATTTAGACTCCCACCAACAGAAAAAAAAACAACAACACTGAATTCTTAAATAGACATAAAGAATAAACACAGGTTGATATCAAGAGCAGAGAGAATTAAAATAACTATCATAATATAATCAGTTATTATAGTTCTGCTTGAAATTCCATTCTTAAGCTTATTTAACTAAAAATGCCTTGATCAGATATGGAAACACATGAAATGTTGGTTAACACAGGATTTCTAATACAAAAGGCCTTGGGGGAAAAAAAAGACTAATTTCATGGATTATCAAAACAATTTTTAAAAAGCTATAAGAATGAAAATTAAGCAAAAGCACAATCCACACAATTAGAAATTGTTGTTACCAGTTTTTGATTTTTTTTTTATATTGGAAACTGAAATTTTGGTATTCAACATATCCTCACTTTGTCCCCAAACATCTGATTGAATTAAATTATCCTACACAATCATAGCATAAATTCTCCTATAAGGCACAGTCTTAGAGTTTGAAAGGTAAAATAGAAAGATTGCTTCATGGGATATTACATGGCTTGTAGGCATTACTTCAGCATCACTCTTGGAGTCCTCTCTCTATAGGACTCTCTTCTCTTCTCACTCTGCACTTTCTAGGTGAGCATGTCGCCGACCTTGGCTTCCACACTTTCTAAGTCTATGCAGTTAGGCTGGTTGACACTCCTGAGGTCTACACCAACTGCCTAGTAGGCGTTTCCATTTGCCTGTACTCCAGGGGATCCAAGGAAAGGCTTTAGGGCCTCCATGAGAGGGAAGGGGAGGAATCCAGCTGGCTGAGTTAAAGGCCCCTTCCCCAGCCGCATTTCAACTAGGACAGCTCTGCTTCCACGTGTTAACAGCTAACAAGTCAGCTGCCACGCAAGATTTCTTTTTAAAAAAGGGAGAAGGAGGCATTCTTGCAGCTAGAAAAATAAAATAAAATTTAGTCCCATATTTGATTAAGAATCACTGAAGGGTTTTAAGCAGGATAGTGACACAATGAGATTCATATTTTAAAAGATGATTCCAGGGGCAATGCAGAAGATAGACAAATTGGGAGCAGTGAGAACAGGTGGAATTAATGAGGATCTGAATTAATGTAATAAATATAGGGATAGAGGGTAGGTGATAGGTTCTTATTTTTTATTTTGTAGAGATGGGTTCTCACTATATTGCCTAGACTGGTTTTGAACTCCTGGCCTCAAGTGATCCGCCTGCTGGCCTTTTAAAGTGCTGGGATTACAGGTGTGAGCCACTGTGCCCAGCTCCTGTGACAGGTTTTTAAAAACCAGAATGGATCACTCATAGAAACTGAGGAGAATAAAGGATGAGGGGAGAAGTTTAGGATAATACCCGTATATCTAGATGGGAGAAACTGGGCATTCCATGGACGAGGACTCAAAAAAGTCTGCTGGGGGCTTCTGAGAAAGGCTTTTTTTTTTCCCCCCCCACTAAAAGAGACACAGAACAGACAATGACTGTTTATTTGGCCCAGTGCTAGCCTATGTGTTTCCCAGAAGTGTGGCAGCCATCTTGCAGCTATGAAGGGATATCCCTTAGGGTCATGGCAACAAGTGCAGGATGGTAGAGCACAGAGGTAAACAGTAGAGCCTGAGTCCTGGAGAATATCAGGGAACTGCTGAGCCAGCCTAGAGCTGCCCTGTCCTTGTTCAATGAGACAATAAATGCCTTTCTTGTTTGAGACTTTTTGAGTTGAATTTTTTGTTGTTGTTGTTCCCTGTAATATCTGAATTTGATGAGAGATTTAGAGTGTGGCTGTTTAGCTACACAGTTGTCCCTTGGGATCTGCTGGTGATTGGTTCTAGACCCCCTATAGATAGCAAAATCCACGGATGGCCAAGTCCCTTATATAAAATGGCTTAGTATTTGCATATAACCTATGTACATCCTCTTGTATACTTTAAGTCATCTCTAGATTACTTATAATCTATAATGTAAATGCTACGTAAATAGTTGTTATATTGTTTTTTAATTTGTATGATGTTATATTGTTTTTTATTGCTTTAAAAATATTTTTGATCTGTGGTTGGTTGAATCCACAAATGTACAACCTATGGACATGAAGAGCCAACTGTACTCACATGCTATTGAACATACTTAAGATCGATGACCCGCCTTTGTCACAAACAAATCCCACTGTTTCTATGGGTAAATTAAGATCTACCTCATGGTGAAGTTTTCAGGACTATCCTGCCTATGTTAGCAACAGAATCTTAGACCTGGCCAAAATGGGTGAGCCCCAGATGGCAGGGTTATGAGTTATAGGTGGTATTCTGAATTACTGAAATGTCTCCATTCCTGTCTCTACAGAGGAAACCTGCCCCTATCCTGGGTGAGGTTTGTGTGGTTCTGGAGAAATAATACGTGCAAAGCAATGCTGAGCACTGGGGTGGGAGGCTTAAGAATGATCTGAAACAAACCAGGACACCAAAAAAAACTTACTGTTTGGGCTTTGCAGTTTTAGCTCAGGATTATAACAGATAGTTTACAATCTCATCTTACTTGACAGAACAAACTGCTTGTTGCTGGGAAACTCCAGAAAAGACATTATGCCCAAGAGAAAATGAAAAAATCATTTTCTTTTTATGCTTGAGACAAAACACTTGCAAAATTCTGGCTATTAGTTCTGAGATAAAATATTTATTCCATCATAGCACTATATTTATCAAAAATACCAGGGCCAGACAATGTTACTTAATTCTGAACCTCAGGATATTTCCATATTAACAATTTAATCTAGATGAGAACTTAATTGCAAATCTGAAAGAGATCTTGGAAATTTAACCTAATAACCTTATCTCATGGGTTTAAAAAAAAACCCAAAAAGCTTAAAAAAAAAAAAAAAGCGAATTCACATGGACCAGACTTCAATGTCCTAGCTAAGTGAGGTTTGGCAAGTTATTTGACTTTTAAGCCTCAGAAAATGGCACCATAATCCACTCCATTGCTCAAGCCAGAACCTAAGAATCATCCTTAATTTTTCTCTTTTCCTCTTTCCTGACATTCAGTCCATCATTAAGTTCTGTTACTCTTACCTCTAAAATATCTCTTAAACCCTTCCAGTTTGTTCTCACAGCATTGACTCCAGTCCCAACCACTGTCATTTTAGCCCCCGGGCTATTTCAGTAGTCCAGGTGAGAAACAATGGTGGCAAGTCCTGCATGACCTGGCCCCTAGCTAATTTGTCTAATATCATGTCACACCACTCCCTTCCTTGCTCAAGGCCTCCCTCCTGTTGCCCATACATGCCAACCTTTTTGTCATCTTTGGGCTTTTGTACTCGCTGTTCTCTCTGCCTGGCTTGTTCTCCTGTCCTTGACATTGGTTGACTGACCCATATGAAGATGTTGTAGCTCAAATGTGACATCTTCAGAGAGGCCTTTTCTGACAGGGATTGTATTTCCTCTTTGTTTATTGCCCTTACAACACACAATTATGTAGATATCTTGCTTATTTATTTAGACTATTTATTTATTTAGTGTCAGTCTTTCCCTTTAGAATATAAACTTCACAAGATATATTAGTCCATTCTTACACTGCTATAAAGAAATACCTGAGACTGGGTAATTTATACAGAAAAGAGGTTTAATTGGCTCATGATTCTGGAGGCTGTACTGGAAGCATAGTGGCTTCTGCTTCTGGGGAGGCCTCAAGAAGCTTCCAATCATGGCAGGAGGCAAAGGAGGCATGAGGCACTTCACATAGCTGGAGCAGAAGGAAGTGGGTGGGGGGAGGTGCAATACACTTTTAAACAACCAGATCTCACAAGAACTCACTATCACAAGAACAGCACCAAGAAGGACAGTGACAAATCATTCATGAGAAACCGCCCCCAGGATCCAGTTGCCTCCCACCAGGCCCCACCTCCAACAATGGGGATTACAATTTGACATGAGATTTGGGAAGGGACACAGATCCAAACCGTATCAGAAGTTTTGGATTTTCCCACTACAATGCTGATGTCTAGAATATTAAAAGCACCCAACATAGGCTAAATAAGCAAATTAATAGATGAATGAATAAGCGTTCACACATAATGTCCTGACCTGACATAATGCTAAGCTTCTAAAGTCTTGCTCTGACAGGTCAGCCCAGTTCAGTACACAATGGACAACACCATTGTCCAGCTATTGCCATAAAAAGAGCTATCAGATGTAGCAAAATACACTTTACACCCTGATGAAAACACGATGACCCTCCTGTACATGTATAGCTCATGCTCCCATGCTCACTCCTGGTAGGTGGAGAGAACTTCTGGCCCAGATATGTCCAAAGTTCTTTCCTCCATCCAAGATTCTGGTCCAGTGCAAATAACATATGGGTAGGGCTTCCATCCTCACCACACCATCCAAAGCCATGGCACCTTGTGAAGCAATAAAGGTACATTACAGTGGTCATTATGAGGACAATCTGTGTCCACTTCTGAACTCAATATGTACTTCAGCAAAATGGGCATGTTTTTGTGTTGGACTAATAATTATTGTTTTCCTTAGGGAAGACACACAAATGCAAATTATGTATCAGTCTATTCCTGTAAACCAACATTCTCCCCTCTGATTTAATTTCTGGAATGCAGACAAAGTAACAGTATACAAAAAAGTTATTCTAAGCTTAACTAAGTATTTTGCTTAGATAATATTAGACAATTAATTCATTTGACAAGTAGAGCTTGAGAAAACTGTAAATCCTAATGAGGGTTATGTAACTTGGGGTATCTCAGACATCTTTTAGATTCCTAGTTATAAATACTTTTAAAACTTTCTCAGTTAAATTCATAACAAAGTTGTAATAACGATTTGTTCAGTACTATAAACTCTACTAAGTGGCTCACAAACATACTTGCAATTGATTTTCAAACATTCAGAGTGGGGAGGGCAGGTATTCTCCCTCTAAGCAGATGAGGAAAACGGGACTCAGAAACCTCAAATATCTTATCCTTCACGCCCACCCCAATCCTCAGCCCCTCCCCCAGCATTATGAGTTTGTATAGTATACAAAGCACTATGATAAAAAGTTTCTTTTCCATGAAACCCCAAGTGTCTTATCCCTGATTACATTGCTCAATGCATATGTACTGAATGACTAAATGACTAAAAAACCTGGGAATCCAAAATTGTTACTTTAGTAATAATGAAAATGATGGGCTGGGTGTGGTGGCTCATGCCTGTAATCCCAGCACTTTCGGAGGCTGAGGCAGGCAGATTACCTGAGGTTAGGAGTTCGAGACCAGCCTGGCCAACATGGTGAAACCCCATCTCTACTAAAAATACAAAAATTAGCCAGGTGTAGTGGCACATGCCTGTAATCCCAGTTACTCCGGAGGCTGAGGCAGGAGAATTGCTTGAGCCCGCGAGACAGAGGTTGCAGTGAGCCAAGATCGTGCCACTGCACTCCAGCCTGGCTGACAGAGTGAGACTCTGCGTCAAAAAAAAAAAAAAAAAAAAAAAAGGAAAGAAAATGATGGACCCTACTAAAGTATTTTATTATAATGCTAAACATTTTATTATATACTTAACCTCTCTGGAACTCAAAAACAAGACGTTTGGATTAATTAACCTCCAGGCCCCTTTCAGCTTGAATATTCTGCAGATCTTAAATTGAAATTGCAAACTCCAATGCTTTCAGGTAAGGTATAAGAAAAATCTTGGCCTTCTTGGAGTAGCTATTTACCCTGCTACTTTTGATGGGAACCTGGGTTCTAAAACATTTTCTGGCTCTAAGGAAGGGCAAGCATGATGACAAGTGAAACTGACATCAGGTTTCAGTGTTGGGGCTACAAAAGGGAGTCGGGGGGGCTTGTGACAAATGGGAGAACACGTGCTCAGGGGAAAGCAGTTCCTCAGCAACGAAAATGGCTGCCGCGTAGGAATGCAGGTCCACTGTGAATGTTTCCTCCGATTTTTCAAGGGAAGTCTTTTTTGTATGAACTCTCCTGATTTTTAAACGTTAGCAACTTTTCTTTTAAAAAGCAGTACAAGCCAAGCGAAAGGCAGCTGTTGGTCAAATCTGGGCTGTTGGTGACCCTGTGCTCCCGGGCTTTCTATTAAATTAACGCCCAAGATTACTATGATTCTTCATAGTACCCCTTTGTATAACAATAAAGTTGACAATGAAACCTTACACTTCTGGTCTGTTTTATGAGTCGTGAAGTGTTTTCTTACCCATTCTGGCACTCGATTCTCAAAGCTCATCAGATCAGGCAGGGAGGAATTATCACATCTACCTTATAAATGCATAAAATGGGTAAAGACAGTTCAGGTATTTCTTTAAGGTCATGTGGCTAGTTAGGTGAGGCGGAGGAGGGAAGGGATGACAACAGAGACCTGTAGCAGCTGAGGGTAATGTTGGCATCACATCTCATGGCTGCCAGCTGCCAACTTACTGTACATCACATATCATGCTATTTATATGCCTTATTTATGATTCTTTGACCCATTAGGCTGAAACTCCCTTTTAGGGCCAGGGAGATGCCTTAGTCATTGCTGTATTCTTTTTTATTTTTTTGAGATGGAGTTCACTCTTGTTGCCCGGGCTGGAGTGCAGTGGCGCGATCTCGGCTCACTGCAACCTCCGCCTCCTAGGTTCAAGTGATTCTCCTGCCTCAGCCTCCCAAGTAGCTGGGATTACAGGCGTGCGCCACCATGCCCAGGCTAATTTTTGTATTTTTAGTAGAGACGGGGTTTCACCATATTGTCCAGGTTGGTCTTGAACTCCTGACCACAGGTGATCTACCCACCTCGGCCTCCCAAAGTACTAGGATTACAGGGGTGAGCCAACGTGCCGGCCCATTGCTGTATTCTTATAAGAGTGCTTTGTACACTGCACAGACATAATGCTGAGGGAGGGGCTAAGGATTGGGGTAGGAGCGAAAGAAATGTAGGTGCTTTTCAATTTATACCTATTAATTGTACTAGTATAATTTACCCCTTATACTATGCAAATATAGACACTCTAATCATGTCCACACACATACTTATATTTTTAACAAATATTAACAGGGCTATCTTGGTGATAGGATTTTAGACCTTTTTGTTTTCTTCTTTATATTTTTCTGTATTCAGATGAATTTAATGTTATTTAAATGTTGCAGTCAGGTGAAGTTTTACTTATTCACAGTGTTTCAGTAGCATATTTACTGCATCAAGCAAAGTATACAAGATATAAAACAAAATATAGAACTTACAATCCCGTTACAGAGAGTAAGATGGTAGAGATGGAAAAGGACTCAGAGGAATAGTGGTGACAATGATGACAGCAGCCTTTTTGATAGTACACATTCAGATTCAGATTCAAATATCAATGACTGTCCATCAGTGTCTGGGTGACATTGAGAGCCTCAGCTGCTTTTAGGC
Source organism: Homo sapiens (assembly GCF_000001405.40). Classification (NCBI taxonomy): domain Eukaryota; kingdom Metazoa; phylum Chordata; class Mammalia; order Primates; family Hominidae; genus Homo; species Homo sapiens. The sequence continues at coordinate 161,056,214 of NC_000003.12, read as the reverse complement.
TCTCCCTGCACTGCCTTGCTGCATCTCTTAAGTAGTGCCACTCAATCCTTCTCCTCAGAGCAAACATTCTGCCTTGGGTGCCAATTAAGATCCTCACTCCCTTGCCCCCCTCCAACCTTTCTGTAGGCACACAGGTATGATTTAAAAATTGGAGTCCTGAGAATCCTTATTTTATGAAAATCCACCTTACTGCAACATTTTCTTAAGTGAGTGATGTCACTTTTTATGTTGTGGGGTACGGATTGGAAGCTGGATGGAGTAGAGAAAGTTGTGTGGAATTAACATGGTTTATAAGCCTTGCTTGATAATGCACATGGACACTCACCCACACAATGCCAGACTGCTTATGCTAATAGCAGCTCCCTTCTGTGACATAAAGTCTTTTCTATGAGAATAAGGGAAACTGCCATTTTTGTTCTTTAGGAAAGAGAGAGAGAGATTGGGGAGGGTAAGGAAGGGGTGGCAAGGGGTGAGGAAGGGGAGGAGGCGAAAGGGGGCGAGACATAGAGAGATAGGCACACACACACTTCAAGGATTTCAGTGAAGGTGTTACAACAGCCAAAGGGCCATTCATTATACACAGCACAGGAGAATCAACACATTTTTAGGATGAGGAGAAATAAAATAGGTTTATCTCGTAAAGGTTTGACAATGAGTGTTAGTTCAATAACACAATTTCAGGGCATAGATGACATCAAGGCCTGATAACGGACAGAAATTACATTGGAGTGCAACATACTGGAAAAAGAGCAGGTGAAGGCAGTCATTAATGAAACTATCACATGGGAAAGATAAGATCACTGTCAGCAGAGGTTTCCAGCCCCCACCTTCCACAGCCAACACTGTGGTCAGCCCTGTCCTGAAACACACATAAAGTACCCGGCAGCTCTCAGATAAGACTCCCTGACCCCTACTCTTGTCTGCATAATCTTTAAGTCTGCCAAAATCTGACCTGCCTAGAGGTTTTTACGAGTCTTTCTTCTAATAATCAATGCCATGGCATAGAAAGACTTGTCAGGGATGATACCTTGTGTGGAAAACACTATAAACAGTAAGCTTTAATCTTTCTTTTCTCTCTTGTCTATTGCCTGAGTCCTTGTACCCCCTGCTCTGACTTCACTGAGAGGCAGGCCATCATCAGAGTCATATCAATGTGTGTGGCTGGGCTAAGACACTGTGTCACCTGACATATTAGTCTAACTCTGTGAAGAGACTATTAAATTAATACTAATTACGATTCAAATCACAAGTCCATAGGTCCCCTGTAATAAGTCTTGTAGTAATGGGCTTGAAAGTCATTTTATGTTAAGAGAGGATGTGTAGAAAGTAATTGGAAATTGGAAAATGATCTATCTATATGGAAGGACACAAATGGGCCACATTGTGACAGCTGCCATATACTGAGCATTCACCATGCGTCAGGCTCTGTACTTAGTCCTTGGCATACATAATTTCTTTAATCCTAATAGCCTATGATGTACTATTATTATTCCCATCTTACAGATGATAAAACTGAGATTATGTGACTAGCCCAAGGTCACACAGCTAGTAAGGGGTAGAACCCACCTAGCCTGTTGCCAGAGTCTTGCTTTCAACATCAGGGCAGGCCATTGCTACCTTGTGTTTAATTTTTTGTGTGCAAACCAGAAAAAGGTATGTCTTCATCAAGACCCTTTACTACCATCTCCATAAAATGGCCATAATACATATTTAAATCGACAATGACCACAGTGTGAATGGTGCCGTCCAGAGCTGTGGGGTAATCCAAACATACACAACCATATGGGCAACCCTGCTTAGAGGCTTTATCCCGTACCCACTGACCCCAGGAAGAAAGACATCATAGTACAAGGTCAGTCAATGAGGAAGTTCAGCAGAACAGCACATTAGGGGGTTTCTATTTCATGGAGAGACTGGTAGCAGCCCTAAAACCTGACTGGGAAGAGTGAAACACTGACAACAAAACATCTGAGGCAAAGGATATAATTAAGAACACACCAAGGCCTTCTTCCATCAAGACCTGAGGTACTAGGATAGCAAACCATCTTTGTGGGCTTCCAAGCAGAAGAAGCAGTGATGGGACACGCCCATATATGCAGGGAGGCTCATGTGAATCCCCTGAACTGGGTGGAGACTGAAGGTCCCCTAAAATGGCACCTCCTTGGGTCTTCCTTTACAATAGAAGCTGCCTCAGCTTCCCCTCATCATGTGCTAAAGAGCAGAGCGGCAGGAATGACATTTTATGAGAAATAGATCCATTACAAATTAAAATTTTCTTTTCCTCTCTGATATTTTTGCATAAGCAAACATATCAACTATTGAGTTTGACACTGGATGAATATGAGGCAGTCAACTTGATGACAAATTCTATTATTTTAAACCCTAGTGCTATATAGTTTAATTCTAGATTTAGGTATACTTTGGCTCTTCCCCAGCAAACACAGTGATTAATAAGATGGCTACAATAAATTGAGAAACAGGGGATGAGTGCCAGAAAGACCTTTTCCACAAATGAGGTATGCCACCCTAAATATGAAAAAATATCTCTTTAGTGAGGGAGGTGGGGGTCATAATTCAACTTTCAGAATCTGACGGAGTGTTCATTTAATTTTCACACTTCACCAGAGTTAAAGTATAGATGTGTCATCTGATTCTCATGAATACTATTTTGAAATTAAAATGTTCTTCAACTTCACATTTCAACTGCTGTAATAATAATGTTTATTTCACACTTGGGTGCAGCCTATGGGCAACCTTCTGGTCCTTCCTTTTCTGTTAAGTATGAACATATTAAAGAGAGCTGCTTCCTAGTAAACTGATCACATGCATTGGAGAGTCTTAGGAAACCACAGTGGGTCCACTTGCTGCAGGAGGCTTCATATATACTCTCTGGGCATGACTATTTTGAGGTACATTCAAGCAGACAAGCTTTTCTGATCCTCATTAACATACTTCTCATAACTATTGCTGGCATTTCAGATTATACAATGCTACTGAAATTAATTTATAATTACATAATCACAACCTGAATTCTAAGTCCAGTATCTTTTAATGGTAAATAAAATTAATTTCATGGTTGCTTTGATTCTTCCTACATAAGCCAGAGAAGCACCAGCTATATTTTTTCACGTCTTCGTGTTATTTGAGGATTCTTCAGTGAGTTGTCTCACTTCTCTTTTAGGGTTCCCAGCAAATTATAACTACGGTCTCTGCTTTTTTTATGAATGCTATGGGAGTGGGGTATAACAGGAACTTCTGAAATTGAACCTTATTACAAGGGGCATTTGCCTTTCAATAAAAGGCAGAGAGGAGAAAGGCAGAGACAGGAAAAGGGGAGAAGAAGGCTGAAAATGAGAGGCACAGTCTGAAGCATCTGGTACTTAAAAGAGAATTACACTTTCTTTAACCTTTTTGTTATTGGTGTAGAATCAACACTCTTCCCTATAGTTTTAATTTAAAATGAACCTGTCCTTTGATATTATTAGGTTATCCTTATACAAATGACCATATAGTTATAAATCTATTTACATATACATGTGTTGGTAGGATGATATTTAGAGATATTAAATTCCCATCCCCTTGCATGTATATGACCCTCTTCCATTCAGCCTGAGACACTCATTGTCCTAGGGGCTATTAGGATTGCTATGGCTGAAATGCAAAGAAAAAGAAATAGTTATGCTCAGCTTTTGAATTTCAAGGAGACTGTGGAAATTCACAAAGCAACAATATTCTCAAGATAAAGGTCTTTTTACAAATCTATCAACCAAGGTTTTGGGCCACACCCCAGGACTACGAAGATGGAGCAAACAGTGAGTTTTCCTGCCCATGAATCCTCTCTTCCTGCTCTCCCTGATAAGTAAGGCTGGCCAGACAGCAGGGGTGTGAGTAGAGGAAGATGCAAGGGAGACAAAGAGGAAAACCAAGAGGGAGTCTTTGATGTGAGGATCTCCAAGAATTATGTGGAGCTCAAAGCACAGAAGACATAGAACTTGCTTTCCTGGGAATAGCCTAATAAATCATAAACCTTTGCTCCAGTATGGAAAGGCAATGGCTGAATAAGAAGCTAACTGGACAGTCTGGTGTGAAGCAGAGAAAACTGCTGAGAACCGCTGGCCTCCCATTGAGTGAGAACAGTAACTCTCAGGAGCTTCAGTGCCCCAATGAGTGGGCCTTCCAACCACAGGTCATGGAAACTCTGGGTCGCCCCCGCAGATGCCAGGTCAATAACACCATCCTGACACTTAGATCGCCCCTGGGGAAAAGGCGGACAAAAACATAAGGTCAATTTGGTATTTACACAAAAGAACCTGAGAAAATCAGGAAATTATGGGATATACGTGGAAGTGAATGAAATAAGCCCTTGTAAAGCATGCCATTGGCAGGTTCTGCAGTTACTCATAAATTATTTCCAGATGATATTTTCCATCCAAACAGAACACAGTCACTTATAAACTCACTTGGAGGGACAAAATAAAGACTATGCTATCATGTACATGTAGGATAAATAACCCCTAATCAGATTTTGGGCCATTTTGATCCAATAATATTATTAATTATCTAGCTTGTTTTGGGCTCAGCAGACTATAAAACTGACTCTAAAGCTATGTTTCCAGGAAGGCTGTGGTCCCAATGACCTGATAAAATCCTGATATTAGTTATATCTGGCCTATCTGGACACATATCAAAAAGTGATATCTCATCCATACATCTATATCTGAGAAAATACAAGCATATTACTGAATGAAGATGACCCTCTTTCTCCCTCACACTTCTATCTCCTGTATTTAATAATATAGGACAGGATGGTTGTGTGTGTGTGTGTGTGTGTGTGTGTGTGTAGTGACTAAATGGTTCTGTGTTCCTTGTTCCCTCATTCAGTGCCTACTATGTACAAAGTACTCGGTGTTTTCTGGAGAAATAAAGATGAATAAAATATAGTCCTTACCCGCAAGGCACTTACTGTCTAATGCCAAAATAAAACCAAACAGACACTTAGAATTCAGCATGATAAATGCTATGACAGTACTATGAGAGCCCAGATGTATGGGTGTGGGTGATAGCAGAGAAGGGAACTTGTCTCAGTCTGAGGAGATGGCGGGTGGTGGAGAGGATAGCTGGGAGGAAGTGAGACCTCAACTCTCTCTTAAAGATGCAACAGAGAGGAATTCACATAGTTTAATATGGTTCTTGACACAAAGAAGGAGGTAAAGAAGCAATCTGTAGAATAAAACCAAATGAAAGGAGCAACTTTTAAGAGAGGATTTCTTTGTAATTCACTTTCAAAACAAAGAATAGAAAAAAATACTTGTTTATGCTCTTTGACCTAATAATGCCAATTCTTGGATTTTATCCTAAGGAAATAATCAGAGATTTGAACTGAGCTTTATGTACAAGGATTGACCTCATAGAATTACTTAAAGTAGCAAAACAATGAAGACAGCCAAAATGAGTAGCTATAGTATGACAAAATGCATTATTAACTATCCAAACAAGAAAGCATTACAAGGACATTAATTATAGTGTTTCTGAAGAATATATATTGTCATGAGAAAGTCTCATATTTTAAGTAAAAAATAAAACACTTCTTATAAAATTTAAAAATAAATATTACATTAGCATTTTTACTTGAAAAGAACTATATATAAAAATTCCAATTTCATTCATTTAAATACTTGAAATGTGTATACAAATATATGCCAAAGATATTAGAAGAAAAAAGGATATCAGCTTTTAAAGTTGATTTGAATTTTTAAAAAAACTTTTCTGAAATTTTCCTAATTTCCTAGATACAATATGACTCATTTATAGAAATTACTTCACTTTTACCAAATTCAGAGCTTTTTACTTTCATGTTTCTTGGTGTTAGGCATTTTTTCCTTTCCTACTGAGGGTCTTTTGTCATGGTCTACAATGACTTGACTGGTCTTTTTGATAGTTGTTTGATTTTCCTCACTGGATCAACCTGTCATTTCAGTAACTTAAGACTGCGGCTATGCAAGTGAAATATTGATAAACCTTACTGACTCCCTGTTTTCTGTTTTGGCCAATGTAGTTCCAGAGAAAGAAAAAACAGTATCAGAAGGAACAGGGAACGCCAGGTCATAGACTCATCATGGGAGGCTTGGAAAGCTCTGGGTTTGCTGACACCACACTCAGGTGACACCACCATACCACATGGTTAGATGCTTTTGCCCAGGAAGGGACAAGGGATGGCCAGGAAGGTCGGGGGAAAAGTGGCAGACGGCAGCAGGAACAGGCTGATTATGAAACACTTGCTGCATGGGAAGCTTTGACCAGGGAGAGCCAGCTCTAGAACAGCTGGTGAGTCTGTTTCTGCTATGGGCAATTACTGAGTAGGTGTCACACTGTACAGGGGACCAGGCTGATGGAGGGCAGGGCTGGTGAGGAGGAGGAGTTACAGGATGCCAGAATCTCAAACCAGATATCAAGTCACAACAGGAAATGTTATTAACTAAACAGCTACAATGGGCCAGACACTCCATTTGCTGTTCACACATACCTGACCTTATCCAGTTTCACAAAAATCCTGCAAGGTACATGGGATTATTATTACCATCCCCTATCCCATTCTACAGATATGGAATAAGAAGCTCACCAATATCAGATTGCTTTTGAGTAGAAGACGAAGATTTTGAACCCAGGTCTGACACCCTAAATCAGGCTTTTAAAAATTTCTGCAAGATGTAGAACCTTATTAGGAGTGTGGCAAGGAGGCAGTTAGTTTTAGCAGCATATAACTTTATTTAAGGATTCTTTAAAGTTTATGCAGGTTGGGCATCCCAAATCCAAAAATCCAAAATCCAAAATGCTCGAATGAGCATTTCCTTTAAGCATCATGTTGGTACTCAGAAAGTTTCTTGTTTTTGTTTTAGGGTTTTTTTGTTTTGTTTTGTTTTGGTTTGGTTTTTTTTTTGAGACAGGATCTCACTTTGCTGCCCAGGCTAGAGCGCAGTGGCACAATCCTGGCTCATTGCAGCCTCGATCTCCTCACCTCAAGTGATCCTCCCACCCCAGCTTCCCAGGTAGCTGGGATTAGAGGTATGTGCTACCACGTCCATCTAATTTTTGTATGTTTTGGAGAGATGATGTCTCACCGTGGTTTTTTTTTTTTTTAATACTTTAAGTTCTAGGGTACATGTTCACAACCTGCAGGTGTGTTACATATGTATATATGTGCCATGTTGGTGCGCTGCACCCATTAACTCGTCATTTACATTAGGTATATCTCATAATGCTATCCCTCCCCCCTCCCCCCACCCCACGACAGGCCCCAGTGTGTGATGTTCCCCTTCCTGTGTCCAAGTGTTCTCATTGTTCAATTCCCACTTATAAGTGAGAACATGCAGTGTTTGGTTTTTTGTCCTTGTGATAGTTTGCTGAGAATGATGGTTTCCAGCTTCATCCATGTCCCTACAAAGGACATGAACTCATCCTTTTTTATGGCAGCATAGTATTCCATGGTGTATATATGCCACATTTGCTTAATACAGTCTATCATTGATGGACATTTGGGTTGGTTCCAAGTCTTTGCTATTGTGAATAATGCCGCAATAAACATACGTGTGCATGTGTCTTTACAGCAGCATGATATATAATCCTTTGGGTATATACCCAGTAATGAGATGGCTGGGTCAAATGGTATTTCTAGTTCTAGATCCTTGAGGAATCGCCACACTGTCTTCCACAATGGTTGTACTAGTTTACAGTCCCACCAACAGTGTAAAAGTATTCCTATTTCTCCACATTCTCTCCAGCACCTGTTGTTTCCTGACTTTTTAATGATTGCCATTCTAACTGGTATGAGATGGTATCGCATTGTGGTTTTGATTTGCATTTCTCTGATGGCCAGTGATGATGAGCCTTTTATCATGTGTCTGTTGACTGCATAAATGTCTTCTTTTGAGAAGTGTCTGTTCATATCTTTCACCCACTTTGTGATGGGGTTTTTTCTTGTAAATTTGTTTGAGTTCTTTGTAGATTCTGGATATTAGCCCTTTGTCAGATAAGTAGATTGCAAAAATTTTCTCCCATTCTGTAGGTTGCCTGTTCACTCTGATGGTAGTTTCTTTTGCTGTGCAGAAGCTCTTTAGTTTAATTAGATCCCATTTGTCAATTTTGGCTTTTGTTGCCATTGCATTTGGTGTTTTAGTCATGAAGTCCTTGCCCATGCCTATGTCCTGAATGGTATTGCCTAGGTTTTCTTCTAGGGTTTTTATGGTTTTAGGTCTAACATTTAAGTCTTTAATCCATCTTGAATTAATTTTTGTATAAGGTGTAAGGGAGGGATCCAGTTTCAGCTTTCTACATATGGCTAGCCAGTTTTCCCAACACCATTCATTAAATAGGGAATCCTTTCCCCATTTCTTGTTTTAGTCAGGTTTGTCAAAAATCAGATGGTTGTAGATGTGTGGTATTATTTCTGAGGGCTCTGTTCTGTTACATTGGTCTGTATCTCTGTTTTGGTATCAATACCAGGCTGTTTTGGTTACTATAGCCTTGTAGTATAGTTTGAAGTCAGGTAGCATGATGCCTCCAGCTTTGTTCTTTTGGCTTAGGATTGTCTTGGCAATGTGGGCTCTTTTTTGGTTACATATGAACTTTAAAGTAGTTTTTTCCAATTCTGTGAAGAAAGTCATTGGTAGCTTGATGGGGATGGCATTGAATCTATAAATTACCTTGGGCAGTATGGCAATTTTCACAATATTGATTCTTCCTACCCATGAGCATGGAATGTTCTTCCATTTGTTTGTAACCTCTTTTATTTTGTTGAGCAGTGGTTTGTAGTTCTCCTTGAAGAGGTCCTTCACATCCCTTGTAAGTTGGATTCCTAGGTATTTTATTCTCTTTGAAGCAATTGTGAATGGGAGTTCTCTCATGATTTGGCTGTTTGTCTGTTATTGGTGTATAAGAATGCTTGTGATTTTTGCACATTGATTTTGTATACTGAGACTTTGCTGAAGTTGCCTATGAGCTTAAGGAGATTTTGGGCTGAGATGACGGGGTTTTCTAAATATGCAATCATGTCACCTGCAAACAGGGACAATTTGACTTCCTCTTTTCTTAGCTGAATACCCTTTATTTCTTTCTCCTGCCTGATTGCCCTGGCCAGAACTTCCAACACTATGTTGAATAGGCGTGGTGACAGAGGGTGTCCCTGTCTTGTGCCAGTTTTCAAAGGGAATGCCTCCAGATTTTGCCCATTCAGTATGATATTGGCTGTGGGTTTGTCATAAGTAGCTCTTATTATTTTGAGATACGTCCCATCAATACCGAATTTATTGAGAGTTTTTAGCATGAAGGGCTGTTGAATTTTGTCAAAGGCCTTTTCTGCATCCATTGAGATAATCATGTGGTTTTTGTTTTTGGTTCTGTTTATATGCTGGATTACGTTTATTGATTTGCGTATGTTGAACCAGCCTTTCATCCCAGGGATGAAGATCACTTGATCATGGTGGATAAACTTTTTGATGTGCTGCTGGATTCGGTTTGCCAGTATTTTACTGAGGATTTTTGCATTGATGTTCATCAAGGATATTGGTCTAAAATTCTCTTTTTTGGTTGTGTCTCTGCCCGGCTTTGGTATCAGGATGATGCTGGCCTCATAAAATGAGTTAGGGAGGATTCCTTCTTTTTCTATTGATTGGAATAGTTTCAGAAGGAATGGTACCAGCTCCTCCTTGTACCTCTGGTAGAATTCGGCTGTGAATCCGTCTGGTCCTGGACTTTTTTTGGTTGGTAGGCTATTAATTATTGCCTCAATTTCAGAGCCTGTTATTGGTCTATTCAGGGATTCAACTTCTTCCTGGTTTAGTCTCGGGATGGTGTATGTGTCCAAGAATTTATCAATTTTTTCTAGATTTTCTAGTTTATTTGCATAGAGGTGTTTATAGTATTCTCTGATGGTAGTTTGTATTTCTGTGGGATCGGTGGTGATATCCCCTTTATCATTTTTTATTGTGTCTATTTGCTTCTTCTCTCTTTTCTTCTTTATTAGTCTTGCTAGCGGTCTATCAATTTTGTTGATCTTTTCAAAAAACCAGCTCCTGTATTCATTGATTTTTTTTTTTTTTTTTTTTTTTTGAGACAGAGTCTCGCTCTGTCACCCAGGCTGGAGTGCAGTGGCATGATCTCGGCTCACTGCAACCTCCGCCTCCTGGGTTCATAGCATTCTCCTGCCTCAGCCTCCCGAGTAGCTGGGACTACAGGCACCTGCCACCACGCCTGGCTAATTTTTTGTATTTTTAATAGAGAAACGGTTTCACTGTGTTAGCCAGGACGGTCTCGATCTCCTGACCTCGTGATCCACCCACCTCAGCCTCGCAAAGTGCTGGGATTACAGGCATGAGCCACCACGCCTGGCCCTCATTGATTTTTTGAAGGGTTTTTTGTGTCTCTATCTATCTCCTTCAGTTCTACTCTGATCTTAGTTATTTCTTGCCTTCTGCTAGCTTTTGAATGTGTTTGCTCTTGCTTCTCTAGTACCTTTAATTGTAATGTTAGGGTGTCAATGTTAGATCTTTTCTGCTTTCCCTTGTGGGCATTTAGTGCTATAAATTTCCCTCTACACACTGCTTTAAATGTGTCCAAGAGATTCTGGTATGTTGTGTCTTTGTTCTCATTGGTTTCAAAGAACATCTTTATTTCTGCCTTCATTTCGTTATACACCCAGTAGTCATTCAGGAGCAGGTTGTTCAGTTTCCATGTAGTTGAACGGTTTTGATTAAGTTTCTTAATCCTGAGTTGTAGTTTGATTGCACTGTGGTCTGAGAGACAGTTTGTTATAATTTCTGTTCTTTTACATTTGCTGAGGAGTGCTTTACTTCCAACTATGTGGTCAATTTTGGAATAAGTGCGATGTGGTGCTGAGAAGAATGTATATTCTGTTGATTTGTGGTGGAGCGCTCTGTAGATGTCTATCAGGTCCATTGGTGCAGAGCTGAGTTCAATTCCTGGATATCCTTGTTAACTTTGTGTCTCGTTGATCTGTCTAATGTTGACAGTGGGGGGTTAAAGTCTCCCATTATTATTGTGTGGGAATCTAAGTCTCTTTGTAGGTCTCTAAGGACTTGCTTTATGAATCTGGGTGCTCCTGTATTGAGTGCATATATATTTAGGATATTTAGCTCTTCCTGTTGAATTGATCCCTTTACCATTATGTAATGGCCTTCTTTGTCTCTTTTGATCTTTGTTGGTTTAAAATCTGTTTTATCAGAGACTAGGATTGCAACTCCTGCCTTTTTTTGTTTTCCATTTGCTTGGTAGATCTTCCTCCATCCCTTTATTTTGAGCCTATGTGTGTCTCTGCACGTGAGATGGGTCTGCTGAATATAGCACACTGATGGGTCTTGACTCTTTATCCAATTTGGCAGTCTGTGTCTTTTAATTGGAGCATTTAGCTCATTTACATTTAAGGTTAATATTGTTATGCGTGAAGTTGATCCTGTCATTGTGATGTTAGCTGGTTATTTTGCTCGTTAGTTGATGCAGTTTCTTCTTAGCATCGATGGTCTTTACATTTTGGCATGTTTTTGCAGTGGCTGGTACTGGTTGTTCCTTTCCATGTGTAGTGCTTCCTTCAGGAGCTCTTGTAGGGCAGGCCTGGTGGTGACAAAATCTCTCAGCAACATCTTACCATGTTGCCCAGACTGACCTTGAACTCCTGGGCTCAAGTGATCTGCCTGCCTCAGCCTCCCAAAGTGCTTGGGATTAGAGTTGCACCCAGCTGGTCCTCAGAAAATTTTGAATTTTGGAACACTTCAGATTTTGAATTTTCAATGCTCAACTTGCATTTGCTCCCACTAAAAAATAAATAAATAAATAAATAAATAAATAAATAAATAAATACAGGGCAGGCCAGGTGCAGTGGCTCACGTCTGTAACCCCAGCACTTTAGGAGGCCAAGGTGGGTGGATCATTTGAGGTCAGGAGTTCAAGACCAGTCTGGCCAACATGGTGAAACCCCATCTCTACTAAAAATACAAAAATTAGCTGGGCGTGTTGGTACATGCCTGTAATCCCAGCTACTCGGGAGGCTGAGGCAGGAGAATTGCTTGAACCCAGGAGGCAGAGGTTGCAGTGAACCAAAATCGCACCACTGCACTCTACCCTGGGTGACAGAGCAAGACTCCGTCTCAAAAAAACATACACAGAGCAATATACAAATGAGATATTCAAATAAATCTTTCTGGTACAGCATACAAATGAGGTATAAAATATTTTTAATTGTTTTTTTAATTCATGGCTGAGCTGGAAGATGTGATTTCCTTGGAGGCCAGAAACAAGAAAGTTACAAGCCCAAGGGGTAAAGTGAGTGGGAGGAGTTGATCACTTTCGAAACACCACCAGATACATCCTCTCCAGCACCCTGAGACCAATTTACTGCTGAAAGGGCTCTTAGGGTATTTAGAACGCAATGTTTCCAGTGCATCAGAGAGAGAACTGGAGAGTCTTCAGTGTTAGCAAAGTGATATAAAACACTTCTCCCAAGGGTCCTGAATTATATTACTTATTTTAATTCATCAAATAAGGCAACAGACTCAGGGACTAAGAAACCAATTCAACATTGGTGGCTGATTTGCAATAAAACCAGAACTTAAGCTGCATTTCAGCTGCTCAGTCCAGTACTCTGGGCACCACCCTAGAAGTGGGGCATATTGCTGGCTGCTGGCTTGAGCATCTGCTAAACGAAACTTAAAGGCTCATATTTTCCACATGTGAAAACAGCTTTAGCAGTTACAGTCCCAAACGTTTAAATGAACACTTGAGGCCCGCAGTATGTGAACAAAATTGATAAAGAAGCTGGCCAGGTCAGTTAAAAATGAGGAGATTCTATGATTAAATAGGGAAGACTATGCTGTAAGTGGGTTGAAATCCCCAACTGCATAACATGTGGATGGCAGGAGGCATCTTTTAAACTGAAAAATAAGAGCACTGCAAGGGGCACAACTTTCACTTATCTAAACCCTCCTCCCAGGACCCCTGGAAACTCCCTCTGGTTGACTGCTAAGAAATGAAGCTTCTCATGGCCCCACTGCCCTTTTGGATTCACTCTAAGTTGAACTGGCTTCTTCAGGTAGTTTTTCACTTGTTACCAGTCTATTTTCCAGGCAAATGTAATGAAGTCAACCACTGATTTGAAAAAAAAAAAAAATAACAATTTTTTTTTTTTTTTGAGACAGAATCTTACTCTGTTGGCCAGGCTGGAGTGCACTGGCGTGATCTCAGCTCACTGCAACCTCCGTGTCCTCAGTTCAAGCAATTCTCCTGCCTCAGCCTCCTGAGTAGCTGGGATTACAGGAGCCTGCCACTACGCCCAGCTAATTTTTTGTATTTTTAGTAGAGACGGGGTTTCACCATGATGGCCAGGCTTGTCTCGAACTCCTGACCTCGTGATTCACCCGCCTCAGCCTCCCAAAGTGCTGGGATTACAGGCGTGAGCCACGGTGCCTGGCCAAAAAAACCCACAATGTTTTTAAATATTAAGTACGATTCACATAATTGAATTTTGCTTAGGGCTCCACCAGGGAAAATATGTCTACCTATTTTGCTTATTGGAGTTCTTTAATAAGTAAAAGGTTTTCAGAGAACTTCTTCACTTTGAGTTGGTCTAGGCCCATAGACAGCACAAAACTGCCAGGTGGCATGGAACTGGGGAGGGAGGGCACCTTCGCAGGTGGTTTCCTGAGTTGGTCTGGCCTTGTGTAGCCCCTGAAGGACTTATAAGCCCCAGGGTGGCATTGTCCCTGACTTTCTGGGCTTCTGCTGCTCTGGCTCAAACAAGATTCTGGCTGAGCTTATGAATGTTGTTTATATAACCTCTGAACTCATCTGCTTGCTAGGCTGGTGGCTGAAGTTATTCATTCATTCAGCAGGCATTTAACAAGCACTTTCTGCCATGCCAGGCATTCTGGTAGTGTTGTGAACTCAGAAACAAAAGATGCATTCCCTAGGTAAAGAAGTGACAGCTTAATGGGAGGCCAAAGAAGGAAGAATAGAAAAACAACATTTCTATTACAGTTGAAGTTGACAGAACCAACCACAGAAACCAGCCTGCCGTGATACAAGGAGCAACTATTTGAGCTGAGTTTTGACTGATGAATGGGGAGTTAGCCAAGGGTGGTGGGGAGGAAGGTTTGTATTGCGTGCATGTATGAGTATGTATATGTATGTGTGGTGGTGGGGAGTTGAATAAGTAAATGAATGAGAACGGGTTTTTATTTTATCTTCCATACTTAAAAATTTAAAAATATTTTTTAACAATGATGATGACTAGTACGTCTCATTTAATGTGAGTCCAAATATATGTCAAATCTCAATATGGAAATTTCTGACATTAAGAAATGTCAAAGCTTTTAAACATTACCAAATTCTAAGTATTAATAGAGATCCAGGCACCCTTTAAGAAAATTGTGTGTGTGTTTTTTGTTTTGTTTGTTTGTTTTTTGAGGCACAGTCTCACTCTGTTGTCCAGGCTGGAGTGCAGTGGTGTGATCTCAGCTCACTGCAAGCTCCGCCTCCTGGGTTCACACCATTCTCCTGCCTCAGCCTCCCGAGTAGCTGGGACTACAGGCGCCCACCACCACCTGGCTAATTTTTTGTATTTTTAGTAGAGATGGGGTTTCACTGTGTTAGCCAGGATGGTCTCGATCTCCTGACCTTGTGATCTGCCTGCCTTGGCCTCCCAAAGTGAAAAAATGTGTTTAGAAAGAAAACATCATCAATAAAAAAGAGTCAAACTCTGTAAAATATTTTTCTGAGCCAAATATGAGTGACCATGGACCATGACACAGCCCTCAGGAGATCCTGCGAACATGTGCCCAAGGTGGTCAGGGTGCAGCTTGGTTTTAAACCTTTTAGGGAGGCATGAGACATCAATCAAATACATTTAAGAAATACATTGGTTTGGTCCAGAAAGGCAGGACAACTCAAAGCCAGGGCGGGGCCAGTGGGGGGAGGCATCTCCAGGCTATAGGTAAATTTAAACATTTTCTGGTTGACAGTTGGTTGAGTTTGTCATTGGTTGAGTTTGTCTAAAGACCTGGAGTTGACAGAAAGAAAATGTCCAGGTTAAGATAAAAGATTGTGGAGGCCAAGGTTCCTTTGAAGTCCTATAGTGAATGCCCTTAGAGACAGTAGATGACAAATGTTTCCTGTTCAGATCTTTAAAAGGTGCTAGACTCTTAGGTAACCTCTTTAGGATTGGAAAGGCCTGGAAGAAACAGATCTAGGTATGTTAACAGAGATTCTTTACAGATGCAAATTTTCCCCCACAAAGGACAGCTTTGCAGGGCCATTTCAAGATACGGCAAATAAACATGTTTTGGGGATAAAATAATTTTATTTTCTTAATTGTCTTGTAATGTTATGCCAGAGTCAGGTTGGAAAATAAGTCACAATATATAGGGTTAAATAAAACCCATCTGATGAGAATTTATGGTTTGTAGGGTATGATTCCCCAGACCCCTTAGATAGGAATTTGGGCAAGATAAAAAAAAAATCAGAGATTAGTCCTCACATAGAAAAGAAGCAAATTCCCACTCTGACTTTAGAATGTTCACAAATCATCCATATGGATTTTTTGTGATTAATTAATAGTAAAGGTTTTGGCCATATGCTATAGTGCCCAATTAGAGCACTGCAGAAAGTAAATAACCATGCTCGATTTTCTCTCATTCTATTTTCAGTTCGCATGTTTAACTTTATGTAGAGTCAGGGAACATGTTGCTCTTACTTGCAAATTTTAACTAATGGTAATGGAAAATACCCACCCTTAAGGATCTTAAATTAAGTACACATGTTATATCAGTCCCTCGATACAATGGATGAATGACATCCAGGTGAGGTTTTAAAAGGTGGGCGAGGTCTTAGCACTACTTAAGAATTAAATCTCTGAGACCAGAATGATCAAACTATGTATTGTACTTACAATTTCAATTAAAAAAATGCTGAAGTGTCACTCGAGAGAAATGGCTTCATATCAAAGAAGAAAGCAAAGGGGTGTCTAAAGATAAAAGAGTGTATTTCACTAAGCACCAGCACTTAGCCAGCTAATATTGTTTAAACTATGATCATGAACCATGGCAAATTCTCATGACCTTAAAGAGAGCACACAAATGAAATAACCAACCCATTCCACATCCAAACCCAGTAGATTTATACCCAGTTTCCAAAGAGGTATATGTTGCCTGAGATAGGAACACCAAGTTTTAAAAGTCCAAAAGCTTGCAGAAATCAGGATTGTAGCATTTATTTGGAGAAGTTTATTTGATTCAGGCTCCAGTTTGATCAGCAGATGGGAAGCAGGTTCTTTCAATGCTTTCTATCTAAATTTGCCACACGGAAGAAGTTATTTGTTATCATTTAAAATATGAGGTATGGCCGGGCGCAGTGGCTCACGCCTGTAATCCCAGCACTTTGGGAGGCCGAGGCGGGCGGATCACGAGGTCAGGAGATGGAGACCATCCTAACACAGTGAAACCCGTCTCTATTAAAAATACAAAAATTAGCCGGGTGTGGTGGCGGGCACCTGTAGTCCCAGCTACTCGGGAGGCTGAGGCAGGAGAATGGCATGAAACCGGGAGGCAGAGCTTGCAGTGAGCCGAGATCGCACCCCTGCACTCCAGCCTGGGCGACAGAGCGAGACTCTGTCTCAAAAAATAAAACATAAAAAATAAAATATGAGGTATGAGTTTCATAAAATTCCAAGTGAGGCTGGAACCTTGAAAGTTCCAACACTAGAACAGCTTCGGATGAAAAAATACACGCCCCCTCCTTACTGCTTCCCCATTCAGTCACCTTACTTCCTAACATGGCTGAGTTCCAAGAACCTTGATCATTTTTCCAAAGGAGAGTCCTCAGAATTGTCTCATTCTTAATTGGTGAGAGGCAAAATTGTTACAGGAAAAGGGTCCTAGTCCAGACCCCAAAAGAGAGTTCTTGGATCTCGCTCAGGAAAGAATTCAGGGCGAGTCCACAGTGCAAAGTGAAAGCCAGTTTATTAAGAAAGTAAAGGAATAAAAGAATGGCTACTCCATAGACGGAGCAGCCCCAAGGGCTGCTGGTTGTCCATTTTTATGGTTATTTGTTGATGTTATGCTAAATAAGGGGTGGATTATTCATGCTGCCCCTTTCTAACCATATAGGGTAACTTCCTGACGTTGCCATGCCATTTGTAAACTGTCATGGTGCTGGTGGGAGGGTAGCAGTGAGGAGGACTAGAGGTCATTCTCGTCACCATTTTGGTTCTGGTTTTGGCCAGCTCCTTTACTGCAACCTGTTTTATCAGCAAGGTTTTTATGACCTGTATTTTTTGCTGACTTCCTATCTCTCCTGTGACTTAGAATGCCTTAACTGCCTGGGAATGCAGCCCGGTAGATTTCAGCTCATTTTTCCCAGCTCCCATTTAAGATAGAGTTGCTCTGGTTCACATGCCTCTGACAGAATCACTAAAGGAAATGGAAGAATGTTCACATGATTTTCAGATTAATCACTTAAGAGGGGAGACTAGACTATAATATTTACCAAAAAGATGTGCTGACAATAAAGAATGAAAAAGATGTCAGGATGGAGTCAATTTTGCTTTTTTTTTTTTTTTTTTTTTTTTTTTAAAACAAATCCCAGCATTTTGGGAGGCCAAGGCAAGAGGATCTCTTGAGACCAGAAGTTTGAGCCTGGGCAACATAGTGAGACCACGTTTCTACACATAAATAAAAATTAGCCAGGCATGATGGCACATGCTTGTAGTTCTAGCTGCTCAGGAGGCTGAGGTCAGAGAATTGGTTGAGTCCAGAAGTTTGAGGCTGCAGTGGGCTATGATTGTGCCACTGTACTCCAGCCTGGGTGACAGAGAGAGACCCTGTCTCTAAAAAATACAAGAAAAATAAAACTCTTAACTATGTTTATTGATATTTGCAACCTACAACCAACCCTCTGTCATACATTTTTTTTTTTTTTTTTTTGAGACGGAGTCTCGCTCTGTCGCCCAGGCTGGAGTGCAGCGGCGGGATCTCGGCTCACTGCAAGCTCCGCCTCCCGGGTTCACGCCATTCTCCTGCCTCAGCCTCCCGAGTAGCTGGGACTACAGGCGCCCGCCACTACGCCCGGCTAATTTTTCGTATTTTTTAGTAGAGACGGGGTTTCACCATTTTAGCCGGGATGGTCTCGATCTCCTGACCTCGTGATCCGCCCGCCTCGGCCTCCCAAAGTGCTGGGATTACAGGCGTGAGCCACCGCGCCCGGCCACTGTCATACATTTTTATGAGGCAATGTGACCCAGTCTTGCTGAAGAAATGAACACAAGATAGATTCATTCAACATAATTGCAGCTTAAGACAACAAATATTTATTATCTCAGAGTTTCTGAGGATCAAGAATCCTGAGGGGCTTAGTAGGGTGGTTGTGCCTCAGGATCTCTCATGAGCTTGTGGTCAAGCTGTCAGTCATCTCAAAAGCTCAAGTAGGGGCTGGGTACAGTGGCTCACGCCCGTAATCCCAGCACTTTGGGAGGCTGAGGCAGGCAGATCACCTGAGGTCGGGAGTTCAAGACCAGCCTGACCAACATGGAGAAACCCCGTCTCTACTAAAAATACCAAAAAAAAAAAAAAAAAAAAATTAGCCGGGCATGGTGGCGCATGCCTGTAATCCCAGCTACTCGGAAGGCTGAGGCAGGAGAATCACTTGAACCTGGGAGGTGGAGGTTGCGGTGAGCTGAGATCGTACCATTGCACTCTAGCCTGGGCAACAAGAGCAAAATTCCATCTCAAAAAAAAAAAAAAAAAAAGCTCAAGTAGGGGAGGGTACATTCCCAAGTGCATTCACATGGATTCTGGCAAACCTCAGTTCCTCACCATGTAGGTCTCTCCACTGGCTGCCCAAGTATCATCTCTTCATGACATGGCAGTTGATTTCCCCCTGAGCATGTGATTCCAGAGACAAAGAGCAAAGGAGCAAACCAAAGTCAGAAGCCAGTCTTTATATAACCCAGTCTCAGAAGTATTATCCCATCACTTCTGCTATATTCATTCACTACAAAGGAATCATAAAGTCCTCCCTGCACTCAAAGGGAGAAGAATTAAGTTCCACCGCAATGAGAGAAGTATCAAATAACTTGTGGACATACCTTTAAAACCATGCTTATGGATACCATAGGGTCAGATAATAAAAATCTGGGCTAGCAAAGCACAGAGATCAGAATTATCAAAGATTTTTTTAAAGGATTTTTGCTTTGAATACAGACCTTTTTTACGATTCAAAAATGAGAGGCTTCCTAGAGAACTTGTTAGATACAAAAATATAGTAAATAAGATTTCATGGAAGCCATGTCTTTCTTGGCAGGAAAAACGGACTTGTCCCATCTTTTCAACCTTAATGGGAGTCCCTTAAAATCAAGGATCTCTGCTCTGAAAGCACCTTTGCATTTGCAGCAATCAATACGAATGTACTTCCCTGACTGGTGACCACAGGTTGATAATGACTAGTATGGGACTAAAGGTAACATTAAAAAGGAGAAAAAAACCTAGATAAACATGAAGGAATATGCACTATGTTCTGCAGTGTCTTGAATGGCACCGGGCCTGGGTTAAGAACCAAACTCTATGACTACAGACATAAAATTTACCAATTACTGAAGGATAACAATTACAGGTCACATTTATTGAGCACCTACTCTGTAACAAGCATTGTTCTAAGTGCTTTACAAACACTCATTCACATAATCCTCACATCAATCTACTAATAATACTCTCATATCCCCATCTTGCAGATGGTTGAACTAAGACACAAAAAGGGTAAGTAATTTGTCCAAGGTCACAGAGGTATTAAGAAGAGAAGATGGGATTTGAATCTAGGTAATCTGGTTCCAAGGGCCATGCTATTAACTTCCACAGGGTCTGATCTTCTCTACTTACCCTCAAATCTTTATGATTTTTTCTTATATTACTATTCCCTATATACATACTTATAATGAGCCATTTCCCCAAAGGTAAACAACTTTTCAGTACAGATCTGTGAAGTTAGTGATTATACCATATGAAGAGGATGATCAAGGAGGAACTGCTATTCCCCCACACTGACCTGGATAATTAATGTTGTCCCCAAAGTAATTTCAAAATTTAAGATAGAATATGTCAAAGCAGAGTCTGATCTTTTCTTTCTTAGGAAATCTGAGTCATGGCTTGATTTGGACTTGCTGACTTGCTGGTATACTGTTTCCCCTTTTTTCTGTGGTTTATGATGATGAAAATAAAAGCGGACATCATATGTATAGCTCATTAACTGGAGACAATCACCAAATGTTGAAATCAGCTTGCTGAACTAACCATGACCCTTCTTGAGTACGTTCAATCATATGCTGAAAAGCACTGCAAAAAAGAAACAATGTGTTCAAACCCCAAGAATGTCCTTGAAAATAACAAAGTCATCTATTGGGAATGTCCAGAAACTGGGAAAGTTAGAGCAACCTGTAAAATTATTTTAACTTTGGTTAAGTTCCTGGCAAGAATTGCCATTAACAATCATACATGACCTGATTTTATTTAGTTGGGAAATAAAGCAATCTTACCTCTGACATGAGGAAGTTTTAGTCTTGTACTTCCTCTCCCATTCATGTTATTTTAATCTTGCATCTCCTATTCTTTTTAGTCATTCTTTCAGGAACTATTTTTACAGTAACAACAAGGAGTAGTTGTACGTATCTGGACTTCAAACAATGAGGCACAGCCTTTAGCATGTCTGTCTACAGTCAAAAGCACTTTCTAAAGAATTAGAAGCAATGGTTACTTATCTCAAAATTAGCTCTTTCCTCTTTGGCCGAGGGGCGCTGTGCAACACAAACCATGAAACAGAAGTTTTCCTGTTTTACATCAGGCTTGAGCACTTCCTGCATTGCTCACCACTTCTTTCCGTTTGGGTTACTTACCTATTCAATAAGCAGAACAAAGCTCAGTCAAAACTGCAAGATGGCTCACTCTTTTTTTTTTTTTTTAATTATACTTTAAGTTCTGGGATACATGTGGAGAATGTGTAGGTTTGTTACACAAGTATACATGTGCCGTGGTGGTTTGCTGCACTCATCAACTAGTCATCTATCCTTCCCCTTGCCCCCCACCCCCTGACAGGCCTCAGTGTGTGATGTTCCCCTCCCTGTGCCCATATGTTCTCATTGTTCAACTCTCACTTATCAGTGAGAACATGTGGTGTTTGGTTTTCTGTTCCTGTGTTAGTTTGCTGAGAATGATGGCTTCCAGCTTCATCCATGTCCCTGCAAAGGACATGAACTCATTCTTTTTTATGGCTGCATAGTATTCCATGGTGTATATGTGCCACATTTTCTTTTATTTTTTTATTGTACTTTAAGTTCTGGGATACATGTGCAGAACATGCAGGTTTGTTACATAGGTATACACGTGCCATGGTGGTTTGCTGCACCCATCAACCCGTCATCTACATTAGATATTTCTCCTAATGCTATCCCTCCC
This sequence comes from Homo sapiens, assembly GCF_000001405.40. NCBI lineage: Eukaryota > Metazoa > Chordata > Mammalia > Primates > Hominidae > Homo > Homo sapiens. The sequence goes on along the minus strand of NC_000003.12, from coordinate 161,034,717 downwards.
CTACCTCCCCTAGTCCTCCACCCCCCCGACAGGCCCCAGTGTGTGATGGTCCCCTCTGTGTGTCCATGTGTTCTCATTGTTTGACTCCCACTTATAAATGAGAACATGCAGTGTTTGGTTTTCTGTTCCTGTGTTACTTTGCTGAGATTGATGGTTTCCAGCTTCATCCACATCCCTGCAAAGGACATGAACTCATCCTTCTTTATGGCTGCATGGTATTATATGGTGTATATGTGCCACATTTTCTTTATCCAGTCTATCATTGATGGCCATTTGGGTTGGTTCCAAGTCTTTGCTATTGTGAACAGTGCCACAATAAACATACACGTGTATGTGTCTTTATAGTGGCATGATTTATGATCCTTTGAGTATATACACAGTAATGGGATTGCTGGGTCAAATGGTAATTCTGGTTCTAGATCCTTGAGGAATCGCCACACTGTCTTCCACAATGGCTGAACTAATTTACGCTCCCACCAACAGTGTAAAAGTGTTCCTATTTCTCCACATCCTCTCCAGCATCTGTTGTTTCCTGACTTTAATGATCACCATTCTAACTGGCATGAGATAGTATCTCATTGTGGTTTTGATTTGCATTTCTCTAATGACCAGTGATGATGAGCTTTTTTTTCATAAGTTTGTTGGCTGCATAAATGTCTTCTTTTGAGAAGTGTCTGTTCGTATCCTTCACCCACTTTTTGATGGGGTTGTTTGCTTTTTTCTTGTAAATTTGTTTAAGTTCCTTGCAGATTCTGGATATTAGCCCTTTGTCAGATGGACAGATTGCAAAAATTTTCTCCCATTCTGTAGGTTGCCTGTTCACTCTGATGATAGTTCCTTTTGCTGTGCAGAAGCTCTTTAGTTGAATTATATCTTATTTGTCAGTTTGGGCTTTTGTTGCCATTGCTTTTGGTGTTTTAGTCATGAAGTCTTTGCCCATGCCTATGTCCTGAATGGTATTGCCCAGGTTTTCTTCTAGGGTTTTTATGGTTTTAGGTCTTACGTTGAAGTCTTTAATCCATCTCGAGTTAATTTTTGTATAAGGTATAAGGAAGGGGTGCATTTTCGGTTTTCTACATATAGCTAGCCAGTTATCCCAACCCCATTTATTAAATAGGGAATCCTTTCCCCATTGCTTGTTTTTGTCAGCTTTGTCAAAGATCAGATAGTTGTAGATGTGTCACATTTTTTTCTGAGGCCTCTGTTCTGTTCCATTGGTCTATATCTCTGTTTTGGTACCAGTACCATGCTGTTTTGGTTATCGTAGCCTTGTAGTATAGTTTGAAGTCAGGTAGCATGATGCCTCCAGCTTTGTTCTGTTTGCTTAGGATTCTCTTGGCTCTACGGGCTCTTTTTTGGTTCCATATGAAATTTAAAGCAGTTTTTTCTAATTCTGTGAAGAAAGTCAATGGTAGCTTGATGGGGATAGCATTGAATCTATAAATTACTTTGGGTAGTATGGCCATTTTCATGATATTGATCTTCCTATCCATGAGCATGAAACATTTTTCCATTTGTTTGTGTCCTCTCTTATTTCGTTGAGCAGTGGTTTGTAGTTCTCCTTGAAGAGGTCCTTCAGATCCCTTGTAAGTTGTATTCCTAGGTACTTTATTTTCTTTGTAGAAACTGTGAATGGGAGTTGACTCTTATCTCAAAGGATACTCTATCTCCTCCCTGGATGTGACCCATCCCTTAACACCCAATACTTTACAACTTTTCTGTGGGCCAGGGGCGGTGGCTCATGCCTGTAATCCCGAGGTGGGTGGATCACCTCAGGTCAGGATTTCAAGACCAGCCTGACCAACATGGTGAAACCCCATCTCTACTAAAAAAAAAAAAAAAAAAAAAAAATACAAAATTAGCTAGGCGTGGTGATGCACATCTGTAATCCCAGCTACTCAGGAGGCTGAGGCAGGAGAATCACTTGAACCCGGGAGGCGGAGGTTGCAGTGAGCTGAGATCATGCCATTGCACTCCAGCTTGGGCTATAGAGTAAGACTCTTATCTCTCAAAAAAAAAAAAAAAGGACTTCTCTGTACTGAGGCACTGTACTCATATTTGTTCTTCATAAGCATGCTCCAAGCCTTCAAAATCTGCCACCTCTACTTCCTCCCTCTTCACCCCCATCCCCTCATTAGGATTCCTGTTGCCTTGGTTTGAGGATCCTAGGTGTTAGTTGAACACCTGAGAATAGCAAGTTTCTATAATAGCAATTGATCTACTAACACAAGGGCAGGAATCCTCAATGGTGGGATTTCAGGAAATGTCATATGCTAGTAGGAGTTATATATGTAAGTAAGAAAGCCTTCCATGTGCTTTTCAAAGTGTATCAGGTAGGTGATGAGCAACTCCATTTATGTGTAAAGACAGCCCTTGTAATACATTTTTCGTACACTTTGAGTATTCACAAATTATTCTGGGGTGACCTATTGAGTGATAGAGAAATGGACAAAGGTGAGGGTAGGATCGCTCTTTGAAATACTGGAATACCTAACCCTAACAGAATAGAATGAAGGTAATTTCATGCTGCCACTTACAGGAAAATAAAGTGGCTCCACTTTAACCATTTGGTGAAATCTCTTTAGCCCTTTGGTTATCTCTACTGCTACTATTACAAAGGAGTAATTTTAAAATGGTCTCTTGTGTTCAAGCCCTAAAATAAAATGGGCTGAAGGAGTATGGGATGTGGTAAGGAGACAAGAAGGTGATAGGTCAGCCCTGTTAGACTTTGCTCTTTCTTTCTCTTTTCTTCCCCCACAGGCAGAGGAAGATGCTACTATGAACCCTTGTTGCCCTATTTTCCACTCAGTGGCCCTTATAGAAAGCTGTTTGGGAACAGCATCATTAGCGGGTAAGTTAAATTGGCTAAAACCTCCTCATGGACTGCTGGTGTTGCTGCTTTAAGGTATAGAGAATCGTCTGGTGTGGTGGCTCATGCCTGTAATCCCAGCACGTTGGGAGGCTGAGGTGGATCACTTGAGCCCAGGAGTTTGAGACCAGCCTGGGCAACACAGCGAGACCTGTCTCCACAAAAATATAAATTTTAAAAAATTATCCAGGCATGGTGGTATGCACCTATAGTCCTACTACTCAGGAGGCTGAGGTGGGAGGACCCTTTGAGCCCAGGAGTTTGAGGCTGCAGTGAGCTATGATCGCACCACTGCACTCCAGCATGGGTGACAGAGTGAGACTCTCTCTCAAAAAAAAAAAAAAAAGGACAGAATACATAGCTGCCATTCACAAGTCAGAGAAGAGCTATTCTGTCACAGAGTGTGATGAAAAGAACATAAGCTTTGGAGTCAGACAACCTAGCTTCACAGTCTAGCTAAATGCCCTCAGGCAAATGACCTTACCTCTTTTGGTTTCAGCAATATGCATCCTGGTACATAGTTGTTGCTCAACAATTGTTTGTTCCCATGGTTTTCTTTCCAGGTCACTGGAATCTACAAAGCCACCATAACCACTACTTTCCAGCTTGCGCCTGTGGTATCTTCATGAATTTTCTGCCATAATTGCACTGACCTCTTGCTTTATCAAACAGACAAGGACATCTGATTCTTCCAGCCCTCAGTACTTCTCAGAAATACAATCTTCTGACCTGTCTGAATTTCTCTGGAAGAGAACTTACCAGTCCTCTGGAGCCTGTGACAGCAGCTTATAAAGGAAAGTAATAAAAGAAAGTGGAGGTGAACCATTTTGGGCCCCTTTTCAAGAGGGAGGGTAGGTGTGGTTTTTGAGATCAAGTCCATTTGTCTAAAATTTCTTCCTCCTCTTATTTTGATTAGAAGTCTTCTCTGACATCCCATTCCTTTCCTAAGGTCTGGTGGAGTATACCAAAGGAAGAACTTCTGGAAGCTTTCCTTTTTTTTTCTCAACAGAGATTGTTTCTATATCCTGTGTTGTGAGTAGAATGTAGTAGGCACATTAGAGGCCTTCTTTCTCTTATTTCATATAACTGAGGATTTTGATGTATGGATGCTATCTATGGGGAAGGAGATATATGGCTTTGAAAAACATATTTGGAAGCAAAAATATTGGGAGCCTGGGCCCATCTAGAAGTCTGACTCTAATTGGTAGTCCTCTAAATGATGAAATACCCAAATTCCCACTTTGGCATCTCTTGGTTATTGATATTATTATAATAGTGACAGGAGGAGGTTGTTGTCGTAGTCCATTTAGGCTGCTATAACAAAATACCTGAGACTAGGTGATTTATAGATAACAGAAAATTATTTTTTACAGTTCTAGAGGCCGGGAAGTCCAAGATCTAGGTCCTGGCAAATTCAGTATCTGGGGAGGGCCTGATCCATAAGTGCCACTTTCTTATGGCATCCTCTCATGGTGGAAAAGGCAGAGGGGCAAATTAATAAACGAACAAACAAACAAAAAAAAGTGGGGGAAGAGGGATGAATGCTGTGTCCTTACATGGCGAAGACATAAAAGAGCAAAAGGCACGAGGGCACTCCTTTCAACCTCTTTCATAAGGTCACTAATCCTTAATCGTCTCCTAAAGGCCCTATCTTTTAGTACTAACTTTTGTGACTAAGTTTCAACATATGAATTCAGGTGGGGAGGCATGTTTAGACCATAGCAGTTGCTGATTTGGAAACTGTAAAATGGAAAATAGGAGACAGTCTGTAAAATTTTGTCTGAGACAGGCATGAAGCAGCTCAAAGTCTACTCCCACGGTATCTGCAGGCATGAGGTAAAAAAGTTTCCCAAGTTTCCATGGGCCAGCTTGTGCTCAGTCTTTTCTTCATGGTTGCTGAAAACTTCAGGGAGGCTGTAGGGTGGTGGTGGTGGCAGGGAGTTGTTCTGATATCAGGAATATAATGAAGTCATGTCATTTTATAAAACAGCCACTGAGGCAGAGAGGTTAACGGCTTGCTCTCTTTTGTTTTCTCTTGCCAGTTCTGCTCTATGGCTCAGTAGAATAGCAAGGAAAGGAGAAATTCTATGGGGCTGTGTATATTAAGGGTGACAGTAGAGGGGTAGGTGGTTTCCATAAAGTAGTATGTATAAAAATGAGCTCCTGGGGGTACTGATAAACAGCAAAGTCAAGAAAAAAATGGAAATAGATTAAGGTTTTCTTTTTGGAAACTATTAATAAGAATGTGCTTTTAGAGATTATTTTGAGGCCTCTTTTATATTTTCAGATGCTACTTCTGATATTCATGGTGGAAATAAAAAATATCCTGCCTACATATCGCTTTCTTCTTCTCAAAGTTTAAAAGTGGTTTCATTCAGCTTATTTACTGGAATTGTATGACATTCTTGTAAAATGTGCAAGATGATTTAATACCAATTCCATTCTGGCATCATTAATGAAAATAATATGAACTTGCAATGAGATGGACAGGGGTTTCAAATCTTAGCTCCAGTTACTATTTGTATGACCTTAGCTAGTTAATAGCACTGTAAAACTCAACTTCATTTGTTCACTAAGTCTGGCTCTTTCTGTAACTATCTCAGAGGGTGCTTATGAGGATAAAATGAAATAACCTATGTAAAATGTTGGCCACCAGAAGCACTCAATAAATGTTTCCTTATGTGTGAGACTTCAAATCCATATCTGCCCTTTCAGATATTTGAGCGGCCATTAGACTACATACATACAGTTAGGTTTCGTTTGTTTGTTTGTTTGTATATGTGCTGGCTCTGACACTAGAACTGAGGTGGAAAATAATAAGTATTATGCTCACCATAAGTGCTTAAAGGCACTGGGAGTGTAATATGAAACCCAAAGTGTATTAACTGTGATGAATTAGACTTTTATTAGTACGGATGACCTCCCTGAATCCATACTGACCACAGTTCATCAAGATTACTGCTATTACACCAAGTTGCATGTTAAGGAGTACAATCTCACTAATTACAATTTTAGAGGGCACGTACACTGGCATTCTGTCAGCATCCTGATAAGCTTTTATTAATGACTGCCTCAGGCCTAGGGTACCCTCTCCTAACATTCTACCACCCGGGAGAGCCTTTTTGTTGTTGGTGTCATGTATCCCAGTTTATTCATAGGGGAGGGGTGGTAGGAGAGGGATAGTAATTTGATTCTGCCTTGCAGTAAGGCTGAGATTCTCAGCAACAACCATGCTGGCCCAGCCTCTCTTTGAGCTGACTTTGAGCTGATTTTCTCCTGGATGTCTGGGTCCTTTCCCTTTTCTCCTTTACCTCTGTTTGGTTCTTTTTACTGTCTACTTTGCAGAAGCTTCTTCTTCTACCTGTTCCCCAGGGTTCTGCCCTTGGCCCGCTTTCTTTTCTCCTGCCATACTTGCCTAAGATTGTCTCACTCACACCCACATCTTCAGCTGCATCCACCTGTATACTTAGGCCTCCCAAATTTTTATTCCCAGCCTGAGTGTCCAAACTACAGGGACTCTACATTCTGTTTTCCTGTAGGGACCTCAAACTCCTTATGTTAAAAAAAATTTCTTAGAATTTACACGTGCCGTTTCATTCATGCAGCCTGAATCACAGAATGTCATCAATATTTATCCAAATCCAGGGACTTGGGAGTCCACAATGACTCCATGACCATAGCAAATCACCCGGTAAGCCTTGTTAATTCTATTACTTTATGATTTCTGAAATTCCCCTTCTCCTCAATCACTTTCTGATTATGAGAAGAGCCTAGTGGTTAAGAGCACAGGTTTTGGGTCTGATTCCTAGTGTCACCACTTGCCAGCCATGAGGCCGAACAAGGACTTCAGCCACATTTTCTAAGCCTTGGTTTATCTATAAAATGAGGATAACCTTTGATTTACTGTTTAAACCAGTTAATGTTCAGTACCTAGGCCATGAGGAGCCCTCCATATGGTTAGGTTTTATTCAGTTTCTCATTTCTTCTCAGCTTGACCAGCTGAGTTCTCTTTTTGCAAATTTTTTTGCAAACTTATTCAGTTCTCTTTTTGCAAACTTAGATGTACATAAGATTCACCTGGAGGGACTTTTGGTGCTCCTTAGATTGCTGGGCCCCATTCCAGAAAGTCTACACTTGTAACAAGTTCCTAGGTGATATGGTTTGGCTGTGTTGCCACCCAAATCGCATCTTGAATTCCCACGTGTTGTGGGAGAGACCCTTTGGGAGGTAATTGGATCACGGGGGCAGGTCTTTCCCGTGCTGTTCTTGTGACAGTGAATAAGTCTCACAAGATCTGATGGTTCTATAAGAAGGAGTTTCCCTATACAAGTTCTCTCTTTCTGCCTGCTGCCATCCATGTAAGGTAAGACTTGCTCCTCCTTGCCTTCTGCCACGATTGTGAGGCTTCCCCAGTCACAGGGAACTAACTAACTGTACGTCCATTAAACCCTTTTTCCTGTATAAATTACCCAGTGTCAGGTATGTCTTTATCAGCAGTGTGAAAATGGACTAATACACCAGGTGATGCTGACTGCTGCTCCTAGGCCTACACCTTGATTGCACCAATCGTCTAAAGGTCTCTTGGCCTGCAATCTCCCCACTCCCATCATAGCTGCTCCACAGTGCTGTCAAAGCCATCTTTCTAAAGCATGATCCAATCTTTACATAAAATTGCTTGAATTTCCTAGTAGCTGCTAAGCATTTACAATGTGGTTAGATATACCTCTGAGTGATTAACATCAGTTAGCTTATTTAAAGCTGAGAACAGCTCTGTGAGGTAGACAATATTATCTCCATTTTACAGATGAGAAAACCAATGCATAGAGACCTTGCGTAACTTGTCCAAGATCCAAGGTAGTAAGTTTCAGAGCCAGAATTTGACACCAGATTCCAGCCCTCATCTCTGGAGCCAGTGTACTCACTGCCCTTCTTCCCCTGCTATTTCTCCACCTTAAAATCTTCCAAAGAGCAATAGCCTCCAGGATTTAAACTCAACAATTGGCATGGCCTATGTGAATTGTTCTTGTTCACCACCCATTACCTTGTTCCTTGAGTCTGGCCATTAAAAACCAGTTTGGCAAGTACATTTTCCCCTGCACAAGACACCAAGACACTTCTATCTCCTTGTCAATTTTCTTTTTTTTTTTTTTTGAGACAGAGTCTCACTCTGTTTCCCCAGCAGGAGTGCAGTGGCGTGGTCTCGGCTCACTGTAACCTCTGCCTCCTGGGTTCAAGTGAGGGATTCCTGCCTCAGCCTCCTGAGCAGCTGGGATTACAGGCGCCCACCACCGTGCCCAGCTAATTTTTGTATTTTTAGTAAAGAAAGGGTTTTGCCATGTTGGCCAGGCTGGTCTTGAGCTCTTGACCTCAGGTGATCCTCCTGCCTCGGCCTCCCAAAGGGCTGGGATTACAGGCGTGAGCCACCACGCCCGGCCGTCAACTTTTATTCATCCTTTATAAAGCTTGACTAAGATGTTACCTCTTCTGAGAGGTCTTCCCAGCTCTTCCTCAGCAGCTGTGGATTAAAGGCCCTCCTTTTGTGGAAATTCCCCTAGCACCTAGCACTTAGCTATCTTTTGAAACTATACCATGCACACCTGCTTGCTTGTCTAACCCTTCACCAGTGAGTACCCCCTTAAGGGCAGTACAAACTCTTACCATTGCATCTGGGAAGCAGTTAATAACTATCTGTTAATGTTTGAATGTAAACTACAGCCAATGGCACTTTTAGGCCCTCACCTCTTACCTCCTTTCTGGGTTCCTTCTTTGGACTTCCCCTTAGGACTACATTGCAAAACTAGTCTTAATTATATTTCTTTTAAAAAGATTTTTTTATGTTTGTTATTATTTCCCTAACTAGAAAATGTAAAATATAACAAATATTCACGTACCTACCACTCAACTTTAATAACTTTTAAGATTTTACTTTATTTGCTTTAGATCTTTAAAATATTATTATAAGAAAATACATGGAACTATTAATTTCCTAGTGAATCAAAATAAACTCAATCTCAAAGAGTTTTTGTTTATATTTAATTTCCATTTTGCTTAACCTATCGTCTTAGTTTATTTGTGCTGCTATAACAAAATACCAGTGACTGGGTAATTTATAAAGAACAGAAATTAATTTTCTCACAGTTCTGGAGGCTGGGAAATCCAAGATCAAGGCACCAGCCTCTAGTGAGGGCCTTCTTGCTGAGTCCTCACATGGTAGAAGATAGAAGGGCAAGCTAACCAAATGCTGCATGAGACTCTTTTTTTTTTTTTTTTTCATTTACAAATGAGGTCTTGCTGTGTCATCCAGGCTAAGGTGCAGTGATGTGATCATAGCTCAATGAAGCCACGAACTCCTTAACTCAAAGGATCATCCTGCCTCAGCCTCCTGAGTAGCTGGGACTACAGGCACATGCCACCATGCCGGGCTAATTTATTTATTTTTTTTAAGTTTTTAGAAGTGGATTCTTACTATGTTTTCCAGGCTGGTCTCAAACTCCTGGCCTCAAGTGATTCTTCTGCCTCAGCCCTCTGAGTAGCTGGGATTATAAGCGCAAGCCACTGTACCTGGCATGAAGGATCTTTTATAAGGGCCTTATACCTATTCATGAAGGAGAAGCTCTCATGGCCTAATCACCTCTTAAAGGCCCCACCTCTTGATACTGTCACACAGGCAACACCTCAGTTTTGGTGAGAAAACATTCAAACCATAGCACCTATACATAAGAGACTTCTGGAATGGCAGGGTAAGCACTTCCAAAAGTCTGCTCTTCCACGAAACTATGAGAACACTGGAAAAAATTGTTAAAAACAACTTTTTCAGAATTCTAGAAATTAGCCTGAAGCTTTCAACAAACTAAGGCATGCTTATTTAAGAAGAAAATGGCTGAATATTGGTAAGAAGAGTGAGCTTTGTGTTGTTTTAACTCACCCTATTCTCATTCCTCTCTAGCCAACTCTGTGGCAACCTTGAAAACTAGCAGCCTTGTATTCACAGTGGTTGTGAAAATTAGCAGCCTAACCATCATGAAAAGGGGATGAGGAGGTTTGGAACTCTGAAGAAGAGCTCCATCCCCAGAAAACTGTCACCATCTGACCTGTCTGGGAGCTCACTGGAAAAACCTCATTTGCAGAGCTTCCTTTTTTTTTTTTTTTTGAGATGGAGTTTCACTCTTGTTGCCCAGGCTGGAGTGTAATGGCGTGATCTCAGCTGACCACAACCTTTGCCTCCTGGGTTCAAGTGATTCTCCTGCCTCAGCCTCCCGAGTAGCTGGGATTACAGGCATGTGCCACCACGCTCAGCTAATTTTGTATTTTTAGTAGAGATGGGGTTTCTCCATGTTGGTCAGGCTGGTCTCGAACTCCCGACCTCAGGTGATCTGCCCGCCTCCGCCTCCCAAAGTGCTGGGATTACAGGCATGAGCCACTGCACCCGGCCAGAGCTTATTTGATCTGATTCAGAGCTTCCGAGGTAGGAAAGCCCTATCCCCAGGGTATTGGTTAAAAGCAATCAGTGGCAATTATTTAACACTGCAGTCATGTGAAAGCCAAACAAAAGACTATCCAAAAATCTTTTTTTTTTTTTTTTTTGAGACGGAGTCTTGCCCTGTCACCCAGGCAGGAGTGCAGTGGCACAATCTTGGCTCACTGCAACCTCTGCCTCCCAGGTTCAAGAGATTCTCCTGCCTTAGCCTCCTGAGTAGCTGGGACTACAGGTGTGTGCCACCATGTCCGGCTAATTTTGCCCAGCTAATTTCACCATGTTGGCCACGCTAGCCTCGAACTCCTGACCTCAAGTGATCTGCCCGTCTGGGCCTCCCAAGGTGTTGGGATTACAGGCATGAGCCACCATGCCCAGCCCCAAAAATCTTAAGGGGAAGATTTGGGAAATGGATGTCCACAGTGGAATTTGAAAAGCTCCAACATATTCCTGGGATACATGTGTAAGACTGTGTGCATGTGCAGAAAAGACCTTAAAAGGCCCTAATTTATTACCTCTAGATGACTTTATGGCCCTACACAAGCAAGAAGTGAAAAAAAATAAGAAATGCAAAGAAACAGGAAAGTACGGCCCATACACAGGGATAAAAAACTAATAGTAGAAACTACCCCCAAGTAAGCCCAGATGTTAGACTTTCAAGAAAAAAACTTTAAATCCACTATCATAGTATGTTTAGAGAATCAAAGAAAACTGTGTCTGAAGAACTAAAGGAAAGTATAAGGATGATATCTCATTGAATGGAGAGTATCAATGAAAAAATTACCAAATTACCAAATAGAAATTCTGGTTTATATTTGCGTAGTAAATGAAATGAAAAATTCAATAGAAGGATTTTACAGCCGATATGAGGAGGCATAATAAAGAATCAGCAAACTTGAAGATAGGTCAATTGACATTACCTAATTTGAGAAATAGATAGAAAAAAGAATTTTAAAAAATTTTAATAGAGCAGAGCCTTAACAATCTGTGGAACATCATGAATTGCAACAACATATATAGGATTCCCTAAAGGAGATGAGACAGAGAAAGGAACAAAAGAATATTTGAAGAAATAATGGCCAAAACTTACAAAATGGGATGAAATACATTAATCTATACATCCTAGAACCTCAACAAATTCCAAGTAGAATAAACTCTAAGAAATCCACACCAAGACATACAATCAAACTGTTAAAAGCCAAAGACTGAAAGAGAATCTTGAGAGCAGCAAGAGAAAAAAAAAAAAACCCTCATAATGTACAAGAAAGTTTCAAATGAGACTAACAGCTGATTTCTCATCAGAAACCATGGACATCAGAAGGCAGTGGGACAACATATCGAAGTGCTCATGAAAAGAGTGTCAACAAAGAATTCTCCATCCATCAAAATTGTGCTTCAAAAATGAAGGAGAGGCTGGGCACAGTGGCTCATGCCTGTAATCCCAGCACTTTGGGAGGCCAAGGCAGGCGGATCATGAGGTCAGGAGATCGAGACCATTCTGGCTAACACAGTGAAACCCCATCTCTACTAAAAATACAAAAAAATTAGCTGGTCATGGTGGCAGGTGCCTGTAGTCCCAGCTACTCGGGAGGCTGAGGCAGGAGAATGGTGTGTACCCAGGAGGTGGAGCTTGCAGTGAGCGAAGATTGTGCCACTGCACTCCAGCCTGGGTGACAGAGCGAGACTCCATCTCAAAAAAAAAAAAAAAAAAAAAAAAGAAGGAGAAATTAAGTAAGTTATTCAGATAAAAACTGAGAAAAGTTGTCACTTGAAGCCCTGAACAAAAAAAGGATTTCATAATAGAATCCTTCAAAGTGAAATACAAGGATGCTAAACAGTGATTTGAATCCACATGAATATATAAACAAATGTAACCAATAATTAAGTAAATATAATAGACAATAGAAATGTATTTTTTTACAGAAGCAGGATTTTAATTTAAAAAGAATTATATTTTGTTCTAATTTGATCTTATTTGTTAACTTTTTTCTTCTAATTTAAAAAATAAATGCATAAAGAAATAATTATGAAATTATTGATGACATTATAATGTATAAGCATATAATTTGGTTGACAACAGCACAGAGAATGGGGAGGGAATAGTGGTATATTAAAGCAAAGTCTTTGTTTAAAATCGAAATTAGTTTAGAATTAATATGAACTAGATATTTTGAAGCTAAGGTGTTACTTGCAGTCTCCAAGCAGTCATTCAAAAAGTAACTAAGGGTAAAAAAAAAAAAAATGGAATTAAAACAGAAAACATCTAGCTACACAAAAGTATGCAATAATGGAGTGATAAAGGAACAAAATACATAAGACATATAAAAAACAAATAGTAAAATAGTAAACATAACTTTTAACTTGTAGGTAATTACCTTAAACATAAATGAATTAAAAATTCTAATAAAAAGGCAGAGATTAGCAAAATAGATTTTTAAATCTTATCCAACTATGTGCTTTCTAGAAAATACTTTAGATCCAATGGCACAAATATGTTAAGAGTAAAGAGTAAAGTATGCTATAAAAAAAACCAGAAGAGAACTAGAGTAGCTTTACGAATATCAGAAAAAATATACTTCAGACAAATTATTACTAGAGACAAAAAAGGATATTTTAAAACAATAAAAGGGTGAATACATCAGGGAGATAAATATATATGCACATAACAACAGAGCTCTAAAATACGTGAGGCAAAAACTAACAGAATTAAAGAGGAAAATAGATAGTTCAACAATAATAGATGACAACTTCAAAATCTCACTTCCACTAATAGATAGAACGAGGCAGAAGATTAAAAAGGAAATAAATAAATAAAAGACTTGAACAATACTAGAAAACCACTAGACCTAACAGACATGTATAGAACACTCCACCCAATAAAGACAGATTATACATTCTTATCAGGTATACACAGGACATTCTCCAGGTTAGACTATAAAACAAAACTTAAATAAATTTAAAAGGGTTAGAAACATACTAAGTATGTTCTCTGACCACAAACGAATGAAATTAGAAATCAATAGCAGAATAAATTTGGAAAATGTAACAATATATAAAGAAGTCATGAACACAATCCTAAATAACCAATGTATCAAAAAAAGAAATCACAAGGGAAATTAGAAAATATTTTGAGATGAGTGGAAATGAACATACACCCAAAACTTATGGGATACAGCTAAAGTGTTTTTACAGCTATAAACACCTATATTAAAGAAGAAAGCTCTCAAATAAAAAACCTAAGCTACCACCCTAAGAAACTAGAAAATAAGAGCAAACTAAACCCCAAAGAAGAAAGAAAATAATAAAGATTAGAGCATAAATAAATGATACAAAAATAGAGATACAACAAAAACAAAAGTAGGTTCTTAAAAAAGATCACCAAAGTTGACCAAACTTTAGCTAGATTGATGAAGAAAAAAAGGGGAGAAGACTCAGATTACCAAGATTGGGAATACAGGAAGGGACATCATTACCAACTTTATATCAATAAAATAAAAGGATAATAAGAAAATACTATGAACAATTTAATGTATACCAATAAATTAGATTAATTAGATAATGTAGATGAAACTTAGAAGTTCCTAAAAAAACACAAACTGATAAAATTGACTCAAGAAGAAACAGAAGATCCCAACAGACCTATAACAAGTATAGAGATTGAATTAGTAATCAAAAGCTTCCCATAAAGAAAAACCCTGACCCAGATGGATTCATCAGTGAATTCTATCAAACATGCAATGAAGAATTAATGCCAACCAATTCTTCACAAACTTTTCCAAAAAATACAAGAGGAAGGAGCACTTCCAATTAATTCTATGGTATGGGCAAAACAGTATCTTATGGTGATTTCACTTGCATTTCCCTAGTTAGTTGATAAGGTTTAGCAACTATTTAAGGGACATTCCTATTTCCCCTTCTCTGAAATGCTTCTCTGAAACATGAGCCTTGCTTATGTTAAGGTCAGTTTCCTCAATCAGCTTTATTAGAAGTAAAGCTGTTATTTTGCTTCTTGCTACTTGACTGTCTCCTATGTCTTATTTCTCAATTACTTATAAGTTTAAAGGGAGGAAACAGGGTATTATTTTAGATGTCCTGGTGTAGAAATAAATAACCAATTTGCCTACACGAGGGTTCAGGACTTAAATATATGTTCAAATATTTTGAAATGCCAGTATATATTAGAGTATAAAATTGAGTTAGGAGATGTCTTGTTTTTTCTAGGCTTAGTACAACTTTTTTTTTTTTTTTTTGAGGTGGAGTCTCTCTCTGTCGCTAGGCTGGAGTGCAGTGGCACGATCTTGGCTCACTGCAACCTCCACCTCCTGGGTTCAAGTGATTCTCATGCCTCAGCCTCCTGAGTAGCTAGGATTACAGGCACACGCCACCACACTCAGGTAATTTTTTGTATTTTTAGTAGAGAGGGGGTTTTTCACCATGTTGGTCAGGATGGTCTCGATCTCCTGACCTGGTGATCCGCTGCCTTGGCTTCCCAAAGTGTTGGTATTACAGGCATGAGCCACCATGCCCAGCAGCACAACATTTTATAGTTAGCTTCGTTTATGATTTTAGAGAAAAAGGCCAACTAATTATATGACATATCATCTTGTTAATGCATTACTGTGACCCTAGTGGACATATATCATGCAGTAAATGCCCTGAGCTAACTGACTGATGATGCAGCAGTGACAGGTAACACAAACTCACTCAAATTTATTTATTTGAAAGTTTGTTCTATATACAAAACTCTTACTGCTAAATGGTACTTTGATTCTATCTTACTTCTGAACAAATTTCCATCTTTGTAGTAGCTAAAAACCAGCTGTTGACCTCACCAAAAAGTGTCCAGAATTTATTTTAGTAGTTAAAAAAGAATTGGTGGCCAGACATGTTGACTCATGCCTGTAATTTCAGCACTTTTGCAAGCCAAGATAGGAGGATCACTTGAGATCTGGAGTTCGAGACCAACCTGGACAACATAGTGAGACCCTATCTTTACAAAAAAAAATTTTTTAAATCAGCCAGGCATGGTGGCGCATGCCTATAGTCCCAGCTACTCGGGGAGTTGAGGTGGGAGAATCACTTGAACCCAGGAGTTTGAGACTGCAATGAGCTATGATTATGCCACTGCACCCCAGGCTGGGTGACAGAATGAGACCTTGTTCCTAACAAGAAACAATAACAACAACAACAGCAAACCCAGAATGACCACAAGTATCTTAATTTGGGTTGCAATTTTGAGCATCATCTATAGTATTATCTAAAATAATTAACCAAATTAATCAAATAATCTTATCCTCTAGTTCAATGTTTCCCGAAGTGGTTTCTGTGGATAGCCAATTCAGCTGAATATAGATAGAAGTTATTCAGTAAAAGGGTTCATGCCTCAATAAGTTGGGGAAATAACAAGTTCTCAAAGTTAAAGCCAGTTAAACTATCTATCAGTCTTACAAAGCCTTTAATATAATGTCAAATAGTGAATTCCAAAGAAGGTCATGGTATGCAACATATCCCAAATGTTTTTCCCTCCAGAATGCCTGGAATGCCGAGATGCCAAGGAACATACCTTGGAAAATGTGCAGTTCTGCTTCGATTCTTGTCATCAGCTTCCTACAAGTAAGATGGTTAATTTGTTTTCTCAAAATTTTTTCTGACTATTAAGTGATATTGTTAGAAACATTATTTTTAGGTTTAAATTTTATATCAGCTTCATAATAATTGGAAAGTGTATAATAAATATTTATACTACAAGAAAAAATATCCATAATCCTGAAATGCTACAAAATTCCTAAAGAGATATGATTCCATTTCATTAAAATGCTAATTAACTCTAGTCCTAAACTAATTAAATGATCTTTATCATCAATTGTAGTTTATAGTATCTTAAACACAAATTTAAAAAAATTCCAAAGCAATAATATTGGAATTCCATTTGTAAAAATATCTATGCTACCTTTCATGTTCATAGAAAGAAGAGAGAACATATGAAAACCATTTGATATTATTACTATTGAATAAACAAAATACATTTCAAGATTTCTACATGAAATATTCTTATTTAGGGCCAATTTATTTGTAAAATGAAAGAAGCTCTTTCTAAAATTGATGCGTTATGGTCTTTTATGTGTAAATGCAAATCCTCTCTTTGTGATCCACCATGGAGAATTCTATAAAGATGGCCTTCCTAAGGAGTCCCTGCACAGAATGGGGTTGCCAGCACGTAATCTGTGAGGAGGCTAACACATGCATACACAGTCTGAATGCAAATTTATCTTTTAAGATTGACAGCTGAATTAAATAATGTCAAGATGTATACCCCATTCTTTTTTTTTAAGGAGTCATTGGCTTGCTGTTATTAATTTTAAGCTTTTAAAAGTATCTTGCTGTTATTAATTTTAAGCTTTTAAAGCTATATTCAATCAGGTTAGGGTAATAGGGGAAATTTTCTAGAACCTCTAGTGTAAACTCAAATTTTAGGTACTTCATTGGAGTAAAGCAGGTGCTTTACAGATTCCAAGGTTATTTTAGGATGCAAAAACTCTGTTTTTCCCCTGTATTTCCCTACTCAACCTCGGCAATACTTTTTCCTTGTATTTGTAGTGGAAACCTTAGCAGCAGACAAGAACTGCCCCAGGTCTGTCAAATAGATTTATTCTTATAAAAACAGGCTGGCACCTTTTCACCAAGGACAGAATGGGATATGGAAGAGGGTTTAAATGAGCTAACTGCTCTCTTTCTTTGACCACTGGAATGTTTTCAACCTCCCACGACAATTCTGGGCTTAGAAAAATTGTAATACAATAGGCATAATGGGCACTTACTTCTGAGGTTGGCATTTACTTCAGAAAATAGAACACTGTGGACCCTTGGTAAGGCACCAAAAAGTAGGTAGTTTATTCAGCTAGGTACTCGAAACTTGAAGGTTTTTGGATAAGTTTTGTGAAGAAATGAAAATGCTACTGAAGAGCCAATCAACATAATCAATTGTGTCAAGATGCTCAGACTCCATAATTGGTCTAAACAAAAATATGACACTTCTCTATATCTAATCTCCCTCAAATTCCTTGGAGTTCTGATAATTTTCTATTTATTGTATTCTGTGACATTTTCTTCCCTCTTCAAATTTCACCATGGCACTGATTTTAAAATGTTCTTTAGTTTGAGATCATTTGGGAGAATTTCACCCTTAAGATAACTGGAGACACACCCCACTCTTTTTTCTAAAAATCCACCTCCGAAAAAGAAGACTATGAATCATCTCTATCCACAGTTACACTTTCTAAGTACAGTAATGAAATGTTTCAAAAATCCATTCATTTCTAGCTAGAAATATCAGTTGAAATATTTCAAATTGGCTCTTTCATGACTTGGCAAGATAAGCATAAAGAAGAAGAAAAAAAAAGAAGTGCATTATGTTTTGTTCAGATAATACTCCAAATATTATCTTCTAAGAAACTGGAAAACACAATCTTCTCCAAATGAATACCCAGTCGATGAGCAAGCATTCTTCTCTTAAAGACTTATTCACTGGTTAATCTCTCAGAAAGTCTCCACACCATCCACATATTGTTATAATCAGAGCACACTCTAAATAAAATTGAGAATTAGGAAAGCTGCTCTTGAAAAGCTTACTTTTCCCCAACCTGATGTCCTACCAGGGTAGCCTCCACTCTCAATCTTTTGTTTATTCACCTCTCCTATCAAAATATATTTGTACCATGCCTCGCCCTCTAATAGGAACATGATGAAATAATATTTTCTGGCAAGGAGTTCCTCATCTATCTTATAAGCCGCATTTAGAACTGCCTACTAGAAACTTCAGCCTGAATGTCCTGTGAGCGTGTGAAATCCAATTTAACATCTCCCTCCATCTCTCCTCCTTCAACCTGTTCCTTCTTCAGCGTTCCATATCTTGGTTAGGGCATCATCATACACATACTTACCCAATTTAGAAATCTGAGAGACAATTTATCACATTGTACTGGAAATATTTGTTTGCATATCTGTTTCATTCACAAGACTACAAGCTCCTTAGGGGAATATGATAGGCCTCTCCTAGAATATAGGACCATGCAATATGACAGAAATGAATAAATGTTTGATGTAGATGGAGATCATAGTCTAATGCATTTAACTATCTGAAACAATATTTGGATTTTTTTTTACCAGTTGCCTAGATAGAATGCCTCCACTCAAAAGAACGGCAGTATCAGCAAAGCTTCTATAACTGGTTATCCACTTTGCATGAAACCTTGATAAAAATAGTATAAATAACTAATTCCGAAGTGTCTCATGAGACCAAATATCATATGTGATATAGACACACCTTTTGGTGACCTGCCACCCATGAAGTTGACAGCAGGACTGTTCTCAGGAACACCCAGGCCACATCTCTCCTTTCCATGGGATTTCTCAAGGGCTGGGAACTGTGGGCACTCCTCACTTTTTAAGGTGGGATGTACATTCAGAAGGGCATACAATGAAAAAAGCAAACACTAGAGTCAGATTAGCTAGGGGTAAGTCACAAGGCTCATCTGTTCTAATAAATACAAATGCCATGTTTTTATCCAAGTTCTGGGTAGGGCAATATTTGGCTTAGAGGCTGCCTGCACACACACTGAGCAGGTTTTAATTAGCCCATCCAAACAACAGCTAGCTTAGTAAACTGATTCCTGGTAAAAGAAATAACGCAAATCAAGAGAACCACTGAATCCAGTTAAACAAAAAGCCTCAGAGCTGAAATATTTATTCTGACATGAAACAGAAGGGCCCAGACCTATCTCGGCTGTGTGCCACAGGAAAGCCTTTGTCTGGAAACAGGTCCCAGGTGGTAGGTGTCAGAAATAACTCCAGGGATTTAATTAGTGAGTGCAGCTGAAGCATGTAAATAATGACCAGTTTAGAGATATAGTTTGCATATTCTGATCAACTCAGTCAGCACCAGCATTAACAAAATATAGCTGCTGGAAAATCCCCTTTAGGATTTCAGATCACATTTGACAAATTGTTTTGTTTTACTACAACTGCATTATCTCCAGGCCCTGGTAATGAGGTTTTATGAAGAACTTGCACATATCAGTGGCACAGTCATGTTTCAGTCTACTGCTAATTTCACTGAGGTGCCCTGTAAATAACTACTAAGCTTTCCAGCTGGTTTAGGGGAAGGAAGGATAGCGCATGATTATTAATTTAAAAATAGAATATGTCCAAATAGAAATGTGTATTATGATGCTTTTGATGTGTGTGAGTGGTGTTAAGAGAAGCCATTACAAATTTCTCCCATTCACCCCCCTTTGCTACTCCCCCTACCAACTGCCCTACACACACCTAAAAGACTTACTGCTCCTTGATTTACAACTGTGACCTTTTCCCATTTAATAGCAAAGATTCTTTGCCAGCTCCAATAAATGGAAGTGGTTGCCTGCATACAGCACCAAGGAAACTCAGGCATAATGATTTTGCACCGTAAGTGGTGGATTTCAGTTGCTTGGAGGTGTTACAATATGACTCCCCCCATCCCCAAATATCCCAAACCAAAACATGAAGGCAAGTCTGAGAAATCTGAAGCATTAGTGCTTATACTAGTTTCTACTACACTTAAAAATCCTGGCCAGGAGCAGTGGCTCACGCCTATAATCCCATCACTTTGGGAGGTCCAGACAGGCGGATCATGAGGTCAGGAGTTTGAGACAAGGCTGACCAAGGTGAAACCCCATCTCTACTAAAAATATAAAAGTTAGCTGGGCGTGGTGGCGTGTGCCTGTAATCCCAGCTACTCAGGGGGCTGAGGCAGGAGAATCGCTTGAACCTGGGAGGCGGATGTTGCAGTGAGCTGAGATCGTGCCACTGCACTCCAGCCTTGGTGACAGAGCAAGACTCCATCTAAAAAAAAAAAAAAAAAAAATCCTGACTTGAAAAAAAGGGATATTTGGCAGTATGAGCTGACAGTGTCAGTCTATTCCCTAAATTAGAGAATAGAGATATAAAAACAACTAACATGGATATGTTATAATTTGGAGTTGAAACAACTACTTCTATTAAATGATATATTGTATTTGAATATCTTCTGTAATGCAACTTTAGGAAAAGATAAATCACAGTAAGCATAAATCACAGTAAGCATTCCTTCCTGTGCTTAATTAATAGTATAAAGTCACCACCAGGCCTGCCCTACAAGAGCTCCTGAAGGAAGCACTACACATGGAAAGGAACAACCAGTACCAGCCACTGCAAAAACATGCAAAATTGTAAAGACCATTGATGCTAGGAAGAAACTGCATCAACTAATGAGCAAAATAACCAGCTAACATCACAATGACAGGATCAAATTCACGCATAACAATATTAACCTTAAATGTAAATGGGCTAAATGCTCCAATTAAAAGACACAGACTGGCAAATTGGATAAAGAGTCAAGATCCATCAGTGTGCCATATTCAGGAGACCCATTTCATGTGCAGAGACAAACATAGGCTCAAAATAAAGGGATGGAGGAAGATCTACCAAGCAAATGGAAAACAAAAAAAACAGGGGTTGCATCCTAGTCTCTGATAAAACAGACTTTAAACCAACAAAGATCAAAAGAGACAAAGAAGGTCATTACATAATGGTAAAGGTATCAATTCAACAAGAAGACCGAACTATCCTAAATATATATGCACTCAATACAGGAGCACCCAGATTCATAAAGCAAGTCCTTAGAGACCTACAAAGAGACTTAGATTCCCACACAATAATAATGGGAGACTTTAACCCCCCACTGTCAACATTAGACAGATCAACGAGACACAAAGTTAACAAGGATATCCAGGAGTTGAACTCAGCTCTGCACCAAGTGGACCTAATAGACATCTACAGAACTCTCCACCCCAAATCAACAGAATATACATTCTTCTCAGCATCACATCACACTTATTCCAAAATTGACCACATAGTTGGAAGTAAAGCACTCCTCAGCAAATGTAAAAGAACAGAAATTATAACAAACTGTCTCTCAGATCACAGTGCAATCAAACTACAACTCAGGATTAAGAAACTCACTCAAAACCATTCAACTACATGGGAACTGAACAACCTGCTCCTGAATGACTACTGGGTGCATAACGAAATGAAGGCAGAAATAAAGATGTTCTTTGAAACCAATGAGAACAAAGACACAACATACCAGAATCTCTGGGACATATTTAAAACAGTGTGTAGAGGGAAATTTACAGCACTAAATGCCCACAAGAGAAAGCAGGAAAGATCTAAAATTGACACCCTAACATCACAATTAAAAGAACTAGAGAAGCAAGAGCAAACACATTCAAAAGCTAGCAGAAGGCAAGAAGTAACTAAGATCAGAGCAGAACTGAAGGAGACAGATATAGAGAAACAAAAAACCCTTCAAAAAATCAATGAATCCAGGAGCTGGTTTTTTGAAAGGATCAACAATATTGATAGACCGCTAGCAAGACTAATAAAGAAAAAAAGAGAGAAGAATCAAATAGATGCAATAAAAAATGATAAAGGGGATATCACCACCGATCCCACAGAAATACAAAATACCATCAGAGAATATATAAACACCTCTACACAAATAAACTAGAAAATCTAGAAGAAATTGATAAATTCCTCAACACATACACTCTCCCAAGACTAAACCAGGAAGAAGTTGAATCGCTGAATAGACCAATAACAGGAGCTGAAATTGTGGCAATAATCAATAGCTTACCAACCAAAAGGAGTCCAGGACCAGATGGATTCACAGCCAAATTCTACCAGAGGTACAAGGAGGAACTGGTACCATTCCTTCTGAAACTATTCCAATCAATAGAAAAAGAGGGAATCCTCCCTAACTCATTTTATGAGGCCAGCATCATCCTGATACCAAAGCCGGGCAGAGACACAACCAAAAAAGAGAATTTTAGACCAATATCCTTGATTAACATTGATGCAAAAATCCTCAATAAAATACTAGCAAACCGAATCCAGTGGCACATCAAAAAGCTTATCCACCATGATCAAGTGGGCTTCATCCCTGGGATGCAAGGCTGGTTCAACATACGCAAATCAATAAATGGAATCCAGCATATAAACAGAACCAAAGACAAAAACCACATGATGATCTCAATAGATGCAGAAAAGGCCTTTGACAAAATTCAACAGCCCTTCATGCTACAAACACTCAATAAATTAGGTATTGATGGGACGTACCTCAAAATAATAAGAGCTATCTATGACAAACCCACAGCCAATATCACACTGAATGGGCAAAAACTGGAAGCATTCCCTTTGAAAACGGGCAGAAGACAGAGATGCCCTCTCTCACCACTCCTATTCAACATAGTGTTGGAAGTTCTGGCCAGGGCAATTAGGCAGGAGAAAGAAATAAAGGGTAATCAATTAGGAAAAGAGGAAGTCAAATTGTCCATGTTTGCAGGTGACATGATTGTATATTTAGAAAACCCCATCGTCTCAGCCCAAAATCTCCTTAAGCTGATAGGCAACTTCAGCAAGTTCTCAGGATACAAAATCAATGTGCAAAAATCCCAAGCCTTCTTATACACCAACAACAGACAAACAGAGAACCAAATCATGAGTGAACTCCCATTCACAATTGCATCAAAGAGAATAAAATACCTAGGAATCCAACTTACAAGGGATGTGAAGGACCTCTTCAAGGAGAACTATAAACCACTGCTCAACGAAATAAAAGAGGATACAAACAAATGGAAGAACATTCCATGCTCATGGATAGGAAGAATCAATATTGTGAAAATGGCCATACTGCCCAAGGTAATTTATAGATTCAATGCCATCCCCATCAAGCTACCAACGACTTTCTTCACAGAATTGGAAAAAACTACTTTAAAGTTCCTATGGAACCAAAAAAGAGCCCACATTGCCAAGACAATCCTAAGCCAAAAGAACAAAGCTGGAGGCATCACGCTACCTGACTTCAAACTATACTACAAGGCTACAGTAACCAAAACAGCCTGGTATTGGTACCAAAAGAGAGATATAGACCAATGGAACAGAATAGAGCTCTCAGAAATAATACCACACATCTACAACCATCTGATCTTTGACAAACCTGACAAAAACAAGAAATGGGGAAAGGATTCCGTATTTAATAAACGGTGCTGGGAAAACTGGCTTGCCATATGTAGAAAGCTGAAACTGGATACCTTCCTTACACCTTATACAAAAATTAATTCAAGATGGATTAAAGACTTACATGTTAGACCTAAAGCCATAAAAACCCTAGAAGAAAACCTAGGCAATACCATTCAGGACATAGGCATGGGCAAGGACTTCACGTCTGAAACACCAAAAGCAATGGCAACAAAAGCCAAAATTGACAAATGGGATCTAATTACACTAAAGAGCTTCTGTACAGCAAAAGAAACTACCATCAGAGTGAACAGGCAACCTACAGAATGGGAGAAAATTTTTGCAATCTACTCATGTGTCAAAGGGCTAATATCCAGAATCTACAAAGAACTCAAATTTGCAAGAATAAAACAACCCCATTACAAAGTGGGCAAAGGATATGAATAGACACTTCTCAAAAGAAGACATTTATGCAGCCAACAGACACATGAAAAAATGCTCATCATCACTGGCCATCAGAGAAATGCAAATCAAAACCAAAATGAGATACCATCTCACACCAGTTAGAAAGGCGATCATTAAAAAGTCAGGAAACAACAGGTGCTGGAGAGGATGTGGAGAAATAGGAACACTTTTACACTGTTGGTGGGACTGTAAACTAGTTCAACCATTGTGGAAGACAGTGTGGCAATTCCTCAAGGATCTAGAACTAGAAATACCATTTTACCCAGCCATCCCATTACTGGGTATATACCCAAAGGATTATAAATCATGCTGCTATAAAGACACATGGACACGTATGTTTATTGCAGCACTATTCACAATAGCAAAGACTTGGAACCAACCCAAATGTCCAACAATGATAGACTGGATTAAGAAAATGTGGCACATATACACCATGGAATACTATGCAGCCATAAATGGAATACTATGCAGCCATAAAAAGGATGAGTTCATGTCCTTTGTAGGGACATGAATGAAGCTGGAAACCATCATTCTCAGCAAACTAGCACAAGGACAAAAAACCAAACACTGCATGTTCTCACTCATAGGTGGGAATTGAATAATGAGAACACTTGGACACGGGAAGGGGAACATCACACATTGGGGCCTGTCATGGGGTGGGGGGAGGAGGAGGGATAGCATTATGAGATATACCTAATGTAAATGACGAGTTAATGGGTGCAGCACACCCACATGGTGCATGTATACATGTGTAACAAACCTGCACATTGTGCACATGTACCCTAGAACTTAAAGTATAAGTATAAATTAGAATAGAGACATAAAAACAACTAACATGGATATTTTATAATTTGGAGTTGAAACAACTACTTCCATTAAGTGACATATTATATTTGAATATCTTCTGTAATGCATCTTTAGGAAAAGATAAATCACAGTAAGCATTGCTTCCTGTGCTTAATTAATAGTATAGAGCAAGTCAAAATGTTTGGTTTTAAAGTACAGAAGATTTCAACTGTAGGACATATAACTTACAGCTGGTCCTGAGCTTTGCTTTTATCACTTCCTAGTTAAATAGAAAAAAAAAGCTTTTTGGAGAGAACAGAAGAGGACAGTCTATATATAGTCTTACTATCTTACCACCTTTTCTGACTTAAGAGTAATTTGTAGCCAGCGGCAGGGGAGGGAGATGCAATAACAAGTGAAATCAATAGGTTCACTGCATTTTAAGAGGCTGCAGAGAGGCTGTTATTGATTGCTGAGGATGAGTAATGAATGAAAAGGAAGGTTAGGTAACAAATATAGTATGACTGGGATTCTTATACATGATTTTCATTGAGATAAAACATTATAGACAGTTGATTTGCATCCTATTAAAAAACAAACACTGCATCTCTAAATACGGTCACATATTTTTTAAAAAACTTCTTGATAAATTACCTTATTTTAACTATTCATATGTAAGCCTATATAATAACATGTGTTCCATTCCAAAAAGAAAAAGACATTTAAAGCATCTATAGGGAAAACACTGTGGGCACTCTATCCAGTGAATTGGCCTTACCATTCAAGAGTGATCCAGGATCAACACAGCTCATGTAACCAGGAGTAAACAGCATTATGGCAACTGATTAAAAACACTGTAGAAATATATATTAGCATTGACCAAACAAAAAGTTATTTGATAATCAGAGTCATTCAAAAAGGGATATTTTCTGAGAAAACAATTATCTCCCACATCACTGGCACTGGCTTTTCTTCCCTGTCTGCGGCTTCTTCCCTATGTCCCCACCCTAAAGCACCCCAGGGCTCCTTCCACAGAACTCTTTCTTAATTACATTTACTCTCTAGCTGGTCTCATCTAGTCTACTGGCTTTAAATACCATCTCTATGCTGATGATGTCCTAACTTTTATTCCCAGCTTTGATCTGTCCACTGAGCGTAAAACTCATATATCTAATTGCCTACTTGACCCAACTTTGCATGTCTGATTTAGCATGTCCCAAACTAAGCTCCTAATATCATTCCAGCAAATCTTCTTCTCTTGTAGCATTCCCTGTCTCAGTATACAGTAACTCCATTCTGGCAGCTGTTTGGGTCAAAAACTCCAGACTCATTTTTGACTCTGTTCTTTTTCCTACACTTCACATCCAATCTATTAGAAATCTCCACCAGCCTTCACAATGTACCTAGAATCTGACCACTTTTCACACCTCCATTGCTATAGTAAGGTGAAGAGAAGACTTCTTTGCCCTCTGAAGGCTGCTGAAAACCAGCAGACAAAAGGCAGATTAATAGGAGAAAAGGCACATAAATGTCCTCGATCATAGTTTTATGTGACATTGGAGCTTTCAGAATGAAGACCCAAAGATACAGGGGAAACTATCCATTTTTATGCTTAGATTCAACAAAGTATAAACAGCTGTGAAGAAATGTGATTGGACAAAAAGGATATGATCTAATTCTAATAGATTGAATGGGGAAACCCTGCAAGGCTTGTCTGTTCAGATTTTTCTTGGCCGCTCTGTGCAGCATTCCTTCCTCCTGGGTATGGGGCAGGGCCCTCTCTGGAATGGCGGTCTTATGGCCTAAAATCAAACAAGAAAGGTCAGATAATTCCTTTAGGGCCAGTTTTTACACAAAAAGGTGGAGGGAAAGTTAGAGTAATATTTAAAAATACTTATGGTTTTATGGTTAGCTTTGGGGAAAAGGAGTTCTGGTTTCTATGAACTGCCTTGGGGAAGAGTAATTCTACTTTCTATGGCTAGCCTCAGGGAGAATGAGAAGCCAGAGCCAGGAGGGCAGGAAAAGGTCAGATAGAGATAGATGTTTGCTTCTGAGGCCTTCATGTTGGGGTATCATTTTTGAGCCCCGACAATACCATCTGGTCTCAGCCACCACCACCTCTCTCCTGACTCATCTTTCTACTTCTATCTTCTCCCTCTTATTACCTACCCTGCTGCCAGAGAAACCATCTAAATCATAAGTTACATCGTGCCACTCTGCTCAGCATCCCCAATGGCTCTCATCTTGCTCACAGTAAAAACCAAAGTCTATTCAGGGGTGTCCAATCTTTTGGCTTCCCTGGGCCACACAGGAAGAAGAATTGTCTGGGGCCACACATAAAATACACTAACGAAAGCTGATGAGCTAAAAAAATAAAAATAAAAAAATAAATAAATCATAATATTTTAAGAAAGTTTACGAATTTGTGTTGGGCCACATTCAAAGCTGTCCTGGGCTGCATGCAGACTGCAGGTCGCAGGTTGAACAGCTTGGTCTATATAATGACCCAAAAAGTTAGCACCAACTCCCCACACAACTTCCATTTCTCTCCCCGTCCGTTCACTCTCCTCCAGCTACATGGGCCTCCTTGCTTTCCCTCAAACCCATCAAGCTGTTCCTGCCTCTGGGCCTTTGCCCTTGGTGGTCCCTCTATGTGAAACACACTTTCCCTGGATATCCACCTTCATGGTCCATTTTATTCAGGTATTTACTCAAGTTATCAGCTTACATGATGCTTCCCTTGATTGCACTGTGCACAATAGTAACCTACTTATGTCCTGGCATTCCTTGCCCCGCTCATCTTTTATTCTGGAGCCCTTGACACCATCAGACAGACTATATGTTTACTTGTTGTTTAATGTGCCCCCTCCATTAGAATATAGGTCGTTGAGTGTAGGAATTCTGTTCACTGCTAAATCCACACTGTCTAGAACAGGATCTAGCACACAGTATGTGCTTGATACATATTAAATGAATGAATGACTGGGATGGTAAGAGAAGTAATTACAAGTGGCACATTCTCCTAATGGCATAAAGGAAAGAAGGTAGGGGGCCGGGCGCGGTGGCTCACGCCTATAATCCCAGCACTTTGGGAGGCTGAGGCAGGTGGATCACGAGGTCAGGAGATCGAGACCATCCTGACTAACAAGGTGAAACCCCGTCTCTACTAAAACTACAAAAAATTAGCTGGGCGTGGTGGCGGGTGCCTGTGGTCCCAGCTACTCAGGAGGCTGAGGCAGGAGAATGGCGTGAACGCAGGAGGTGGTGCTTGCAGTAAGCCAAGATGGCGCCACTGCACTCCAGCCTGGGCGACAGATCAAGACTCCGTCTCAAAAAAAAAAAAAAAAAAAAGGAAAGACGGTGGGTTTTCTGAAGTGTTTGATGGCATAAAAGCTTTAAACACCAGAGTAAAGGGAAAAGAAATGGGATTATGAGGAAAACCAATTATTAAAAAAAGTTTTTCACCTCACCTTCAGCATTATTCAGTTTACTTTAAAAAAAACTTTTTTATCTTTTATTATGGTAAAAAAATATATAGTTCACCCTCTTAGTCATTTTTAAGTGCACAGTTCATTAGTGTTAACTATATTCACATGGTTGTATAACAGATCTTTAGAATTTTTTCATCTCCCAAAACTGAAACTCTATCCCCATCAAACAACAACTGCCTATTCCCCCTTCCCTCAGCCTCTGGCACCCATCATTTAACTTTCTGTTTCCATGATTTTGACTGCTGTACATATCTTGCATTAATAGACTCATACAGTATTTGTCTTTTTTATGTCTAGCTTATTTCACTCAGCATAATGTCCTCAAGATTTATCCATGTTGCAGCATTTAACAAGATTTCTTTTTTTAAGGCTAAATAATGTTCCATTGTATGTATATATCACATTTTCTTTATTCATCTGTTGATGGACATTTGGGCTGTTTTGACCTCATGGCTCTTGTGAATAATGCTGCAATGAGCATAGTTGTAAAAATATCTCGTTGAGACTGTGTTTTTTGTTTATGTTATTTTTAATGCATCTTTTAAAATTGTATTTTTTTATGTTTTTTTAATGCATCTTTTAAAATTGTATATTTATAGCTTTTGGGTCTGAAGTCATACCTAGGAAAGCCTTCCCCACCCTGGGATTTCTTCCTGATTTCTTCTAATAATTTTATGGTTTAACCTTTTTATATTTTAATCTTTGCACCTTCTGAAATTTAATTTCTGACTCATTTTTGCATGTCTAAATCCTATTTATCCTGTTTTTCAAAGCCCAGTCTAAAGAATAATAGCTAACCTTTGTGGAAAACTTATATTGTGTTTCAAGTGCTTTACATGTCATAACACATTTAATACTCACAAGAGATCCATAAAGTATATACCACTGTTTGATTTCATAGAGGTAACTGAGTGGCAGCTTACTGAATAACATGCCCGAGATCAT
Source organism: Homo sapiens (assembly GCF_000001405.40). Lineage (NCBI taxonomy): Eukaryota > Metazoa > Chordata > Mammalia > Primates > Hominidae > Homo > Homo sapiens. Next base: position 161,005,595 of record NC_000003.12, on the reverse strand, counting down.
GTGGTAAGTGATAGCCAGAATTTAAACGCAGGCAAGGCTGGTTCCAGAGCTTCTGTATTTAATCATTATGCTGTGGTACCTTATCAAATACCACTTCTTGAACACCTTCCCACTCTGACCTTGAGATGGCCATCTCTTTTTCCTAAACTCCAGAAAACCTGTACCTCTCATAATACATATCACTTTTTTATGAGATCATAGTTAATTGCATCATTTCATGCCACTTTAAAAGGTAGGCTTCATACATAACTCACTTTGTTTTTTCATAGAAACTAGTACTGTGCTGAAAACTCAAGAAATATTTCCTGGGTGAATAAATAAATTAGAAAGATCCACAGTGCAATCAAACTAGAACTCAGGATTAAGAATCTCACTCAAAACCGCTCAACTACATGGAAACTGAACAACCTGCTCCTGAATGACTACTGGGTACATAACAAAATGAAGGCAGAAATAAAGATGTTCTTTGAAACCAATGAGAACAAAGACACAACATACCAATAACAAAATGAAGGCAGAAATAAAGATGTTCTTTGAAATCAATGAGAACAAAGACACAACATACCAGAATCTCTGGGACGCATTCAAAGCAGTGTGTAGAGGGAAATTTATAGCACTAAATGCCCACAACAGAAAGCAGGAAAGACCCAAAATTGACACCCTAACATCACAATTAAAAGAACTAGAAAAGCAAGAGCAAACACATTCAAAAGCTAGCAGAAGGCAAGAAATGACTAAAATCAGAGCAGAACTGAAGGAAATAGAGATACAAAAAACCCTTCAAAAAATTAATGAATCCAGGAGCTGGTTTTTTGAAAGGATCAACAAAATTGATAGACCGCTAGCAAGACTAATAAAGAAAAAAAGAGAGAAGAATCAAATAGACGCAATAAAAAATGATAAAGGGGATATCACCACCGATCCCACAGAAATACAAACTACCATCAGAGAATACTACAAACACCTCTATGCAAATAAACTAGAAAATCTAGAAGAAATGGATAAATTCCTTGACACATACACTCTCCCAAGACTAAACCAGGAAGAAGTTGAATCTCTGAATAGACCAATAACAGGACCTGAAATTGTGGCAATAATCAATAGCTTACCAACCAAAAGGAGTCCAGGACCAGATGGATTCACAGCCGAATTCTACCAGAGGTACAAGGAGGAACTGGTACCATTCCTTCTGAAACTATTCCAATCAATAGAAAAAGAGGGAATCCTCCCTAACTCATTTTATGAGGCCAGCATCATCCTGATACCAAAGCCGGGCAGAGACACAACCAAAAAAGAGAATTTTAGACCAATATCCTTGATGAACATTGATGCAAAAATCCTCAATAAAATACTGGCAAACCGAATCCAGCGGCACATCAAAAAGCTTATCCACCATGATCAAGTGGGCTTCATCCCTGGGATGCAAGGCTGGTTCAATATACGCAAATCAATAAATGTAATCCAGCATATAAACAGAACCAAAGACAAAAACCACATGATTATCTCAATAGATGCAGAAAAGGCCTTTGACAAAATTCAACAACGCTTCATGCTAAAAACTCTCAATAAATTAGGTATTGATGGGACGTATCTCAAAATAATAAGAGCTATCTATGACAAACCCACAGCCAATATCATACTGAATGGGCAAAAACTGGAAGCATTCCCTTTGAAAACGGGCACAAGACAGGGATGCCCTCTCTCACCACTCCTATTCAACATAGTGTTGGAAGTTCTGGCCAGGGCAATTAGGCAGGAGAAGGAAATAAAGGGTAATCAATTAGGAAAAGAGGAAGTCAAATTGTCCCTGTTTGCAGACGACATGATTGTATATCTAGAAAACCCCATTGTCTCAGCCCAAAATCTCCTTAAGCTGATAGGCAACTTCAGCAAATTCTCAGGATACAAAATCAATGTACAAAAATCACAAGCCTTCTTATACACCAACAACAGACAAACAGAGAACCAAATCATGAGTGAACTCCCATTCACAATTGCATCAAAGAGAATAAAATACCTAGGAATCCAACTTACAAGGGATGTGAAGGACCTCTTCAAGGAGAACTACAAACCACTGCTCAACGAAATAAAAGAGGATACAAACAAATGGAAGAACATTCCATGCTCATGGGTAGGAAGAATCAATATCGTGAAAATGGCTATACTGCCCAAGGTAATTTATAGATTCAACGCCATCCCCATCAAGCTACCAATGCCTTTCTTCACAGAATTGGAAAAAACTATTTTAAAGTTCATATGGAACCAAAAAAGAGCCCACATTGCCAAGTCAATCCTAAGCCAAAAGAACAAAGCTGGAGGCATCACACTACCTGACTTCAAACTATACTACAAGGCTACAGTAACCAAAACAGCATGGTACTGGTACCAAAACAGACATATAGATCAATGGAACAGAACAGAGCCCTCAGAAATAACGCCACCTATCTACAACTATCTGATCTTTGACAAACCTGAGAAAAACAAGCAATGGGGAAAGGATTCCCTATTTAATAAATGGTGCTGGGAAAACTGGCTAGCCATATGTAGAAAGCTGAAACTGGATCCCTTCCTTACACTTTATACAAAAATCAATTCAAGATGGATTAAAGACTTACATGTTAGACCTAAAACCATAAAAACCCTAGAAGAAAACCTAGGCATTACCATTCAGGACATAGGCATGGGCAAGGACTTCATGTCTAAAACACCAAAAGCAATGGCAACAAAAGCCAAAATTGACAAATGGGATCTAATTAAACTAAAGAGCTTCTGCACAGCAAAAGAAACTACCATCAGAGTGAACAGGCAACCTACAAAATGGGAGAAAATTTTCACAACCTACTCATCTGACAAAGGGCTAATATCCAGAATCTACAATGAACTCAAACAAATTTACAAGAAAAAAACAAACAACCCCATCAAAAAGTGGGCGAAGGACATGAACAGACACTTCTCAAAAGAAGACATTTATGCAGCCAAAAAACACATGAAAAAATGCTCACCATCACTGGCTATCAGAGAAATGCAAATCAAAACCACAGTGAGATACCATCTCACACCAGTTACAATGGCGATCATTAAAAAGTCAGGAAACAACAGGTGCTGGAGAGGATGTGGAGAAATAGGAACACTTTTACGCTGTTGGTGGGACTGTAAACTAGTTCAACCATTGTGGAAGACAGTGTGGCAATTCCTCAGGGATCTAGATCTAGAAATACCATTTGACCCAGCCATCCCATTACTGGGTATATACCCAAACGACTATAAATCATGCTGCTATGAAGACACATGCACATATATGTTTATTGTGGCATTATTCACAATAGCAAAGACTTGGAACCAACCCAAATGTCCAACAATGATAGACTGGATTAAGAAAATGTGGCACATATACACCATGGAATACTATGCGGCCATAAAAAATGATGAGTTCACGTCGTTTGTAGGGACATGGATGAAATTGGAAATCATCATTCTCAGTAAACTATCGCAAGAACACAAAACCAAACACCGCATATTCTCACTCATAGGTGGGAATTGAACAATGAGAACACATGGACATAGGAAGGGGAACATCACACTCTGGGGACTGTTGTGGGGTTGGGGGAGGGGGGAGGGATAGCATTGGGAGATATACCTAATGCTAGATGACGAGTTAGTGGGTGCAGCGCACCAGCATGTCACATGTATACATATGTAACTAACCTGCACCTTGTGCACCTGTACCCTAAAACCTAAAGTATAATAATAATGAATTAAAAAAAAGAAAGATCCTTAAAATGTAAACACTTTAGGGAGGGTTTGTAGTAAATTCATACTTAGTTATGAGTGGATCACAGATCTTTTCCAATCCTAATCCTAATAGGATGGAGAAGAAAGAGAATGTGAGGGCACTGGTAGCTAGTGAAGCTTTGATAGAAGAAAAAAAGAGCTGGGGGTGTTATTTATGAAATAATTTTTTAATGGTTGGGCCTGATAAACATATAGTATTGAGTTTCATATATTTTCCTATCATTGAGAAAAGGTAGTTTTGTTTGCTTTAAAACTGTGTAATTCCAGCACTTTGGGGGGCGAATTACTTGAGGCCAGAAGTCCAAGACCAGCCTGGCCAATGGAAAAACCCAGTCTCTACTAAAAATACAAAAATTAGCTGGGCATGGTGGCACACACCTGTAGTCCCAACTACTCGGGAGGCTGAGGCACAAGAATCACGTGAACCCGGGAAGGTGGAGGTTGCAGTAAGTAGAGATTGCACCACTGTACTCCAGCCTGGCGACAGAGTGAGACTCTCCCAAAAGAACAAAAAACAAAAAACTATAGACTTTTAGTTCCTTGGGTATTTTCTTGTTGTTTGTTTTGTTGTTGTTGTTTTTGTTTTTTGTTTTGTTTTGCAATCTAGCCCATAGATCCTCTGAGAGTTAGCTAAATTTAAATAGTTTGTGATTTCTAGAAGAACAGAATAACTGACAGAAACAAATGATTATTGTTACTAGACTCAATCAGAAATATTAGTTATTTACAGATCTTAAATCTCAATAATTTGAAGTAGACTCAAGTTATATTCTTGAAATTAAATGCCTAGGAAGAGTTTAAAATCTTAGGAAGTAAACTGAATCTTAGGAATTAAAATTAAATCTTCAATGATCTGGTGTTCTGTTTCCTGAAAGAAAGCACTCAGTATAGCTTTTAATGTGGTCACTGAAGGATTAAAGAGGTTTTAATCAGATATATCTTTGAGCTGTGTAAAGTATTTATAGAAAATCCAACAACCAACTAAGGAATGTCTTCTCTACACAGTACTAGTCAGGAGAAATTTCTAAAATGATTCCAGTGAACTCAGGATCAAATGATAATTTCTAATTGGTAAATTTCTCGAGTATATCTTACAAAATAAAAGGCTAGGTATTGGGCAATATTTTTTGTTATAAAAGTCATTGCAATCAATATAAATAAGTCACAAATGTGAAAAACATAAACTACTCCATTGAAAATGTACTTCTAAAGGTCTCTAATAACTTTTTTTCCAGATTCATCAGCCTTCTCTCCCTGTTTTTTTCTTGGCCTCTCTTATATATCTGACCTTGCTTACTGGTTATGTGTTTTGTTTGTATTTTTACTGGTCACTTTTTGAAACTTACTTTTTCTTAGCTTCTTATATATGCATGCTCTTGAATTGCTTCTTCCTCACTGAATGCTTCTCTGCTGGATCACATTCCTCTTCCAAACTTTGTGTGTGCTCCTGAAAGGTCATTCTTTGTTTCCTCATCCTTCACTGCTTTTTTCTTTAAGATCTACTTTGAATTACAGCTTCCACTTCGAATTCTTTATAGACAATATGAGTGTCTGTATCTGCAGTTCTAAGCTCTTATCAAATTTATATCACCTAACCTCTAATTACTTAAAGCACATGTGTATTTGAATGTTGTACCATCTTAAACTGGACAAGTCCAAAATGGAACTTGTGATGGCAAAGAGCTGTTCCTTTCCGTGGCCTTTATGCCATCACCTGTTCACAAAGCAAACATTTACCGAACATCTATTATGTGCTGGATTCTGCGGATACAAAGGTGAACATGACAATTCCAGCTCTGCAGTATCTCAGAGTCTTGGGAGGGAGAAATACCTGTAAATCAGTACTTACAATAAAAATATCCAAGATTTTCAGCCGTAATAACCGCCACATTAAGCGTTGTATGCATACTGTCTCTTTTAGGGTAGTAATTAGAATTAAGCTGTAGGTCCTGTCTTGATTCTGAGGACACTTCTGGTGAGTCAAAGGTAAGTACTTTTGCTTTGTTCCTAGTGAAGTTCTGAATACAGTAAAATGACCCAAATTATAGATGCTTCAGACTGAGATACTGGCATTGTAAACTTGGCATGTGCCAGGACTCCTGAAAGTCACTGGTTGATCTAGTTGAACTCTGGGGAATTACAGGAAGCTATGTCTTTACTGAAGGCAGAGTAGGAGCATTAAAGTGGTTGCATTGAAAACATGTTTACGCCTGACAGCAGTAACTTCCTAAGAGTGTGGCAGCAGAAACCACAGCAACAAGGTAAGAATGCTGGAAAGAAAACACTGAGCACAAGTGAAGGCTTACCCTGAGAAGAAATAACTGGGGTGTAAGAGATTCTTATTTCCCTCTGGCGGCCAGGTGGGGATCTATGGTACAATCATCTGAATTCACAAATATATGTTATGAGTCATAGGTAGATTAGGGCAGTGAAATATGGCTTACTAAGTGCAACCACAGTATGATCTTAAGCTTTATTAGAGTATAGGGTCTGGGATCAGACTGTCTGCAGTAGAAACCACACGCGGCCGTTTTCAAGTACTGTGTCCTTGAGCAAGTTACTTAACCTCAGTCTCTTCATCTATAAAAATGGACATATTAATGGTTCCTTCTTTATAGGGTGGTTGTGAGGATTAAATGAGTTCCTACATGTAGAATGAATAAAAGAGTACAGGCACATAGAATGTGCTGAAGAATGTAGGCTATTATTAGTATTTTTACACTTTCCCCAACATTGCACCAAAATTGCATTTATTGTGCCAGGCGGTAGCAACCATGTTATCCTCTGAGTAGCCTTAACTGAGAAAACATGGTTCTTTTCACCACCGGCTTTCTTTTCTTTTCTTTTTTTGTTTAAGATTCATAAAAACTGAAACCCATTCTCTTTACCAGGTCAAGTTCTTTATTAAAAAGTCATGTACCTTTGTAACTCATTACTAATAAATACAATTATGAAATAACTTTCAGGTCAACCCCCTCAGTTCTGGGTTTACCAGGATCATATCATTTTCCACACACAGTGCTTAACAAACAGACCTTGTATTACAGTGATATAACTTAATGGTCAATATTTATTCTTCCTTCACAAAAATTTACACTGAAGAAATGACTTTTAACAGTCTTTCTAATATTGCCAATACATTTATTTACTCTTGTTCAATTTCCATGACATCAAAATGTCATCCAGTAGTTCCAAGTCTCCCTAGACATCTTTTCAAAGATGCCTGTCAAAAATCTCCCTCAGGAAAGTCATTTTGAACTCTGTGACCCTGAAGAAGGTAATGATAAAGTCACCTTTACAATTTGCTGCAAAGGGAAAAAAAAGGGAGGGAAGAGAGAGGGACAAGAATGACATGGATAAGAACCACACCAGATAAACTAATTTTTATGTGTTTTGTTCTGGTTCTGTACATAATTTTTGCTACTTGACAAGTAAATACATATTCTAGCAAGAGTGTTAATAAAAACATTAACAACTAGTGAGACACAGGTGCTAATCAATTAGAACAGAGTCCGGCTGTAAACAACTGGATTAGTGAGTCCCAGGTGAACTCCTGTTATACCTAAGTATGGTGCTTGTGGTCATTTCAATACAACTTGGGGCACTTTCATTATGTCATTTTTAATGTGAAAATTGGAATGTGGAAATGTCTTCCAAGAGAGAAATTTTTCCAGTAATGTTATTTGTCTTGAATGCAAAAGCTACTTATATATATAAAGTAATTACATAATAGGAACTTTTAGTTCTATATTATTTTCCTTCTATTATATTTTCCAAATATGTTCTGTGATATGCTCTTCTGAAAATTTTCCTCAAACCTATTTACTTGTGTATAAGACTTGGATCCTGCTTCATGTGGTACTTGGATCCTGCTTCATATGGTTCTTGGCTATTGAAAGTTTTGGAGGTTCTTCAGGACATATACAATTTTATTTTGAGATTGTTAGTGATAGGCTGTCCTTATTTAATCTAGAAGAAAGGAGGAAATTTATAAAATGCGAAAAACAAAACTGCAGACTATATGTGCTTCTTTGCTTCCTGCTTGTCCAACTGACCCTTCCCCACCACACCCACTCTTCAAAAGAATTTTAGAGCCAGAATGAGGCCAGCTACCAAGACCTGGAATTTTCTTAGTCTTATTTAGGCCTATCCTACCTAAGGTTATCTTTAAGAGGACAACAAGCTAGTCATTAAACCAGACCATTTGACATCTGACAATGTGACTTCTTGGAACTGCCAAAATTTCTTATGACATACTTAAATAACTATACCTGAGTCTCGTAAAAAAATTCAACAAATGGTTTCCCATTCTGGTTTCCCCTATCACCATCCACATTTCTGCCAACAATGTTATCCTTCTCCCTTTTACTAAAGGTCAAAAACTCAAAGGTTATTTCCAGTGGATAGATATCATATTTGGGGATATCTTCATCATTTGATAACTGGTGAGGAACAGAGTCCACCTCCCGCACATATCCAGCTCCTTTCAAACATGTGCAATCAGTTTATCCAACTCCTGCTCCTTGTTGCAAGCATTTACTGTCCCCTTGGTTTCACCTCCTCATTCATTTAATGACTAGGAATTCCCTCTGTCACCTTCTATACCACTGACATTGTCACAGTCCACATAGACCATCTACTCCTTGAACCACCTCAGAAATCTTTGTTTGAAAAATCTCTCTCTCCAACCACTACCTTTTAACTTTCCAGATCATTCACACTGGTATTTGGACTCCAATAATTCTTCAGCCCAACAGGATATCTGATCCATTAGCCCCACCACTGTTTCACTGTTCCTCACTCACCTTAAGTCCTCCTATCCCTCCTAGCCTGCCCACCACTGAAATCCTCCTTTGCTCTTCCTGCTATTGCCTTGCCTAGAACAACCACAACTCTGGTTAAATCCAACCATCTTTTGGCTTTGTATCTGTGCTCTGTGAACACAATCTTCATGATGTGTTCACTCATCACTGCATTTTTACTGTATTTTTCTAGTTAATTTTTAAAATATTTTTTATGATTTCAATAGGTTTTTGGGGAACAGGTGGTGTTTGGTGTTAAGTTCTTTAGTGGTGATTTCTGAGATTTTAGTGTACCCATCACCAGAGCAGTGTACACTGTACCCAATGTGTAGTCTTTTATCCTTTGCTCCCCTCTCACCCTCTCCCCCAGGTCCCCAAAGCCCTCTGTATCATTCTTATGTCTTTGCATCCACATAGCTTAGCTCCCACTTATGAGTGACAACATATGATGTTTGCTTTTCCATTTCTGAGTTACTTCACTTAGAATAATGGTCTCCAATTCCATCCAGGTTGCTGTGAATGCCATTATTAAATTATTTTATATGGCCGAGTAGTATTGCATGATATATATACCACAATTTTTTTTATCCACTCGTTGAATGATGGACATTTGGGTGGGTTCCGTATTTTTGCAATTGTGAATTGTGCTGCTATTAAAATGTGTGTGCAAGTATCTTTTTCGTATAATGACTTCTTTTCCTCTGGGTAGATACCCAGTAGTGGGATTGCTGGATCGAATGGTAGCTCTACTTTTAGTTCTTTAAGGAATATCCACACTGTTTTCCATAGTGGTTGTACTAGTTTACATTCCCACCAGCAGTGTAGAAGTGTTCCCTTTTCACCACATCCATGCCAACATCTATTATTTTTTGAGTTTTTGATTATGGCCATTCTTGCAGGAGTAAGGTGGTATTACACTGTGGTTTCGATTTGCATTTCCCTGATCACTACTGATGTTGAGCATTTTTTCACATGCTTGTTGGCTATTTGTATATCTTCTTTTGAGAATTGTCTATTCATGTCCTTAGCCCACTTCTTGGTTAATTCAGTCCAAGTTGAATATTTCACATCTTACCCTCTTTTCTCAAACTTCCAATACCACTTTCCCTATTTCAATCTCAATGCAGGATCTCACCTATTTTACCAAGAGATGCCATTAGAAAACTAAGGTGTTTTCCCATGATCGATTTATCAACCCACAAAACCAAAAACCTCTTGCTTTCCTTTCTCCTTGTTCCTATCTCTCACATCTATTCAAGACCTTTGCTCTTGTAATTATATTTCTCTCCCCTGCATCAATAGTTTCTCTCATTCTTTAGAATAATTCATTAGCATATCAATATGCCATCATCTCTTCCATCTTAAAAAAAGTCTCTACCTGGACCAGGCATGGTGGCTCATGCCTGTAATCCCAGCACTTGGGGAGGTTGAGGCAGGTGGATCACCTGGGGACAGGAGTTCGAGACCAGCTTGGCCAACCTGGCAAAACCCCGTGACTACTAAAAATACAAAAATTAGCTGGGTGTGGTGGCAGGCACCTATAATCCCAGCTACTCAGGAGGCTGAGGCAGGAGAATCACTTGAACCCGGGAGGTGGAGGTTGCAGTAAGTCGAGATTGTGCCATTTCACTCCAGCCTGGGAGACAGAGTGAGACTCTGTCTCAAAAGAAAAAGAAAAAAAAATCTCTACCTACGTATCACAAACCCTCTGGCTACTGGTGCATTTCTTTGCTAATCTTCATAGCGGACTGAAAAAACACCCAACAAACTTGTATTTACTTGAAATTTCCACTTCCTCACATTCCATAATTTTTCCCTAAGCCACTTCAAAGAGGCTTTTGTTCTCACATTGCCATTATAGTTGCTCTTGTTGAGAACATTGAAAACCTCCATCTCACGAAATCCAATTGTCAACCTTTGCTTTTTGTTTTACACCACCTTTTAATAACGCTGTTTAAAACACCATTTGAAATGTCCTACAACCTTCCTCATCATCTCTTCAAATTTATATCCTATCATCCTCTGCCTTGTCCCACCTCAGGGTCCTTGCATTGGCTGGTAACTTGCCTGGAGCGCCTTTCTTGCAGATCTTGGAAAGGGTCACTTTTTCACTTCCTTCAAGCCTTTCTCTGACTGCCTGTGCCTCAGCCTCTCCTATTCCCTATACTGTCAAGCTCTTGTCTCTTGTCCTGCTTTATTTTTCTCCATAGTGCTTAGCATCATCTGGCACCCTGATAGTCATTTGTTCATTATTTTGTCTCCTTCCTTACACTGAAATCTCATGATGACAGGAATCTTGTGTGAGTTGTTCACAGTTGAATTTCCAGAACTTAGTACTATGCCTGCACATAGTAGTGTGTGGTAAACATACCTGATAGCAATAACTTAAGCATACCATGAGAATAACCCTGTAGGGCAGATGCACCTGAATGTATGTTCTGAGCTAGGGAACTTGGGAGTGGCCAACCTGGAGATTTCTATGAGGAACAGTTGAGCCCCCAGGCTGTCCCATGGAACACAGGCTGTACAGGGGATCGAGGCCCCAGGTTTTGGGTTGAATGTAGATTGCCAGGTGAAGATCACTGGGGAAATGGTGCTAAATGAAAATGCCATATTAAACTGCATGCCTTTTGCAAGCAGCTGTGGTTCTTCTGCCCAGCCTGCTGCCACTGGGCCATGCAGATATCCTGCCAAGGCTGCTGCCACTGAACTCCCTCCTCTGCATGTAAGCCCCTGGGAAAAGCCATATCTTGTTTGCTGGCTCTAGGTTTCTTCTTCAGCCTCTTCAACTTGGTGCCTTCCCCACTGGAGTTGATAAGGGTCAGCATAACAAATAGGTGCCCAATTACTATTTTCTGGATGAATTAATAATTCATCAAGTATATTTAAGGTAATTTTTATTCATGAATTAATAGAGAGAAGTAATATCCGCCCCCACCCCCCTATAAATCCTGAGTAAAATCTGCAAAAAGACCAGAAAAGGCATCAGGATAAATTTACTTACATACATGAGAAAGAAATGGAACAAAGTGAAATTAACTGAGCAATGAAAAAAAAAGAGGAAAAATGGGAGTTGGGGAGAGAGCAGGCTTTGTGTTATCAGTCCCTGAGGAGAGAAAAACAAAAAGGAACTAATGGCTTTGTCATCAAAAGAGGGGACAGGGTATAAACACTGTCTGTCTGTATATACCATTTGTCGGTTCAAGTTTTGTAACTTGGCTGTGCCTGAACTGCTACTCTGTGTTCTTACTATGACAACTGTTTTCTCTTTTTGAATTATAGAGATTGCTTATTGCAGTTCTCATGTCTAGCGGCATGTCAGGCTTACCTTGGGTCTGAAAATGGGAATCTCGGTCCCTCCACATTTACCAAAACATTCTTAAGGGCTGAGGCCCATGAACTAGTTCTATAAAGCTCCCCAATTCACCCAATGCAAGCAGAGGGCTACTGATGGTTTAGAAGCATCACCAGAACAATGTTTTCCAACTGCCAGACCTGAGCAGGCAAGAAGCTATTTTTTACCACCTTGTGACCACTTCTGTTCGGACACTCTTTAGTATGAAAGATTGTAGTTCAGCTCCCATGTTTTCTTACCTGACTTCCTTCCCCCAACCCTCCCAAATCTCCTGTAGAGAATCAGGATAATTTATCAAACTCGAGACTAATCTAGATTAGAAAGTGATGCTCCCTAATTCATATAGTTGTTGACATGCCTTGGAATATTGATGCTGGCCATCACCTCAGACTGCCATACCCTGCAGAAAGTTTTTTGTTAGATATTCATTATAAAGGCAATAGCAGGAATATCATTTTTACTTATTAGCATATAATATCAGCTAACAATTACTGAATGATTAACCTATATCAGGCACTGTGTATAATTCTATATCCTCATGTATAAAACAAAACCAAGAAAAAAAAAAAAACCTTGTTGTAACACCAGTGTACACCGTACCTGGATCAACAATTCAGTTATGAGTTAGGGATTCAACGGCCTAGTGTTATAAAAATAGTAGTAGTCAGGTTATGGCTCAGTTTGGCTCCTTAAAGCAGTTATTTTTAACTGCCCATCATCCCTTTCCCCTTGAGAACGATCTGTCTTCCAAGCCATGAGGTCCATGGTGCATGCCCACCTTCCTTCAGAGAGATGAGTCAGATGAGCACATAGCTCAGGCTAGCCAATCAGAGTTCTTTCTCCTTGGCCACAGTTCTTGGTTTGTAGAAGAACATGTGATCCAAACTGGATCAAAATCTGTCCAGCAGATACCAGGAAAGAGAGGGTCTCTTCCTTTCTTTCCCTGTATTGGTAAACTGTGAACATCTTCTATGGCTCCAAGGATAAAGTTGTTTGCAATGGACAAGAATATGGTTAACATGCAAAGAGAGAAAGAGCTGAGTAAGGAAGAGAAAGGCTTTTGACATCATTTGAGACCTGGGTCAAACCATTCCTAATCAGGTATATCCCTCGAATTCTTCACTTACAGAACTACTAAACTTCACATTCTTTTTTGCTGTTGTTGTTTTCATTTTGCATAAGCTAGTTTGAATTGAATTTCTGTTAGTTGGATAGAGTGTCTTGGGCCCTAATTTTGATGATATGAGTGGAAGCTACACTTGTCATTATCTCCGTTTTAGAGATAATGGTGTTCGTGTCCTCTGTTTTACCACATCTAACACTGCAGATACTTAAAAGAATAAAGCTGTAACAGCACTACCAATTTTCTCAACTATTATCACCCACAAATATTTAGCTTGATCAGAACTGGAAGCAGTATGGTATTTAATCCTCTTCATGGATTATTAGTTACCCACCCATATCCTTTACTAAGCCTTGTTATTTCTTAAATATGCATAGTATAATGGTTGGGAATTTGGGTTCTGGAGATATAGATTTCCTGGGTTCGAATTCTGGCTTTGCTAGTTATACAACCTTAGGCAAGCTACTTAACCTCCCTGTGCTTCAGTTTCCCTATGTAAAATGAGGATAATAATAATACTTACATCTTAGGGTTGTTGAGAGAATTCAAAAAGTTAATACACATCAAGAGCTTGGAACAGCATCTAGCACATAGAAGTGCTCAATAATTATTAGTTATCATTATTAGTTATTATTATGTTACCTAGGGAAACCAAGAGATTGAGCTGTCTTCATGAATTTACTATAGATGTATCATATGTATACAGAATGCAGTATAATGAGATGAATGGCATACACTTGTAGACAGTAGGCTGGTCAATTTCCAGTTGAAGATTGGGTTCTCATTGGCACATGGGTAGCTCCTCCAGTGGGTCTTTTTCTTAGGCCACAGTCGTTAGGAATACAGTTAAGGCCCAGGGTTCAAGGACTTCACAGAAAATAAGTATGACTTATGGGAGACTGTAATAGACTTATAGTAACTCTAGATTAATCCCGGAAAGAACATTTAAAAAAATTTCATCAAGTAGTTACATAATTGCCTGAGGTATAACTGTTCCTATTTTCTAGGTTCCTTAGCATGGTATTTAGGTTTGAATCAATATCTGTAATTGAGAGTCTTCTTTCCCTAACTAAACTCTCCTTGGGGATTCTTAACTCAAGTAGTTTGATGAAAGCCATAAATTTAATGTGCTATAACTACACCATCACCATCTTTCTTTTTCCTGAGAATACCCTGGGGTCTTAAGTTTTCAGTAACTGAAAATGAAACAGGGGCTCTCAACATCTCAAATCCAAAGAAAAGGAACCAAAAACATTCAAAATGGTTTGGGAAAGAACTCAATGTCTCTTCCCTGAATTTAATTCTTCACCTTTGTTCCAGCCAAACTTGTCCAATCTGTGGCCCACCAGCCCAGGACGACTTTGAATGTGGCCTAACACAAATTGGTAAATTTTCTTAAAACACTGTGAGATTTTTTTGTGATTTTTTTCTTTTTTTTTTTTTTAGCTCATCAGCTATCATTAGTATTAATGTATTTTATATGTGGCCCAAGACAATTCTTCTTCTTCCAATGTGGCCCAGGGAAGCCAAAAGATTGGCACCCCTACAAAGCAGTGATCCTGAATGAGGATGTTCTGGGTATTTGTGGGGGCATTTTTGGTTGTCAAAATAACTGTGGGTATGACTGGGACTTATTCAGCAAGGGAAAGGGACACTAGAGATTCTGCAATGTAATAGACAGTCCTACAAAAGAGACTTCGTCACATCCCATACAACTTGCAAATAGTAGAAGTGAAAATCTGTTTATAATCACATGGGCTTGGAACTTGTCTTACATGTAAACAAAGAGTATTTTGGGAATCGCTTTAGTATACAATGAATTTTCCAGGAATGCAGCTACTGTATAAATGAAGGGACCTTTCACTTTGTTTTGTTTAGAACTTCACAAAGAGGAATTGCTATCTTAAAAAAATCACTTCATCAATGACAATGCTACTTACTGTGTTGGAGTTATCAAAATAATCCAACTGTTAGTCTTCATTTGCAGCTGTTGTACATCTGTGTACACACATCTGACAACTCCATTATGACTTCTAATGTATTGGTGCTTGAATATTTACATATTGAAATACATATAATTATATATTATTTTCCCTTTGTTTTCCCCTTTATGTTAGGGCATTTTGCTGAATTTTTAAATCATGATGTATACATATAGGTAGATTATATTATCTATGAATTTCATTTTAGGATGGTAAAAACAATGTTAAAAAATAGTTGTTGGCTGGGCATGGTGGCTCACCCCTGTAATCCCAGCACTTTGGGAGGCTGAGGTGGGAGAATCATTTGCGCCCAGGAGTTTGAGACCAGCCTGGGCAATGTGATGAGACTCCTGTCTTTACAAAAAACAAACAAAAAAAAGATCAGCTGCAGTGGTGGTACATACCTGTAGTACCAGCTACTTGGTAGGCTGAGGCGGGAGGATCACTTGAACCCAGGAGGTTGAGGCTGCAGTGAGCTGTGTTCATGCCACTGCATTCCAGCCTGGGTGACAGAATGAGATCTTGTCTCAAAAACAAAACAAAACAAAACAAAACAAAACAAAAACAACGTTGCTATGGCTGGGTGCACTGGCTCATGCCTGTAATGCTGGAACTTTGGGAGGCCAAGGCAGGAGGATTGCTTGAGACCAGGAGTTCAAGACTAGTCTGGGCAACAAAGATATACCCTGTCTGTACAAAAAATAAAAAATAATAATCAGCTGGGCATAGTGGGGTATGCCTGTAGTCCCAGCCACTTGGGAGGCTGAGGTGGGAGGATTACTTGAGCCCAGGATTTCAAGGCTCTGATGAGCTATGATCACGCCACTGCATTCCAGCATGGGTGACAGAGCAAGACTCTGTTTCTAAAAATTAATAAATAGGCTGGGCGTGGTGGCTCACGCCTGTGACCCTAGCACTTTGTGAGGCTGAGACGGGTGGATCACCTGAGGTCAGGGGTTCAAAACCAGCCTGGCCGGGCATGGTGGTAGGGCACCTGTAATTCCAGTTACTCGGGAGGCTGAGGCAGGAGAATCACTGGAACCTGGGAGGCAGAGGTTGCAGTGAGCCAAGATCGCAGCATTGCACTCCAGCCTGGGTAACAAGAGTGAAACTCTGCTCAAAAAAAAAAAAAATTGTTTTAAATAATAATAAATAATAAATAAAATAATCGTTATTTTTTTAAAAAAGTGCTGGTTGGTTCTGTAAGGGTTAGAGTTACTACTTTAGAGAGGAAAGGTACTTAAATTGTTTTTCCCTAAACTTCCCACTGCAGAGGAACTTATTATAGGACAATTATCATGTTGGTTTTATAGGACATGTTACTATAAAAATTAAAAGAGGAGAAATGAGCAAGTAAGGAAACAGATTAAGAAATATTAATAGGAAACGCAGGGCTTTAGCATGAAGCACTGAAGTGCTCATATTCTTCAGTTTTCAGATTTTTCTAAAGGATTGTCTTATTTGTTTCTATTTCCTCCTTTCTTCCCTTTCACATCAGAAGTGAGTAACACATTCCCTTTAATCAATACATTGGGTTTTATATCAGCTGGCTATGGTTTGATCTCTTTGAAGGCATGAAAAGATTGATGCCTTCCCCTCTTCTGATTACTAGGGTGTTAAAGCCTTTAAAATCTATTGCTCATGAGAACCACAGAACTAGTTTATGAAATCATAGACATTCCCTGGCCTCCTAAGCATAAAGAATTGTACAGACATCTTCTGTTAACTGCACTACCACTATATCTGAACAGAGGAAGCAGGTTAGCAGAGCTTAAGTGGTGGCTCCCAGGAAGGCTTTGATAGTTAAAGACTGGCTGTTCTATTCTGGTAAGTTGTTCTGAGATCCTGAGAAAATCACTTAACTTCTCCATGAATTAGATCTCCCAAGCAGAAAGGAAGATTAGAAAACATTCTATTTCTTTTTTAGTGCCTGCTCTAGTGGCACATACACCAAAATTGAAACCATATTTTCCCTTTTCTTACTACCCTAACATGCTCAGCTAAGCTAAGCTGATCAGTTAAGCAGCTTGAGGATCTCAGAGGAAAAATGTTTCACTCAGTGTTGTTAATTATTGACTGGGGCTGACAGACCAAAAGCCAAGAAAATCTGATTTTTTGCATCTGCTTCTAAAAGGTGGAAATCTATAGCAACTGTGAAGTGGCTCTATTGTTTTTTGATTTTGCTTAAGGTCAAGTCTGTTCTCATTTCAAGAACAAGGTTGATTTTTTTTTCTTTTCTCATATCATTCCTAACTCCTTAACCTGAATGTTTGCAGACCTCACCTTCCCATGGATGTCATATAAACATTAATAACGTAAACGTCATGCTCTTGACAGAACCTGTCCAAGTGTTTCTACAAGTTGACAAGGGGTGTCTCCCATGAGCTTCAGTCACCTCATGGCGTCTGCCCTATTCCTCCTCTCTTGCCCAGGTTCCCCTATTCTTGTGGAAGGCAGTCATGTGACTGCCACTCTTGACAGTGTCTACTCTAGAGATCCCATTATTTCCTTCTCAATCGTTAACTCTTAGAGAATCTGCCTCTTCCAGGGTCAGGAAAGGAAAATTCCGCCATATAAGCCTGGCCCCTTTGCCACAGCCGATAGGACCAGAAGAACCAATCCATACAATGTGCTTCCCTAGTTCAAGAATTTAAGCCAAGGAACAAAGTGAAGCTATGTGACGATTTAAAAACTCATTTTATTATTTAGTTTAAAACACAGAGCATATCGTTCATTACTATCAGAAATGACAATAACTGCCTAAATCATTGCACTAAAACTCACCTGTCTGATTCTGAAGTCATATAGGAGAGGAAGAATAAGTCCTAGACCACCTGCAGATTTACTTGAAGCTAATGAAGCTTCAAACTTGAGAGCCCTTCCCTTGCCCAAGCACTTTCAAAGGCCTGGGTCATGTTTCCGAAAATTTGAAGAAGATACTTGGAGAAGTAAGAAGTAATCAGGTAAGAGCACTGTCTCTTCACTTCTACCTCCCTTTGATCATATTCCCTGTATATACACTGATGCTAAATTGGCCTCTGGCTGGGATCTAAGAGGAACTTAAGTCAAGGATACATCAAGTTTGGGTATAGTGAAATATATATGTAGTTTGCCATTATTTTCACGTATAGTTCTTGTTAGCAAGGCTTCCCAGGCCTGTTGGGGGGAAAGCTAGTATTCAGACTAGAATCTGGCTGCCTCTAAGGCCAATGATGTTAACATTACACCATGCTGCCTTTCATATGCTCAGTGGTCCACAAATGGCCTTGGGCTTCTTAACTTTATGATACAACATAGAGTCTATTTTTAGCCACCTACCAAGTATTGACAACCCTTCCCACTTGCCTGTCTGGCTCCAGCATACCTTTCTAGTCCTGTGGCCCACTGCTACACTACTTGTACATGATATTCCATCCAAACTGGACACCATGCCTTTGCCAGATCACACCTTTTGTTCTCCCTTGACCTGAAATGTTCTCACTCCATTACAGCTCAGGTTCTTATGAATAATGCGACATTAAGTGAAGACAAATAAAACTCATTATTCACCATTACAACAAGGACAATGACAACCAATCAGCTAATGAGTGTTGTAAATTCAAGGACTATTTATTAGTAACTGTATAAGGAAACTTCAAATGACCTGAAATCTTTTATTGTAAGAAAGAAAGAATATGTAAGAAACTTTGATATAAATTTTCCAAGATTTGGCAGCAACTCTAAAAATTTGTATGACATTACGAATAACAAAATGAAAAGCTGAAAGAGACTCTGAAGTATGAATTAAAAAACAAAGCAAGATAAAAATCCCAAGTTTTGCTCAACCATGCTAAAGGGAAGATTAAATTATCTTCCCAGGCCCCTCTGCAGGAAATGATGTTACAAACTCACTGTTCTATGAAGAAGTAACCAAAGAACATGCTGCCAAAGATGTGGGAAAAACTGTAGCAGATGTCAGACTATAGCATATATCAGGCAATTAATTAATACAAATGTTATTTTTCTAGGTTCAGTGGTAGTGGTTAACTCTTTACAATTTGTAATTTATTGTGATTTCTTTTCTCATTCTAAAGAAATCATTTTGTACCTATTTTTTATTTTTTTCCTAAAGAGGGTTCTCTAAATTGTGTAAAACTCAGGCCTCAGGAAACCTGGGCCAGTCTCTGCCCTGGCTGAGGAATCTGACTAACCTCTTACCAATATGGGAGCCTCTGGGCTCTGCAATCACTGCCATTTCCTTCCTCAATCTGTTCCCTTCCTTCATTCTCCAGCATCTCCTGACAAGCATGTGGGCATGGGTAGCAAAAGTGGGTTAATGACCAAGATACCAGATGGCTCTCTGTGAGTAATACCTCACTCTATTTCTTCAAAGAAGCTGGATGCTTTCCATAGTTCGACAGCCTGAACTCTCACTGAGACGTTGAGATGTGAAAGAAGACAGTTTTATTATTTGCTAGGCAGGTTTTTATAAATGGACTAGTTTTTACTATATAATACATCATTAAAAATTGTTCTATCTACCCTGACTCTCAAAAGCTTTGAGGTGCTATTTTTTTTTTTGGGTGGGTGGAGAGTGTTCCCTGAGAACTGTGCCATCAATATAGGCATCTATAATAAAATAAAAAAATCATACATTAATCATCCCTGGAGAATATTTATCTGTTTAGAGTAACTGTCCATAAATTTTAAGATTTAATTTTTGGTGAGAGGAAATGGTTAAAGGAATGAAAGGCCAAAATTATGAAAAAAAAATATTTTTAGAGAGGATACTTTAGCTCCTTTGCACAGCATTATCAATTCAGGTAAATAACTACATGATGATATTTATTCAAGTAATAAAGATACATAAGACATCTTCAAGGAAAACAAATCACCAATGCTCAAACACCCAAGGTGTTATTTGAAAGAACTTTACTAACTAAAGCTACCAGTAAATATTTATCACCACTTGCTTGGAAAAAGAAAGAACTTATTAGAAAAAAACAAGGAAAACAAACTTCCAATATGGGAATGAGAATAGCAGTTTCTCATGTTTTAAGTACTGGCTTTAGAGAATATTAAAAGTTCATTTGAACCTCACTATAATACTATACTAGGACATGCCTGATTGGTCCAACCACATGTTAATGAGGTCCTTTCATCTACTTTAGTAAGGGAACTATTTGTGATGATGTCTAAACTAGTCTTACCCTTTAAAATTTTGCTCTAAAGTAACAGTTCTCAATCTTGGTTACGCAGTGGAGTCATTGGGGGAGAATACACATTGGGTACAGTGTACACTGCTGGGGTGATGGGTACACCAAAATCTCGGAAATCACCATGTAACAAAACACCATCTGTTCCCCAAAATCCTATTGAAATTAAAAATTAATAAAATAAAAATACTAAAGCCTGAGTCCCACTGCTCAAAGACTCTAGTGTAATTCATCTGAATGCAGCCTGGGCATTAGCCTCCCAAGGTGACTTTAATATGCTACAAAGGTTGAAAACTATTGTTCTAAAGACAACCTTGGCACTACTTACATTTTGGTTAGATAAATGTTGCTGTTGGGGGCTGTCCTGTGCATTATAGAATGCTTACTTAGCAGCATCCTTGGGTTCTACCCACTAGACACCACCAGCCCTCCCTCCCATTCCCCTTTCTAAGCTGTGACAACTAAAAATGCCTCCCAACATTGCCAAATGTCCCATGGGGGTGGAGGTAGATATCGCCTCTGGTAGAGAACCACTGCTTGTAAAGGAAAGAGTTCATAGTAAATCAATTTTATTATTTTTGGTGGTTAGAAAATAATTCCTGTCAAATAAAAGCAGTGCAAAACAGGACCTCATTTGACACTCTACTAAGTAAGACCTGTTGCAGGAAGTCAGGGACCCTGAACAGAGGGACCAGCTGAAGCCACGGCAGAAGAACATAAATTGTGAAGATTTCATGGACATTTATCAATTCCCCAATCAATACTCTTGTGATTTCCTATACCTGTCTTTACTTTAATCTCTTAATCCCATCATCTTCATAAACTGAGGAGGATGTATGTCGCCTCAGGACCCTGTGGTGATTGTGTTAACTGCACAAATTGTTTGTAGAGCATGTGTGTTTGAACAATATCAAATCTGGGCACCTTAAGAACAGGGTAACAGCGATTTTCAGGGAACAAGGGAGATAACCTTAAAGTCTGGCTGCCTGTGGGCTGGGCAGGACAGAGCCATATTTCTCTTATTACCAAAAATGGGTAAGAGAAGTATCGCTGAATTCTTTCCCCAGTAAGGAATATTAATAATTAACAGCCCTGGAAAAAGAATGCATTCCCAGGGAAGGCCTCTGAAATGGCCGCTCTGGGAGTGTCTGCCTTTATGCAGATGTAGATAGGGATGAAACATGCCCTAGTCTCCTGCAGTGCCCCAAGGCTTGCTAGGATTAGGAAATTCCAGCCTGGCAAATTCTAGTCAGACCAGTTCTCTGCTCTTGAACTCTGGTAAAATGTTTATCAATGACAATGCATACACAGCGGGACACGGAAGTTCATTAGTGATTCTAGTTTTGCCCTGACCTTGTGATCTCGCCCTAACCTCCTGTCTTGTGATCTTTTGTTGCCCTTAAAGCAAGTGATCTCTGTGACCCACACCCTATTCGTACACTCCCTCCCCTTTTGAAAATCACTAATAAAAACTTGCTGGTTTTGTGGCTTGGGGGACATCATGGAACCTGCTGACATGTGATGTCTCCCCCGGACACCCAGCTTTAAAATTTCTCTCTTTGTACTCTTTCCCTTTATTTCTCAGACTGGCTGACACTTAGGTAAATAGAAAAGAACCCACGAAGAATTATCAGGGGTGGGTTCCCCCAATAAAGAGCCAGTGGGCACCAGCAATGATGCACTGATCGCCAACCCACAGAATACAACAGAGTAATCCCAAATGCTTGTAGATATAGGAAAATGCTGAGAATGTCATAAATTCAGTATAACTTCAAAGTATACATTTAAAAATAGCACAACTGTAGCTAGTCAGGGATTTACAGATTAGAAGTACATTTGATCACATCTGTCATATTTGACCTCATTTCATTTTGTAAAGCTTTCATATTACCCACCCCCTATCCCACCACCCCCCAAAAAATCTGCTAAAATCTAGTAAACAGGCAACTATTTTTAGACAAGCTCATTTTCTTTAGTGGCTGTGGAATGCTGATTATCCTGCAGGGGAAGGTTTACAAAGAGGTACAGTCAACTGAAGAGGCCTAAAGTTACTGTCATTACAGCAAAAAGAAAAATTTAATACATTTAATTGTACTCTGAGCCCTAGACCTTCTTGCATTTTATTTGCAAATGCAATTATATCAGGCTCATAACACTTTCAGGTGTGATTTTAAAATGCAAGGCCTACAGACAAATTTGGCTTAGTTTATCTCTATTTACAGGGGCCAATACTTCTCACAAGCTGATTCTCGAGTACAAAAATCAAATGCATCTCTAATTCTGTGAAGGCATTTTGGTTTTCCCAAGTTCTTTAATGCTTAATCTCAGATTGAATTCACCATAGATCAAAAAAGCAATTTGAAACGAGAAAAAAGTTAAAAATATGAGTTCTTTAAAAAATAATGCTTTCCTCATAACATTTTTAAAAAATCTAGCCACAGTGGAGCAGTCCCTAGGAAAGTTACTTGCAGTTCCATCACAGTCTTCTTCCACTAATGGAGATACAATGAGAGGCTTACATGTTTACTGTTGTTTTCTTTAGGAACAGAGAATCAGAGGTGGAGATTTGGTGAAAAAATAGATGACCACAGTAAGGGAAATTATGGCATAGTAAAAAGTGAAAGAAAAAGACAAGCTCCTCAGTGACTTCCTCATTTTTGCTGCATTCCTTTTTCTCTACACAATACAAAAGGCAACCAAGAGCAATAAAAAAGGGATAGGAAACTTGTACTGAGGGCAACTGCTGGGTCGAACATTAAAGTGAAATATAAAAGCAATTTATGTGGTTCTTTACTCATCCATTTAAAAAATTAACAGAATGAGTGATCAAATTATTTAATAGATATAATTTAAAATGTGATAAATTTTAGAACACAGTTAAGGAAACAAAGAGAAAAACAAAAGGGAGGAGGGAGTGATAAAGGAGAGAGACATTTTTTTTTCTTGCTATCCAGAGAGTCATGCCTTAATCTTGAAGCATTTAGGATGCCGCTATAAAAAACTGATCTGAAATTTCAAAGCTGTCGAGATGCCCAGGCACAGTGTTAGGAAGCTCTAGAAGGAAATATCTTAATGAATTAGAGGAGTCAGAAGTGATAGTCAAAATATTTAAAAACTGATACATCAAAGGCATTGACCCTGGAGAGATGAAATGTACACTGTGATTACTGGAAAGGATGCTGAGTCTAAATAATCCTAAAGCCATCCAGGTGCAGGGCTCAACACTCCAGCTTTGGACTTCCAAGAAATGAGATGCAGGTAGTGATTAGAAAACGAGAGGGGGCCAAGCGCAGTGGCTTATGCCTGTAATCCCAGCACTTTGGGAGGCCAAGGCAGGTGGATCACTTCAGGTCAGGAGTTTGAGACCACCCTGGCCAACGTGGTGAAACCCCGTCTCTACTAAAAATACAAAAATAATTAGCTGGGTGTGGTGGTGTGCACCTGTAATCCCAGTTACTCAGGAGGCTGAGGCAGGAGAATCACTTGAACCTGGGAGGCAGAGGCTGCAGTGAGCTGAGATCCTGCCATTGTACTCCAGCCTGAGCGACAGAGCGAGACTCCATCTCAATAAAAATAAATAAATAAATAAATAAATAAATAAATAAATAAATAAAATGAGAAGGAAAGGTGATAATAGTAGAAGAGAGAGTGGAGGAGTTGGAAGAGTAAGAGTAGATATTTTTGCAATACACCCTATGGTAGTTAGCCTCCAAGAGGCCCCCAATGATCTCCATCTCCTAGTATTCATACCCTTGCTTAGTATGAATACTACCACACCAAATTAGGGTTGGTTTGTTTGACCAACCCCAGCTTCTGTCAGAAACTGTGGTATACCACTTTCGACATTCACATTATAAAAGACTGTGGCTTTGGTCTTGGGTGCCCCCTTGCTCTCTGTCTCTTACATCACTCACACTGAGGGAAGCCATGTGGCAAGAGGCCTTATGAAGAAACCCATGTAGACAGGAAATGAAGCTTTCTGCCAAGAGCCACATGAGTATATTCAGAAGCAGAACAGCCCCAGTTAAATCTTCAGAGACTGCTCCCCTGGCTGACAGCTTGAATGCAACTACATGAGAGAACCAACCTAGATTCCTGATCCTCAGAAATTATATGAGCTAATAAACATTTATTGTCTTAAGCTGCTAAATTTTGGAGTAATTTGTTATGCAGCAATAGGTAACTAATACACAGTATTAGAAAAGATAAAGATATTAAACCCATACAAATACTCTTAACTTGAGGAAATATTTTTCCATACAGGACAGGGCAAGGAAGGAAGAGGAGGCTTATGGAGTCAGCATTTTGCTGGTTTCTGTCATGCTCTGGACAGGAAGTTAATTTGTGCCAAGTATAATAATAGGTAATCCTCTCCATCATGAAGGGGATTGGGGAAATACCCCTGTACACCACATCAAGTACATGCTACGTCATGTAACAGCAAAAACAAGAGAAAGACTATCATTGGTAGAGTGTTTACTGCATGTCCATCATTTTCCACACATTATATCTTTCCTTCCTTCTACCTTCCTTCCCTCCCTCCCTCTCTCCCTTCCCTCCCTCCCTCTCCTTTTCTTTCCGTCTTTCCTTCTCTTTCTTTCTTTCTCTTTCTTTTTCTCTCTCTCTCTCTCTTTTTTTTTCTCTCTCTTTCTCTCTTTCCTTCTTTCCTTCTTTCTTTCTTTCCAAGGTCTCACTCTGTCACCCAGGCTGGAGTGCTATTGCATGATCACAGCTCACTGCAGCCTCAACCTCCAGGGCTCAAGCGATCCTCTCACCTCAGCCTTCTGAGTGGCTGGGACTACAGGTGCATGCCACCGTGTCCAGCTAATTTTTGTAGAGACGGGGTTTTGCCATGTTGCCCAGGATGGTCTTGAACTCCTGAGCTCAAGCAATCCCCCGTCCTACGCCTCCCAAAGTGCTGGGATTACAGGCGTGAGACACTGTGCCTGGCCCATTATCTTTAATCTTCATAAAAAGCCCCATTAAGTATAATATCACAAAGAATTATCATGAAGCCAATTGGGCTCTTTTCACTATACTTCACCGCCTTGAAAGAAAAGCAATAGAGGTTTGGCCATAGTTCAGGAGAGAAGAAATCTGACTAAAAGGCCAAGTAAAGCATCAAATCTAATAACTTGTCAGACACAAGAAGATCAAGCTCTGAGATGAAGCAGAGGCAACCAACAGAAATTGACATCAGAAACTCTGCTGGATCCCCACCAGCATGCTACCGATGAATCCTGCTCTCTTTCAGATGAATTTTTATTTTTTTTCCAATAAGGCCAGCCCTACCCTGGAATCTGGAACCAGTTCTGGCCCAGGGTAGAAAGGCTACCAAGCACCTATGGTAGAAGCCCTGGTGTCCAGGCATGCCTTGGACCTTATTATTGACCTTCTCTGACCTTGGCACTGCAGTTCCATGATGTCTGGTCTTGTTGCTGAGTTCCTTTGTCGACTTATTCCAAAGATACATATGACTTAAGGATGAAAAGTTTTATTGAAAACAAGAAGTATGATTTTCTGTGGTATTACATTCCATTTCTAGCACTGAAGATAAGGGAAATGGATTAGGAAGGTTTTGTTTAGTTTTATTTTTATAAATTTTAAGAAATACAAAATACATGGACAAAGTTAAAAATTCAGACAATATAGTAAGAGTACTCAGTGAAAAAGTAAGTCTCCTTCCTCAATTCCTCATTCCCAAAGTAACCACTCTTGTGAGTTTCTTATCTGTGGAAGGTAACTAATTTTTACATATAGCAGGTCATTGAATAATGTTATTTCATTCAACATCATTTTGCTAGAATATTGATGTAAAAAAAAAAATTGTTTCCTGGCTGGGGCCACTGTCCATGAGGAATTTGTATGTTCTCCCATGTCTGTGTGAGTTCTCCCAAGGTACTCTGGTTTCTTCCCATATCCTAGAGTTGTGCCCCTTAGATGAACTGGCATGTCTACATGGTTCCAGTCTGAGTGGGTGTGTGTGAGTGCACCATGGGGATGAGATGGTGTCCTGTCCAAGGTGGGTTTCCACCTTGTGCCCTGAGCTGTCAGGATAGGGTCCAGACACCTGTAACCCTGAACTGGAATAAGTGGGTTGGAAAATCAATAAATGAATACAAATTACTGTCAAATAAATAAACCCCAATTTGAATGTTACATCTCACCATGCTACTCAGGTTGAAGGGCCCAGGTATTTAAATTCATTAGTGATAAAAGTGAAGATAAATTATTTAGGTTTGAGTTAGGATCCTGTCCTGTTGAGCCGTTACATCAAACAAAACATCTTTTCTTTCATCTTCTGCTATATGCAATATTTTTCTATAAATGCATGTGAATACACTCGATATTCTACATGTTCAATATAGAGAGTATTCCAGTATAGAGTATGTCCAACATAGAGAGTATTCAGATGCATTTTCCTGTCCAATACAAGAGCTTTAAAAAAACATGAATAATACTTTCTTTCCTTTCTTTCTTTCTCTCTCTCTTTCTCTCTTTCTTTCTTTCTTGTTGTTTAACTGGGTCTTGCTCTGTCACCCAGGCTGGAGTACAGTAGCATGAACACGGCTCACTGCAACCTCAACTTCCTGGGCTCAAGCAATCTTCCTGCATCAGCCTCCTGGGTAACTGGGACTATGGGTATGCACCACCATGCCTGGCTAATTTTTCTTATTTTTATAGAAATGGGGTTTCACCATGTTACCCAGGCTGATCTTGAACTCCTGGGCTCAAGCAATTCTCCCACTTAAGCCTCCCAAAGTGTTGGTAGTACAGGCATGAGCCACTGTGCCTGGCCCTCAGCTTTTATAGATGGTTGTTATGCAAGAAATGACCATAAGATGGGCTCACATGC
This sequence comes from Homo sapiens, assembly GCF_000001405.40. Lineage (NCBI taxonomy): Eukaryota > Metazoa > Chordata > Mammalia > Primates > Hominidae > Homo > Homo sapiens. Next base: position 160,978,490 of record NC_000003.12, on the reverse strand, counting down.
ATTTGCTATGAAGTTAAGATTTTATTTGTTGTGCTTGCCTAGGCCATCTCCTGGGCACCATTTCATACTCTCTTGCTCCCGTACCTCTTATTTCCGCCACCACTGTGGAGACCAGTTCTGCTCAGATGCTGCCTCGGACTAAACTATTTATTGCTTGCTTCCTCCCCTGGAGATTCCCTGATGCCAAGG